>NC_000020.11:39648052-39951082 GCF_000001405.40 Homo sapiens
AGATCACATGTGGGCTTGAAGAATGAGTGCAGGGTTTTGAGTGGTGGAGGTGGCTCTCAGCGAGACTGATGGGAAGCTGGAAGGTGGAGGGGTGGGGGAGATAATCTTCCCCTGGAGTTTGGCTGTTCTCAGCTGAACTCCTCTCAACATTCAGGTGCCCCTTAGCTCCTTCTCTGCTGTGCCACCCTGCTGCTGTCCGCTGCTCTCTGCCACTCTCCGTGGCTCCTCTTGATGTTCAGCTGCTTGTGTGTGTGACCGATAAGGTCTCAGGTTTATATGGCAGCAGGATCAGGGGGCATGGCAGGCCAAAAGGCAAGTTTTTGGGTGCAAAAACAGAAATGCCTGTCCTCATTTAGGGCTGCGGGTTTTCAGGCTTGAGGGTGAGGCCTTTGCTGGGGAACCACCCTCTTCTACCCAGTATTTCCCTGACTCCTATCTGGATAACTGGTTCTCAGGTCTCCTGTTAGTGGCTACCAGCCCCAGTTGGTAACACAATCACTGGGGAGCTGTTTAAAAGTACAAACTCCATGGCCTCACTGAATCAACATTATCCTAGAAATTCTGACCGGGACATGTGTATTAAAAAAGAAAGGTCCAAAGTGAAGTAACTCAGGAATGGAAAACAAATACCACATGACCTCACTTACAAGTGGGAGCTAAGCTGTGGGTACAAAAGGCACACCCAGAATGAGCATTGGAGATTCAGAATGGGGAGGGTAGGAGGGAGGCAAGGGATGAAAAACTACCTATTGGGCACAATGGATACTACTTGAGTGACAGGTGCACTAAAATCTCAGACTTCACCACCAGACAATTCATCTAAGTAGCCAAAAATCACTTATACCCCAAAATCTATTGAAATAAAAAAAAAGTCCTCAGTTGAGTTTGAACCGTAAGGACCATCAATGACCACTGCACAGTTTCTGAGTGAGATTTGGACAAGTGTCTCGCTCTCTTTGTACCTCAGCTTTCTCCTCTTTACTTAATGTTGTGTCGGCTCTATGTCTGTTTCATAGCAGGTCAAGAGAGAAACTCTTGGTAACACCAGTGCTTAACTTAGAGCACACTTGCTTTACTTAAATATATGTATTGCCATCTGCCAAACAAAATGACAACTTTTATCTCTGCTTGTTCACTTTGTGTCTTTGTCTAGATGCAAATATATACTTGAAATATCATTCGTGTTGCTAAATATCCACTTATTTAGCTCCTTCTTTTATAAGCATGCTTCTGTGTTCCCATTTTAGCTAGAAAATTTTAACTGTAGTTGTTGCATAAAATTTCAGTGACTATATATATATATATATATACACTAATTTAAATTAACTGTATCTCTATTTTTGGATGGCTAGGTTGTTTGTAAGTTTTCTCACTACTATAATTCATTCTGGAATGTGTATTTTCAAACATATAGTTTTTCTATATTTAGGTATTTTACTGAGTACATTCCCAGTATTGTTATTACTGAATTAAATGTATGAACTTTTTTTTTGTTTGTCTTGGCAATCAATTGCCAAGTTATTTTCTGAATAAGTGTTGCCAAAATATACTCTGCCAACCACTAATTAATGACAGTTTCATAGTCTCTGTGCCAGCATTCAAAATTAGCATTTTATTTTATATTTTTACTAACTGAATATACGTGTGGCATTTCATAGTTGCTTTATTTACATTTTAAAGCGTACTTTATCAATTATATATATACACTCCTTGCATGCTATGTCAAATTCCCATGTGGTGGTATAACTACCAACTCGATAATACATAGATTCATCAACTCTGTTCATCAGAGTGACTTTATAGGGTTTATGTCAGGAATTGCCTCAGGTAAGGAGAATACCACTGTTGTTCTCTCTTTAGCCAGCTGTTTTCTGTTACAGGTCCTGAAGGCTGGGGCTGGCAAGATGCTGATGCAACCAGGGAAGTGGGGCAACAGACCTCTCTGCCACCCAGCCCAGAGCCTGGCTTAGGCCCCAGGAAATTTGCCTCCCACCTCTCTCTTCCTAGGCCCAGGTCCCAGCCTCTTTTCCTATTCAACATCTGCACCAACCCTCACCTTGGTACAGGGAGCTTTCTACACGCTCATTTTCCTCATTAGTTGGTTAACAATTCATTAAATCAACAAATATTTATTGGGCACTTACCATGTGCAGGCAATGTGCTGGGGCACAGGCTACAATAGAGAGGGAAAAAGCAGGTGATAAAACAGAGCTTGTCTCCCTGGATCTCATAACCCATCAGGAGATAAAGACGTGTATTAGGTTGCCACACACAACTGTGTCAATCACTCTGCCTCAACCATCTAGGGACCTTCACCACGTGAACTTCTTTCTGCCTCTGGGTGTTTGTGCATACTGCCCCCTGTGCCTGGAGTCCTCCCATAACTAACTCTGTCTGCTGTGCATGGAGTCCTCCCATAACTGGCTCTGTTCGCTGTGCCTGGAGTCCTCCCGTAATTGGCTCTGCCACCTGTGCCCAGAGTCCTCCCATAACTGACTCTGTCTGCTGTGCCTGGAGTCCTCCCATAACTGGCTCTGTCCGCTGTTCCTGGAGTCCTCCCATAACTGACTCTGTCTGCTGTGCCTGGAGTCCTCCCATAACTGACTCTGTCTGCTGTGCCTGGAGTCCTCCCATGGCTAGCTCTGTCCTTTGCACTTGGAGTCCTCCCATAACTGGCTCTGCCCCCTGTGCCTGGAGTCCTCCATGGCTGGCTCTGTCCCCTGCGCCTGCAGTCCTCCCATAACTGGCTCTGTCTGCTGTGCTTGGAGTCCTCCCGTAACTGGCTCTGACCCTGCCCCTGGAGTCCTCTGTGGCTGGCTCTCCTCCCTCTTCCTGGAGTCCTCCCATGGCTGGCTCTGCCCCCTGAACCTGGAGTCCTCCCATGGCTGGCTCTGCCCCCTGTGTCTGGAGTCCTCTGTGGCTGGCTCTGCCCCCTGTGTCTGGAGTCTCTGTGTCTGGCTCTGCCTGCTGTGCCTGGAGTCCTCCCATGGCTGGCTCTGCCCCCTGAACCTGGAGTCCTCCCATGGCTGGTTCTGCCCCCTGTGTCTGGAGTCCTCTGTGGCTGGCTCTGCCCCCTGTGCCTGGAGTTCTCTGTGGCTGGCTCTGCCCCCTGTGCCTGGAGTCCTTCCTTGGCTGCCTCTCTCACTCCTTCCAACTCTGCTCAAACATCAATTTTTTAGGGGATACATCTCTGAGAATGGTGCACACAATACTACTGGGCTCTTCTTCCCACCAGTGCTACCTTTCCCAGCCTCATTTTCCTCCGTAGCACTTCTCACCATCCAATATACTAATGAAGACTTGTGTTTGCTTATTGGCTCTTCCCTTCACTGAATGTAAGATCCATGAGGGCAGGAGCTCTGTGTGTTTTTTTTTTTCATTGCTATGAACAGTGCCTGGCATAGAGGAACCTCCTAATAAATGTCTCCTAATAAATAAAACTGAACACGTGAATGAATGGGTTTTATTCTGATTCCCACATAGGTAGGGGGCCCCTGGAGAATTTGTATGGACATTTGTTGGCTGCAGTGGGTGCAATGGGAAGATGAGTGGTGGACAGGGACTAGGGGTGGGAGGATCAGTCTTTTCTAGGGCCCTGGGCACACTCCTAGTCCTTGCAATAGGACTGGCAAGAGCATCTCAGAACTAAGGCTTTGGGTCCTCCTGGAGGGAAACCCTGGGCTCCTCTGGCAGTGGTTCTGCCCCTTCACCAGACAGGCAGGGACTGCCATTGATTTCTGGAGATGCTGAAAGATTCCTCCTGCAGCCAGAAGCAGAGTCAGCCAGGAAGGCTGCGATTTCCAGTCTGTACAATTAACATTATTATGGAGGTGTAATCTCTCTAATTGGTTTATTTCATCAAGATTTGATTGAAGGCTTCTCTTATCTGCCACTGCAGCCTCCCTCTACCTAAGGCTCACGAATAATAGGAAGCAAAATGTATGCCTGACTCGGCCTCCTCCTAAAGAGACCAGCCCGTAAATAAAACATCTGGGTCTCCTGGGGAGGCGACGGCATGAAGGGCTGTGAGCGGGAACCCACTGATTGATGGAGACAGGAGAGTGTTTTCTTAAGTGAGGCAGGGAGTGATTTCTCCTCTGGACCTGGGCCCCAGAGCTGGGTTTCTCTGCAAGAGCAGCCAGCCTGGAAATGGCGCTGGCAATGGAGGAAGGAGGGTGGCAGGGGGATGGCTGAAGCCCCGGCACACTGGCTTGGCCTTTTGTTTTTTTCTTTTTCCTAACCAGACTTCTCTGAGAAGAAGGAAGAATAACTTATGCCTCCACAGGTCTTTCCCTGACAGGTGCTAACAGGTCTTCATGTTGTCATGTAATTAACCAACAAGTCAATGATTTTTCAGCAACACCCAGAGAGAATGAGTTTATGCCCAGTTCTGTCCCTAACTTGACCAGGCTTTAGCTCCTTGTCTATGTAATGAAGATTGAACATAATATCAGAGGGCACTTGCTCTCTCCAGCAGCAAATATTGTTGATCGATCATAGCTGCAGACCCAAAAGGGAGCCTTTCCATGCCCAGAGAGCCATCTTTAGTAGACGAAGATTGGTACAGGAGAATTGGAACCTCTTCCTCCTCCCTGGAACCCCCAAGAAAACTCTCTCCCTCTTAGACGTAAGAGAATGATTTTGAAACCTCAGTCTGATTCCAACACAGTCACCACAGCTGAGAGTTTTGAAGGAAGTCTTTTTCAGAATAGCATTCCCTTCATGATATGCAGAGGTGGTTTGAGTTTTAGGAAATGCCTAATGATAGCACAGGACAGAATTCTAAAGGCACCAGCAAGCAGCAAGCCTATCAGAAATAGTTGAAGCCAGGCATGGTGGTAGGTGCCTGCAGTCCCAGCTACTCAGAAGACTGAGGTGAGAGGATTGCTTGAGGCTAGGAGTTCAAGACTACAGTGCATTTCTGATTGCATCTGAAAATAGCCACTGTACCCCAGCCTGGGCAACACAGCAAGACCCTGTCTCTTAAGATAAAAGCAAACAAACAAAAAACAACCAATGTTGAGGTTACACATTCCCATCAACAGCAAAGCAGATAAATATTACTATTTATTTGGTTGTGTTCTATTTACACAATGAAATACTATACAACAATGAGAACGCACAGTCTACAACCACATCCATACATGAGGGATCTGATGATGGGAATAGTGTTAAAAGAAAGAAAACAGACACAGAAGAGAGTATGGTGTGTGATTCCCTTTATATGAAACGCAACAGGTAGACCAGTCCCCGGTATTAGACATCAGCATGATGTTTGCCCTGGGCGAGGCAGTGACTGGAAGGGTATGTGAGGAAGGCTTCGGGGAGGTGATAATGTTTATTGTTGTTGGCTGTGTTGGTTTTGGGGAAACATTCAGTTTGGGAAGAGTCATTAAGCTGTGCACTTGTGATAAGAGTGCTCCCATAAAAGGTTTTATAAGATTTGGGGGCTGGAAAGATATATCTGTCAGTGAGATTTCTCGCCATCCCAGTTCCCTGTCCCTGCTTTCCTTGGCTTGCGCCCTTGCCCTCTTGGCTTGTCGCATCTCCCTGTGACCTTCCCATGGGCATTCCTCATGGTGAGAAGTAGTGTGGCAGAGTGGGGAAAGACTTGGAAGAGGTGCCACAACACCTGGCTTTGATGCCAGGTTTTACCACATGTGAAGCTCGAGGCAGGCCTCATGCCATCTGTTAAGCTCCAGTTTCCTAGCCTGGTCCTGAAAAGCGGGCTTAGTCTGTCCTCTCTCTATACGTGCTTGGGTGCCCTTCCTCTCACCTCGGTCCTCTAGGTAGCTTTATTGCACCATAGAATAGAGACGTGGGGACTGTGAGCTTGTGGCATCAGGCAGACCTGTGCATAACAAAGCCTTGGGCAGTGATTCTAGATTTCTCTATTCTCTAAGGGAGGCTGACTATTATATAAAGTCATAGCAGGCCCAGCGTCCCTTATTCAAATCTCCAAACAAATGAGACAATTAACTTGGGGAAGTCTCCTAAGCCAGAGCTTCCCGGACAAAACAAGACTATGATTAACAAGTGACAAGGATAGACATCTTACAAACATGAAGCTGGCATTCTCAAAACTTTGGGGGAAATGTGTGCTCTTGAAAAACTCATTGGTACCTTCCATATTATAAATCTGTTTAAAGTGTGCTTGATAGAATTTGTTTTTTTTAAAGAACAGTTGAAAGTGAGGGGAAAAAAAAAAGCTTGGTCCCTGAAACCCAATGGGTTAATTCTCCCCTGTGGCAGAGGAAATGCCAAGCAGCCTTTGGCAGCGTTCTTCCTTCTTTGTATAACAACACTTTCAAGAGCTAGAGCTGGGATCATCCAGTAATGCTTTTAATTTGTGTGTGGTTGCGAAGAGGCCAGGATTTAATCGAAATTGTTAGAATGGCTTTGCTTGGAGTAGCTGAGTGCTTGCAGTAGGGCTAGGAGGCAAGGTAGCGCTGGAATAATTAAAAGAAATACCTAAGGCATCATCATTGCCTGAGTTATTCCAGATACCAGGCTGCAGAGTAAAAATAGTGAAATAAAATTTGTGCACAGTTACTTTTCTATTATACCTCAATTTTCTCTCTTCCCATTCACCTAATAAAAGGAGCTAGGTCTCCATGTTTGCTTAACGGGGTGGAGGCTAAGCCCTGGGAACTGGCTGTTTCTCAGCCAGCCCAGGTGCTCCAAGTTCCTATTTTTATCCTGCTCTGTACTGTGGGTGGTCTGAACTGGCTTACCCTCCTGAATTACATGTAGTACACAGCTGTGCTGAGAACATTTTTCTTGTCGTACCTTCCCTAGGTAATGGGACAGCAAGAGCTCCAAATCTTACCCTCCTGAGTGTCATCCTTAAACAACATGTGAAAAAAAAAATAGTCACAGGAATTGGGGTTTCCATACTTGTCCTCATTTCTATCCTCTTTCTAAAGAGAACCTGTGCCCCCAAGTCCCCAGACAACATATGGTCAAGATTAGGAATCATGTCCCCAAAAGACTAAATAATTCAAGAAAAAACTGAGCACATCTGTGAAGCAGAGATATTCACCTGACTTATTTATATGTTATAAACACTTAAGTGTACCACAGGGGACCAAGCATATGCCAGGCAAGTCAGTCACTCAATCAACAAGGGTTCATTTACCTCTACAAACCATTCAGTTTTTCTTTTCCCCAATACTGCAAGGCCCTGTGCTAAGTTCTAAGGTAAAGAAGAGAGAAAGAGGTGAGCCTTCTATTCTGAAGCCCTGCTAAAAAGTGAGGTATCACACGTGGAAAGGTTTGAGGTAGATGTTTATTCAATGTGTTTGGGCCAATAGGGCACTTCTTTCGCCGTGTGGCAATGTGTTTCAGCACCTCTGGCATCAAGGGTGAAGGCCTTAGCAGTTACCCACAGTGAAACAACCTTTGCAAAAATTGTAACAGTGAGAAAATTATGACCGTGAAAGAGACCCGATCCAACCAATCCCCATCTTGCTTTTAATCTCCAAACTGCCTTTGGTCATTCCAGGGCTTGGGCCAGGCTAACTTTGGGAGAAATTTGATTCATAGTTTTTTATTTATTTATTTATTTTGAGATGGAGTCTCACTCTTGTTGCCGAGGCTGGAGCGCAATGGTGCCATCTTGGCTCACTGCAACCTCCGCCTCCCAGGTTCAAGCGATTATCCTGCCTCAGCCTCCCAAGTAGCTGGGATTACAGGCATGTGCCACCATGCCCGGTGGCTAATTTTTGTACTTTTAGTAGAGATGGGGTTTCTCTACGTTGGTCAGGCTGGGGCCTCCAGGAGTCAGGGTGGTTCTAGGGGACACCATGCACTTGTGAGTGGACAGACCACCAGCCGGAAAACAAAACAAAACAAAACAAAACAAACAAAACAAAAAAACTGAAGAAGCAGTGAGGATGGACCCCCGGTCTCCGAGTGTGAGTGCAGCAGGCCTAAGCAGCCATGGGGATAAGTGGGCACAGTGTGTCCCCTGAACAGCCCACTGTCCTGGAGGGAGCACTGTCACAGAGTCATTGGTCTTATTTAGCCTGGCCCAGAGGATGACCAAATGTGCAGCACTCTGGCTGGAACCTGGTGTCACAATTCTTTCATCTGTTCCCACTCCCTACCTCTTGCCCTCGCCATTTCTCTCTCTTACCTCAGAAAAGCTGGAAACCAGCCCTTCTGCTTCCAGAACGATCTTTTAGTATCTGTTCTGCTGTGCTATGAATTACATTCTCAGTGCCTAGTCCCCATTTCTCCCAGGTACTTCTGGCAAACTCATTTCCTAAATGCCATTTTCGTTTTGGTCATTCCCTTTGCAAAATCTCCCGTGGCTCCTTCATGCTTACAGGTGGAGAGATGAACTCCCTTGCCTGGTATTCAAGGATCTCTACCATCTGGCTCTACCTGGTTAACCTCATCAAATTCTGGAAAGACACATCTATCCGACCTCAGTGATCTGGATTCCTTGGCATCTCTAGGCACTGCATGCTCATTTTCTCTTTTCAACTTTTGTTTATATTGCCTCATTATCTTGAATTCCTCTTTGCTCTTATTTTCTATCCATATCCCATACATGTGCCAAATTCCAGGACGGATTTCTGTAATAGGAGAGAATAGAAGAAAGGTGTATTCATAAATTGTCCTAGGGCAAATCTTGAATTAATTTAGATAGAGAGATTATTAAATAAAATCAAGTAATAATATAATATTAAAATACAACTAAACTATTTCATCACATCGTACATCTAAATAAATTCCAGGTATATTAAAATATTATATTTTACAATAAAAACACAAAAGTTGCAAATAAAATATAGATAAAACTTTTTTATATCTTATTTTATTTAGAGACAGGGTCTTGCTCTGTCACCCACGCTGTGGCATGATCATAGCTCGCTGCAGCCTCCAACTCCTAGGCTCAAACAATCCCCCACCTCAGGTGTGTACCACCAGGCCTGGCTATTTTTGTTAGTTAGTTTTTGTAGAGACAGTCTCACTGTGTTGCCCAGGCTGGCTTTTAACTCCTGGCCTCAAGCAATCCTCCCACTTTGGCCTCCCAAAGTGCTGGGATTACAGATGTGTGGGTCACCATCCCCAGCCCATAAATGTTTTGGAAGTCCCTAAAAAGAAATAGAATTTCTAAAACCCAGCACTTTGGGAGGCTGAGGTGGATGCATCACCTGCAGTCAGGAGTTCGAGACCAGCCTAGCCAACATGGTGAAACCCCGTCTCTACTAAAAATATAAAAATTAGCTGGGCATGGTGGCACGTGCCTGTAATCCCAGCTACTCGGGAGGCTGAGGCAGGAGAATTGCTTGAACCTAGGAGGCAGAGGTTGCAGTGAGCTGAGATCGCGACATTGCACTCCAGCCTGGGCGACAAGAGCGAAACTCCGTCTCAAAAAACAACAAAAAGAATTTCTGAAAGAAAGAAAGAAAGAGAAAGAAAAAGATTAGCAGAGTGACAATAGATAAGCAAAGTCAAGTGGAAAACTGCAAATTGGGTAACTGTTCACACTAAACAAGGCAAGTATCTCATCTTTTGTAGATACCCATAAGAAAACATTAAAGTGTAATTAAAAACTGAACAGAGAACATTAACAAACATTCTACTGCAGATAAAATATAATTAGACAAAGGAAAATAATGCAAGTTAAAGCAGTAGATTCTTTTTTATACATACCAGATTGGCAAAGTAAAATAATAATAGTGATAACAACAATAATTTATGGCAAAAGTGCACTGACGTGGATAAAGCACATATTATCGGTGAGTAAAACATCTGAGAAATCAACTCGACATTTTTCAAGAACCTGAAAAATGATTACACAATTTTATGATAAGTCCATCTATGGATAGGTATTCTAAACTATGTTTATACTAGTGAATATTTGAAAACAGACTAACTCTCTCACAAAAGGAGAATGATTAAATAAATATATGTAAGAGGCAAAATTTGATTCAGTTATTAGCATACTAGTCTCTAGGAATTTTTGATAGCAGGAAAATTAGTCCAGATTTAATATAAGACAAAAAATGGAATAGAAACATCTATGTAAAAACAAACAAAAAGAAATGTCTACATAGCTCATTATCTCAAATACGCAAAAATAGACATGCACACATGTGCATGCACACACACACTCAAATAATATATACTAAAAGGAAATCCACCAAAATGAATTATTAGCTATTCTGTGTGTAGAATCATGAGCTATTTTCATTTTATTATTTATAATTTTTTTTGCAAATTTTACATCAGAAATCTCTATTACTTTAGAATCAGAGGTAAATGAAATGAATACTTTAAAATTTCCAATTAATTTCAGCCACAAAGATGTCAGCATTCTTTAAAGTCCTGTATCGCATACATCCTCTGTACATCTTCCATCTATGCAAGTGTTTATTCTGCCAGTTCTTCAATATCCACTAGTCTTTCTTCTCCATACTAAACAGTAGTTTATTGTAAGTATTGGAAGGAAGAGATCATGTCAGGGGTCCAGTTCACTAATCTTTCCAAGGCCCCATTCCCTTCAGGGAATATTGATGGAGAACTGATAGGGCTGTTTAACAATTAAGTGACACAATTAATATAAAGTACTGTTGACAATGCCTGGCACATAGCAAGCACTCAGGTGAAGACCAAGGCGTTAGGGTCAGGTTGACATGGGTTCAAGCCTGGACTCTGAGATTTATTAGTGACAAGATTTTGAAAAAGCTCCTTGGCCTCGCTGAGCCACACTTTTATTGTTAAGTGAGAATCACAGCAGCTATTGTTAGCAAGCTGCTGTGATGTGGCATGTCAGGTGCTTTTAGCCTAGTGATTGGCTGCAGGAAGCACTTGATGAACAGCTGCTGCGGTGATTCCTCCCAGGAGCAGTGGTGATAGTAGCAGTACTTCCAGTAGTGATTTTTCTTCCCCTGCTTTCCTTGTCACTCCATTTTAGTGGTAAACTTTTTGAGTGCTGAGGTTCTTTGTTAGATCTCATGCTCTGTCCCTTTCTCAGACGGGCATTCAGTCTGGCATCTTTCATTTAGGGGATGAAACATGACAAATTATTTCTCAGTAGCCGAGACGAACCAGCTTTTTGTTGGTAATTCAGGGGCTTCTGAGGGAACAGCTAGTGGGTGTGTGGTTTCCATGAGTCCTCTGAATTCGATGAGAGTGGCCAATGTGTGGCAGCAATGAGTCAAGACACCTGTGCACCTAGCGTAGAGAACAGGTATTTTGCTGGATTTGATTGAAGATATTCTTCCATGGCACCTTATGTTTATATTTTCTATATCGATTATTAATGAAAGATAAAGATCTGTTGACTTGTCTGCATTCCATGATAGACTGTAAGCTTCAGGAGGGAAAGGATCATGTTTCTTTTTTTACTCATCCAACAAATGTTTTGGTTGAACATTTCTCTCTCTCTCTCTCTCTCTCTCCCCACCTGTCTGTCTCTATCTCTGTCTCTCTATCTCTCACTCCATCTCTATGTATGTATGTATGTATGTATCTATCTATCTATCTATCTACGTCTATTTCTCTCTCTCTACCTACCTATCTCTATCTATGCCAGACACTTTGCAAGTTGTTGAATATTCAGTGGTGTACAAAATAATCATGACTTTGCATTCACAAACTCTAGTGGAGAAGAGGGCTATTTCATAAATAAATACACAAATAAGAATATAATTACAACTGGTGATGATTCTTTTTTATGAAGGACAAGAACATGAGCTCCATGAGAGAGAATAGAATTGTGGTGGTGAGAGATTGACCTAATTTAGACAGAGGGGGTCAGGGAAGGCCTGTTGGAAGATGTGGTACTTGAGATTGAGGATGAGTAGTTCTGTCTAGAAGGGAGTGGCTTATTCAGTGCTGCATCTTTGGTTACTACCAATAGCACTATTCAAGAGGATACAACCCTAGGTCCCTTAAGAAAAAAAATTTTTTTAAGTGACTCTTTGGGTAGAAAGTCAGAGAATGAGCTGGGGAAAAAGCACACTGGCCCAAGAAAGAGAAAACTTGGCAAGTCTGCCTGAAGACTGAAGGAGACATGGGAAGAAGAAAGAAGTGTTTAAGACATAGACTGAGTCCCTGGGAAGCACTACAAGTCAGGAACTGCTCATGGTGGCTTGTTTTTGAAAACAGACCCCACACAAAGCTCTGCTGATTGATGGTTTGTTTCAGAATGGTGACACATCCAGAAAACAACACAGACACAATATTTCAAAGTAGAAAAGAAAAATATGTCTGATATCCAGAAATAATTACCAACCAATTGAAATCTATTCTACAGTTGCCCCCAAATGCCAATGGAAACAACATTACATGACTCACAAATTCTTTTCTGTCCGCTGTCTTAGCCAGCTTGGGCTGCCATAACAAAATACTATAGACTGAGTGGCTTATACAACAGAAATTAATTTTCTCACAATTCTGGAGGCTAGAAGTCCAAGATCAAGGTTCTTGCTGATTCATTTCCTGCTGAGGCCTCTCTTCCTGGCTTTCAGACAGCTACCTTCTTGCTATGTTCTCATATGATTTTCCCTTGGTTTGTATGCAAGGAAAGGGAGGGAGAGAGTGAGAAAGTGAGTTCTCTGGAGTCTCTTCTTATAAGGACACTAATCTTATGGAATTAGGGCCTCTCTCTTATGACTCCATTTAACCTTAATTACTTCATTAGTGGGTCTGTCTTTACATACAACCATATAAAGGCTTCAGCATATAAATTTTGGAAGGGGTACAAGCATTCACTCCTTAGGATCTATTTATGTTCTGAAGGTCCCACTAATCACTGCAAAGTAGCTGGGTCCAGTAAACATGTTTTCTGCCTCTTCATGTCTCTCCTTTTCTCAAAACTCAAAATGACCTCAAGTCTTCCCACATCTCAAACCCCATCTAGCCTTAATCCTGTGACCCGTGATCTGTTCCACTCTTTCTAATGTAGGTGTAGCTGGCTTCTCTAGACTTCTCCTTCAGTTCTCCTTTCTGCCTATTGATCATCATAAACATCAAAAAGCCAGGTGTGGTGGTTGCCTATGTCACAAAGGGCATTCTCCTTCAGCAAGCAGGACTGGGGAGTGGCTCAGGATGACTCACATTTTAGTATTTTTCTTTCCATGCTCTTGGTTTGCCATGCCCCCTTTGTCTCCACATCACTTGTCTTACTTGCCCCTGATAGTATTTGAGTGGCACAGACAAAAAGGGAACTGCCACCACCATCAGGTCTCAAGAGCACATTTAGCACCTGCAGAGCTCCGTATGTGCAAACCAATGGCCCAGCACTGACATTTTTGGCTCCCGCTAATTAGCTATTTCCCCTTCCAGGATGGGTACTGCCCTCTGTTTTGCCCAAAGTAAATGAATTAAGTTGTTTCCATACTTGAGGCCAACCCTTTTGTCAGCAGCAGCAACTTAATTACTCTCCCCCTATGAGGCAGAGCTGGAGCTGGTTCAAGTGTTCCACCAATGGCCAGCAGGAGAAAAAAAAAATCATTAGAAAATCAATTCTTATTTAATTGAAGATTTTTCCTCCGAATGGAAATAAAGTGGGATTTATCACTGCAGTAGCCTCACAGCCTGGGTAATGACTGCACTTTTGCCTTTCTGGGTTTCCCTTGGTAGATAAGATGTCTTCAGCACCCAGGCTCAGCAGCACCACACACGCTGACTTCTGAGGGTCTGAGAGAGCTAAGGAAAGCAACAGCCTGGATGATGAATCCACTCAGGATGTGGGCCAAAGCTGTACAACCAAAAGATGATGAGAAACAATGCTTAGAAGTAAGATCAATACAGGAGACTAGAACCCGTTGGTCTCTCTTCTTGCAAGAAATTTAAAATAGCATATTTTTTAGGGCTGCTTATTTCTCTTAAGGATCTGCTATTGCCTATAGCATTGAGACTCCCAGGAAGTGCTGAGTCATGGTCCCCAGCATTTGCTGGGACAAATATGAATTCCATCTAGTTATGGGCACCACACTGGTACTTTGACACTCCAGGAATGGTGACCAGAATGATGACTCACCCAGAAACTACAGCATTGGAGGGAGAATTGAAAGCATTGAGAGCTTTTTGTTTTGAGAAATGAAAGTTCAGAGATGTGAGAGGTGTCTTCAAACCTGTGAATGGCATAGCCTTGCTTTGAGTTGCTGAAATGGGTAGAACTAGGGTACTCCTCACAGGGAGGTGGACCATGATGTATTTAATGCAGGAGCTGTTAACAGAACTGCTTAGAAAAGCTTAGGATTGTGTTTAGGGAAGCTGGATTTGAGGAAGTTAATATTTCAAGGCCACAAATTCCTCCATTATTCCCCTCAAACAAGTGTCTATCTATTTGTCTATCATCTATCTATCTATCTATCTATCTATCTATCTATCTATCTATCTATCTTCTATCATCTATCTATCTACCTATTGATCTATCATCTTATCTATCATCTATCTATCTCAACTGAATGGCAAACCCCAATTCAACAAGCCCTCTATCAAAAGATCCCCTGAGAAATTGTTAGCATAGTATTTGGAGAAATTAGACCATGCTAATATCTATTTTAAAACTTCAGTTGCTCCTGTTTTCTGTAAGGTGAAACTGAGACCATTGGAAGGAGCTGCAATGTCTGTTTTTCACAATGCAACCCTAGTCTACTCCTCTGGTTTATGTCCTTTCCTTCTCTCTCCTATAAGACCTCTTTATGATGCGGACACAGTGATATTATAGTCCTTACCCAAGAATGCTATGCCTTTTTCCATCAGCTTACCTTTGCCCATTGAGAAGGCTGCCTGGAAACCCTTTCTCCCGTTTGCTTTGGGAAATACCTATTCTTCGAGACCCAAATTTTGTGGGTCTTGCCTCTCTGCACCAAGAACAACTCATGCCAGCATTTTAACAGTCTTCATTATTTTATGCTGCAAATTTGTGTTTGTGTGTCTGTCTCTCCCACTAGAGTAAGATCACATTCAAGGATAATAATCCTGTCTTATTATTTTGGAAAAATTGTCTCTACAAGACCTGTTTGAAGGTATCAGATTGATTATCACGTGTTCATGCCCAGAAATACATGAATAGAAATTAGTTTGTACCATGAGTCACACACTTGGAAATAAAATACAAGATAGTTAAATATCAAGTAGAAAAGTGAAAAGAACTTTAAATTTGTCCAAAGGATATCAAATATAATTGCCATGGTAGATCAAGAGCTGTGAAAGAGCCCTGGATGTCTTATAAAGACTGGGAGGTGAGGATAACAAATAATAGCTACCACTTAATTAAGAAAAGCATGATGATAGCTACCCAAGTAAGTGATTTTGCAGATATTGCCTAGTTCAATGCTTACAACAACACAATGAAGTAAGAACTAATATCTCTGTTTATGAAGTAAAAGATGAAGACTCACAGAGTCAACTTTTAATGCCACACAACAATTAGGGTGTTGGTACTTGGCTTTAAACTCATATCAGACATGAAATGCCATTTTCTTCAGCACTACGCAATAATGTCTCCCTAGATAAATCAAGATGGCTTCAGAAACATGCCCCTTGGATGGACCTTTGTATTAGTTATCAATTGTTGTGTAATGAATTACATCATAGCATAGTGTCTTAAAATAAGAGATATTTATTATCTCACAATTTCTATTTGGAAGCTATCTGAGTGCAGCTTAATTGAGAGCCTCTGCCTCAAGGTCTCTTATGAGGTTGCAGTCATGCCAGGTCTTGGGCTGTGGTCTCATCTCAAGTCTTGACTGGGCAGAATCCACTCCTGAGCTCTCTCACACGACCAGTGGCAGATTTCAGCTCCTCCCCAGCTGTTGGCCACAGACATCAGTTCTTTGTCACATGGACCTAATCTCAGACACGACATCCCATCACTTCTATTTGCTAGAAGCGAGTCTTGAGGTTCAATTATACTCAAAGTGGGGGACTGCACAAGGACAGGAATCACGGGAGGCAGAGAATGTGCATGCTATTTTAGAGACTGCTTCCCATCCCTGAACCACTTGCTGTGCTCTGGAACAAATGGCAGAATGTTCAGGGGAGGGGATGGGAAAGTGAGGCTGTCATCAGCCTCTGAGGACCTGAAGGGCATGAGCTGCCCACAGTCTGAGGAAGATTTCTCTTATTTACTAGCAACATTTGTAAAGCCTCCACATCACGAGGACTCTCAAAAGCTGACAAGGTGGAGATGCTCAACCTCATTTTCAAGTGTTCAAACTCAGGCTTAGAGATGCTGAGGTACATGATTCTGCTATCAAACACAGAAGGAACTCTCAGATGAAATGCTGCCTGGAGGTGTGATGACAGTCAAAGAGAGAAGAATGTGATACTGTGATATAACAAGAAATATCTATTTGGTCTCTACCTCCAGTTGCTGAGACAAAGCTGCTAAAACCCTTGTGGATATAGGTGCTAGGAGAATCTTGTCTTCTAATGTTTGGTCTTTGACACCAGTTTCTAAAACAGAGCTCCTAAGGCCTTTGTAATTTCCTGAGTTGTAGGAACATCTGATACAGAGCTCCTAAGTTCCTTGGGTGACAGAAGCATCTTTTGTTCTAATGGGGTGACTTTTCTTGGGTTCCTGGATAGCTCAGGATGGGGTTGGTTGCCAGGGGAACCAATCATGTGATTAGAGCATTGAAACTTTCAGGCTCACTCCTGACCTCTGGAAAGGATAGAGGGGCTAAAATTTGAGTTGATCATCAATGGTCAGTGATGTAATTAATCACGCCTACATAGTGAAGCTTCCATAGGAACCCCAAAAGACAGGGTTCAGAGAGCTCCCAAATTGCTGAGCATGTGGAAGTCCCTGGAGAGTGGCATGCCTAGGGAGGGCATGGAAGCTCCACATCCCTTCTCCCAGGCTTCACCCTATACACCTTTTCCACCTGGCTGTTCACCTGCATCCTTTGTAATAGCCTTTATAATACATGAATCAACAAAGTAAAATGTTTCCTTGAGTTCTCTGAGCCACTCTAACAAATTAATTGAACCCAAAAAGGGGTTATGGGAATGCCCAATTTTTTGGTTGGTCAGAAGCAAAGGCCATAACCTGTGGCTAGAGAGACTAGCATGTGAAGTGAGGGCAGTCTTGGAGACTGAGGTCTCAATCTGTGAGATCTGATGCTATCTCCAGGTAGACAGTGCCCAAATTGAATTTAACTGTGGGGAACCCAGCTAGTGTCTCTCAGAGAACTGTGTGGTGTGTAGGGAAATATCTACACACATTTTGTTGACAAGGGGTGAAGTGTTCTGTGCTGCATTGAGTGTGTGAGAGTAGGAAAAAGTTTGTTTTTTCCTATTACTTACACTTTGTTTTTTTCCTATCTCAAACAAGGAAGAAGGACAGAGGGTTCCTATGCTGGGGGAAGGTAGTGTATGACCATGCCTGACCTCCCAGCTTCTTCCGCTGTGCTGTATTCCTCACTTGGCATGTATCTGCAAGTTGTTTGGAGTGACCTTTCTCAAGATTTGTGTGCATCAAGACCGGGGTCTTTACAGTATTTCAACATTTGGATTCTCTCTATTTTCGTTACAAGAAGCAAAGCCCCACCTGCGACACACTGGCCTCAACTTTGTTAGATAATCAATAGTACACTAATGCAATGGATTAGAAATATGTGGCAAAGGACTGGTGCACAAACTTTTTGTTAATGAAGCATGACTGACTTTGTGGCTACCTGAAAATGTCCTTGGGCCAGCTTTCTCCCACGTCCATATTTTCATATTGGGTTCCCCTATAAGTGGTCATTTTAGACCTCTGTTAGCCCTCCCGCTAGAAAATAACCATTGTTGTCAGTTCTGGGTCTAGAGTGTTCCCAAGTCTGTTCACTTTCTAACCAGTTGGTCTGAAATATTTAGTTTGAAATAAGAAGGGGAATAATGTATCATTGGGATAAATCAGGTATGGGAGAACTTATCAAAGTTCAATAAACATAAAAGTGATGAATTTTGAAGTCACACAATTAACTCAGGATTACATGTGCAATAACTGAGTAATTACACCTTTAATAATGCATTGAACTTGTCAAGAATACTTACTCATTCTGCTCAAATTTTTTTTAACAAGATAGCCTATAGCAAGTGACTGTAATTAGATATTGCCTCTGAAAACATCGACAGCTCCTAATTGATACCTTTTATTATAAAGCTAGATGCCAAACATTTGCTGTTGAGTTGATTAAGGAATAATATTAGATGTGTTGAGATCATAATACCTACTTGCAGAAATCTCATGTAAGTAGAAAAAAAAAATCCAGTTCGACCCATCAATCACCCAGGTAAAGTTGGTTCAAGTTTGCACTGGTTTGCTTTAAATTACAGCCTGACAGCGATTGCTATTGCCAGGGCTGTCAGGAAAAGAAACTAGGGGCAGAAGCAGGTGGGAATGGAGATGGGGTCCCAAACTGCTTCCTTTTTTCCACGTGGATGGTCAGGAGAGATGGCACTGGGAGATCGCAGATGGCAAAATGTCTCCATGTGGCGAGGGGAAGGAGAGACTATATTTGCTCTTGTCTTTTGACGAAAGATTATTTTTTTCCACATCAAGGTTGATATTAAGGACTTTTTTTTGTTGTTCTTTTGTATTTTCTCAACAGCTGTTTGAGACAGGGCTCTAACATTCATAAAGATAAAAGAGAGAAGCTGTGGTTTAGGAGTGTCGGGGAGTTTCCCCAGCCTCAGCCCCATCTCCAGGGTTTCTTCTCTGTATAGTTTCCTCTAAATCCAGAGTTCCTATTACAGGGAAGCCTTGGGAACATTTTAGAAGGAGGCAGATGTTTTCATAGGCATTAGGGAGCAGGTGAACAACCTCCAGATAGCAATCACCTCACGGCCCATGAGAGGCAGGTTTCAGGTAGTGAAGAGCTTGAGCTCTGCCCTGTTTGGATCCTTCTCTTCCAGGGTTACCTACCATGGGATCTGAAGCAGGTAAGTTGAGTTGATCACCAATGGCCAATGTCTTTATCTGTAAAATTATCCTTACAGTCCAGACCCTGCTGATGCAGTGCCAGGGCATGGGTACAGATAGTGACCCTCATACCAATGACTACATATTTAAAAGCTATATATCAAGCCAGCAAACTGTGGAATCAAACATTTTCTATCCTCCTACTTTGACAGAAACACCTTCAAAAAGAAAATGTGTAGGCCGGGCACAGTGGCTCACGTCTGAAATCCCAACACTTTGGGAGGCCGAGGCAGTTGGATCATGAGGTTAGGAGATTGAGACCATCCTGGCAAACATGGTGAAACCCTGTCTCTACTAAAAAAAAGAAAAAAAAAAAAAAAATAGCAGAGCAGGGTGGTGGGCGCCTGTAGTCGCAGCTATTTAGGAGGCTGAGGCAGGAGACCCTCTTGAACCCGGAAGGCGGAGGTTGCAGTGAGCCGAGATCCCGCCACTGTACTCCAGCCTGGTGACAGAGCAAGACTCCGTCTCAAAAAAAAAAAAAAAAAAAAAAAAAGAAGAAAAAGAAAGACAGAAAATGGGTAAAGCTATGATACTTATATGACTGAAAGACATCCAAATATAAAAGGTGGCCAAATGTAATTGTTACTGCATGGTTCTGGATGTGCTATTAGTAAACAGAGATACTGGGTTAGTCATAAAATAAAGATGCATATTATTTACAAATTATTTTGTATTTATTCCATAAAAATTATTTATTCCTTTGAGTTCTCAGCAAAATCACTATGTTACTATAATCAAGATTTTCACAGAATTTTGTTCTATTGGCAATAATGACCTGAACAATTATAACATAAAATGTGATTTATTCAAAATGTGTATATATTTTATATATTTATATTTTACATCCATAAAAATGCAAACTAAGTCAACGTTGGAAATGTTAAAATAATTTTAAAATGTAAATGTAAAAACTAAAACATATATTTTAAGTGTTCTCAGAAAAGTCAGTATTCTACAATATTGAAAAATACTAAAAGCAAAAGGAAAAATCGATTACTTAAATAGGCAACACAAAATGGAAAGTGTCATTTAATAACATTAAATAAAATGACATTTTAATGTATTTATGATTTAATTAAGATTTTGTAGAAAAATTCAAACAAAGCCACAACTCTAGGATTCAATATTCATCTAGTTGTCGGTGTAAAAATGTGGTATCATGCTTCATGCATGTTATGTCTAGACTCACATATATTCAAATTTCAAAGTTCTATGAATTGCTTAACATTGCAAAATATTCCATGGCTGTTCTGAGGGGCTGTTGTGAATGCTGGACTGATTTGTGAATAACTCGAGACTCAACATTGGAACACAAAAAGAAGCAAGAAAATGGTTGCAGGAAATGAGACTTCGTTACAGAAGAATCTTTTGCATTCATGCAGAGAGGAAAGATTTGACAAGCTAACAGATTTCTCTTTTGTCTCCTCTCAAATCCTCCTCAATCCCAGAGCAGTGTCCATTTCTGAAGACAGCAGCACAACTCACAGACCTCATGACATTTAAATACAGTCTCCTTTGGTTTCAAGGTCACCCACTGGGCAAGAGGGGTGACGAGTATTTCCCTGGGATTTTAATCTTGTTAGTCGTAGGGGTGGCTTTGTAGGACACTGGCTCCCGCGTAACAAAGACATTGTGAGGTATATAACTTTTTTTAAAAAACTTTATTTTAGAACAGCTTCAGGTTTACAGAATTACGAAGATATACTTTTTGAAGATACAAAAGTGCTATATGTTTCCATACACCCATTTTCCCCTTTTATTAGCATCTTACATTAGTATGACACATTTATTAGAAAGAACCCATATTGTTATTATTAACTGAAGTCCATATTTTACTCAGATTTTCTTCGTTTTCCCCAAATATCCTATGTCAATTCCAGGATCCTATCCAGAATACCACATGGAATTTAGTTGTCAGGTCTCCTTAGAATCCTCTTGGATGTGACAGTTTCTCAGACTTGTTTTGTTTTTGATGGCCTAGACAGTTTTAGATTACTGGCTAGGTATTTTGCAGAATGTCCTTCAATTGGGATTTGTCTAATGTTTTTCTCATAATTAGCTATTGGTTTTTCGGAGGAAGACCACAGATGGCATTCGCATCACATCATATCATCAAAAGACGTGTCACTCTTGATATTGACCTTGATCACCTGGCTGAGTTAGTATTTGTCAAGTTACCTCACTGTAAAGTTATGTGTTTTTTCTTCCTTTCCACATCATTCTCTTTGGAAGGGAGTCACTATCTACAGCCCACGCTTAAAGACTGAGGAGTTTTCCTCTACCGCCTTAAAGGCACAGTATCTACATACATTATTTGTAGTTCTTCTGCATGGGAAATTTGTCTCTTTCTTTCCACTTATTTATTAAATAATTCATTTATATCAGTATGGACTCATGAATATTTATTTTATACTTTAGATTATAATCCAATATGACTTTGAAACATTCTATTGCTCAAGTTGTTTTAGCTTTGGCCACTGTGAGTCCTTTCAGCTGGGTCCTGTGTCCCTTAGACATACCCCCATAATTGTGTTGTTTTTCTTTTAATCTCGTTTGAGGACTGTCTTACTTTTCAGCACTACATGATGCTACAGGCTTATCTCATGTATTTTTTTTTTTTTTTTTTGCTCCTGTCCTAGAATCAGCCATTTTTCCAAGGAGCCCCACCATGAGGTTTCAATAAATATATTGTTACCTGTATGCTCACAAAATGCAAGTTCCAGGCCCAGGAGATGGACCTCTCTTTTCCAGGTCCAAGAGTAATGCAGGTTACACTCTTTACATCATGGAGTTGAAGGAACAGTTAAAAGAGTTCACGTGAACAAAGTGCTTGGAATAGTTCCTGGCACATAGTAAAAGCCCAATAAATGTTGACTATGATTATAGCTGCGTGCAATAGAAACTTTCTCATGTCTCACCAGTGAATGCTGCCTGTTAGCAGCAACCATGGCAGTAGAAGTAGGAGCCAATATTTGAGTTATACTCTACCATGCAGAACCATCCAGAGATTACTCACATCCAGAGATGATTTCTATGGTTTATTCTCTGGAGCAAATCTTTTTAGTTATTGACCCATATGGGTTTCCCTGTAAGTAAAGACAAGTCATCTGTTACCTATCTCACCTGGGATGAGTTGCCCAGTGGCAACTCAGGATGAGAAGGATGTTCTCATCCTGCTATGAAGAAATATCCAAGACTGGGTAATTTATAAAGAAAAGAGGTTTAATTGACCCACAGTTCCGCATAGCTGAGGAGACCTCAGGGAACTTACAATCATGGCAGAAGGCACCTCTTCACAGAGTAGCGGGAGAGAGAAATGAGTGCCCAGCGAAGGGGGAAGCCCAGTATAAAACCATCAGATCTGGTGAGAACTCACTATCACTAGAACAGTATGGAGGAAACAACCCCTGTGGTTCAGTTATCTCCACATGGTTTTGCCCTTGACACACAGAGATTATTACAGTTCAAGGTAAGATTTGGGTGCGGACACAGAGCCAAACCTCATCAGCCAGTGTCTTTTATTTGAACTCTTTTTTTTATATGTAAATGTCTTATGTAGTGTCATATTCTACTTGCACTTTCTTGTTTTCCTTGCCTCTACTCTGTACACTCTAGTCTTTTGGTGGCTTGATGCTGAAGTGGCTCCCTTACCTCTGCTCAACCTGATTTCTGGCTCTAAGAACTCCCCCTCTCTAGGAAGGGGAAAACTTTCTGTTGGAAGTTGAGGCAAAACACTCCAGGAGGGGACAGCTCCCTGGGGCTGTACAGAGTGACCATGTATCCAAGGCTTGCTGGAGCCAGTTGAAGTCCTACCTCGGTACTTTTACATTTAACATCTTACTGCTTAAGTATCATTTACCAAAAAAAAAAAACATATATATATATATATATGCCACTGTTGGAATGTAAATATTTTGGAGGAATTTCAGTCAGTTGGGTAAATAAGATAAATGCATGAAACTATAATAAAGCATTCTACAGTAGCTGTCACATTACTGTTGAGGAGGAGAAGTTCTGTAGGAGATTGGTAAGGAGAAAAAAAAGGAGAAAGACGTTACACATTTCCTGGGTAGAGCTACAGAGCTGCTAAGGGTGTGGACGCTGGAACCAGATGGTCTGGGCTCAAATACTAGCTCTGCCACTTGTAAGTCATGTGACCTTAGACAAGTCATTTAACCTCTTTTTGCTTCACTTCCCTCATTTGGGGATATTTTATACCTCCTTCAGAGGTTTGTTTTGAGGATAAAATGAGTCAATATGCACAAAGCACAGAGAATAGGGATTGGCACATATTCAGAGCTATGTAAAGTTTATGCTATTTTTACTAGGTGTCACATGCACCATGCAAGGGACTTCATGGGATATTTCATTTTGCCTTTTATGCAACCCTGACAGGGCTACTTGACCTAACTTTTAAAGACAAACTCAGAGAAAGAGAGGCTGAGGATCAAGGATGCTTATGTATTGGTAGGAGTGAACTTGGCATATACGAAGCCAAGGAGTCCCATTTAGGTAGGGAGAAGGATAGTATTAGGTAGCTAGGAACAGTTCCTAGAACCTGCTGAGGTTTGGTGGTTACACTCTGTACATCATGGAGTTGAAGGGACAGTTAAAAAAGTTTGAGAGTAAACATAGATCCCAAATAATGGGATGCAGTGACTAGATTGCCTGGGGCTGCAATCCACCTCTTCCACCTACTGTGTGACCTTGGGCATACGGCTTAAGTACTTTGGAACCTCAATTTCCTCATCTGTAAAATGGAGATAACCAGTTCTACCTCCTGGGGATAGTATGTGTTTATACGCACTTATCTGTAGAAAGTATTTATCTTTATACATGTAAAACCATTTTTACATGTATATCTTTTTTACATGTAAGTGGCATTTATCTATTTATTCCATGTTTTTTCTATTCTGTGGTTCTGTTATTTTTAGCATCCAACGTCAATATAATAGCAGGTCTTTAGAGGCCAAGGAAATACTGCCACTTTCAATGTAAATGTTAAATATAAAATGAATCCTTGTTACAGAAAGGATAAAATATAAAATGAACATCTGTCTCAGAAGAGAGAAATGGAGCAGTAGAATCTCATTAAGCATCTCCCCCTCTCTCCTCCACCTCTTCTGCTAAACTCTCCTTCTAAATGACAGACCCACTTCTTGGGACTTAACCCACAGCCCTGGGCTTCCCCAAACTCTGCCTGTGGTGACGCCCAAGGCAAGGCCTGAAGGAGCGTGTGGAGCTAAGAAGTGGACTTGTAGCTCAAAGGAGGTAGAAATTGCAGTAGGGGGTATACAAATTCTTCAGCTTTAAAGAACTTCAGAGTTAGACATCATTAAATCATTAAAAGGGCACCTAAGGGGAGTTAATATGCAGAAAAGTAGAGCTAATTTGAGCTCTCAAGTGACTAACTCAGAATTGCCCACTTAAACTCTGAACCCTTTAATTCATATGAGTACATTATAGATTCCAAAGAAGACTTTTTTCCCCTCCTTCAAACTTTGGCCTTCCCTATAGGCAGGGCAGAGGGTGGGGGTAGCTTTCGTAGAGTGGAGCTCACCACCCAGAAACTCTGCGGTATAAATATGCAGGCAAGGGTTTTTGTTTTTTTTTTTTTTTTTTTTTTTTTTTTTTTTTTTTTTTTTTGGCTGAGAGTAACAATTAATAGCTACTGCCTGGAGCTCCTCACTAAGGCACAGATTTTAGTAGACTTCAATCCTGCCAGGACATCCTGAGATAAGATTAGATCAGTGGTTTTCAACAGAGGATGATTTTATCCCCCTGCGCCACTCCAGGAGACATTTGGTAAAGTTTGAAGACAGTTTTAGTTGTCTTGGCTTGGGAGGCAACAGTGCTACTGGCATCTGGTAGGTGGAGTCCTAGAATGCACAAGACAATCCCCAAAAGAGGATTATCTAGCCTCAAATGTCCATAGTACTGGGACTGAGAAACCCTGGGTAAGACCAGCAGAAGGTATTAGGTTGGTGCGAAAGAAACTGCAGTTTTCGCAATTACTTTCAATGGCAAAAACCACGATAACTTTTGCACGAACCTACCAACCTAATAATTTCTCATCAGGCCACTCTTCCTGAATGCAGAGAGCTACTGACATCCTCCGCGCCCTCTGCTTCCAATTTCTAGCTCTGACAAATGTGGATAAATATATCTGGATTTTGAACTCAGAATATCTTGCCTTGAAATTCAGTCACTTTATATTTCTAAGCCTCAGTTTTCTCATCTGTAAAATGGGGATTACAACAGTCATCTTTGGGTTGTTGTATAGAATTTAGTCTTTATGCAGTAAGCACTCAATACATGCTAACTGTTATTACTGTCCCAGGATTGAAGCATCCTTGTTTAGGAAAACTTCACTTCCCAAAGGGACATAAAACTTCTTCCAGGTCATGAACTTCTGAATCCTAGGCTCCTTTTGCCATTGCTGATCCTGCCACTTTTCCTCAGGCCTCATTTTCTTCCAAATGCAATTGTTGCAATAGGGCTAGATGGCCAACTTCCCCCATTTTAATCAGAATCTCTGCCAGAATGAACTATTGAAAGTGACAGTCTAAACGGGTTATTCTCATGCCAAGTCTTGCCACAGCGCCCACTGCCTACAAAATAAAATTTGTTTCTTATCATGCCCTCAAGGTCTAACTCTTACCCTAAACTCTTAATATTTGCTGGGCTCCACCTTCAACTATTCTCACCATATGCTGTTTCTCTAATATATTGGTCCATGTCTTCCTTCTAAGCTTCTGTTTTTGACATTGCCTCTCTCTCTTGAGTGCCCACCCCTTCTTAAGTTGTCCTATCAAATATTTATTTCCCAAGATTCAGGCGAAGACACAGCTAGGAAACTATCACTAAAGCCCAAGGGGGGTCTAGGCTTCATTTACTTGCATACCCACGGCACAGAGGGCATGCTTTAGTTCACCAAATTCCTTGCAGTGTTGGACTTTTGGGAAATTGTCTGTTTCACTCATTGTTTGTTTCAGAAACATACTCTCCTGGAAATAAAACATTGGTATCAGACTTTTCTATCCCTCTAATTTTGTCAGGAGTCCGTTACAGCTACAAAACTTCCTAAATCTCCAGCTTTATTTTCCTGGGGTTAAGAAATAAAACCCCACTCTGTTCCTTCTTAGCTCTATGACCCTGAGTGAGCTATTTAACCTCTCTTAGCTTGTTTTCTTTTTTTAAATCTGTAAAATTGGACTAATAGTCTCATTGGTATCTTTGTGCATATTAAATGAGAAATTTACATAAAGTACTCAGCACAATGCCTGGCACTAGTGCTCACTGACAACTATTTTTCAAATGGTAGTCCCTTCAGCCTTGAAGGGAGAAAACAGAGAGTTTGAAGAGGTGAGCAGTAGACCAGGCATGTCCATGGGGTACAATTATTCACTTGGAAGATAAAGGAAATCAGGAGGTGGAGATGAGACTCTTTAAAAAAAAAAAAAAAACAATTTTGCTATGGTTGAGTCATGCCAGGCTGGACTGCCATTGCCTGGGCTGGTTCTAGAGCATGTACACGTGTGTGTGCTCATGTATGCCTGTGTGCAGGCATGTGCGTGCATGAATGAGAGATGAGGGGCTCAGTATTGAGCAACACAGTTTAGGTTTAGAAACAGGATTCAGCCATGGGCTTCTGCTCTGACCATTGGGAAAAGATCTGAACCCTTCAAAGCCAGGATAAGGGTCTCTAAAGTAAGAAGGTGAACAATAAAACCCTGGAAGACCCAAAAGCAGTTGAGAAGCATTACAGCCCTTTTGTTGCAAGCCCCAGGAAACAGGGGAAAAATAAACCTGGTCTGACTTCACCACTCCTGAACCATAAAATGTTTACCTCGGGGGAGGGTAGGGACCCAAAGGAAGGAAGGTTTTCTGTTGTCAAGCTCTCTTCTAAGGATGTATCCTGACCCTTGTCCTCAGGTCTCCTGGGCCTGAACACCCCAGGGCCTGGAGAATGCTAATGCAGTGAAGGGCTTAGCCATTCAGCTTCTGGGCTGAGGTCAGCTTCTGCTCAGCACTGAGTCCTGGGGAGCCTTCCTTCCTCTTTCTGTTCTCGAGGTCTCCATCACTGTAGGGAGGCCATGACTCTGTCATTCTGTGGATCTGATTCTGGGTGATTCCATGTTGCCCCACAGGGTCTGGGTCAGAACCTACACCATGCTAGCCTTGTCAAGGCAGGGCCTCTCTTCCCTGGGGCTGTGTCTCTGGCTTCCTGCACTTCCTGTTCTCTAAGAGAGCCACACAAAGCCCAATGTTACCACCAGCTCCTGCCTCATCACTCTGCTTGTCTCCTGTGAACTTGTTCCTGGTTTGTTTCAGAAATGCGTCGATTTAATGTACTGCTTAAACTTACAGATATTGGGGTCAGATGTGCAGAGTTCCTAGTGGGATGTCCTTGGCAGAAAATTTAGCTTTTCAAAAGTTTAGTATCTTCAGCTATCAGGAGGGAATGATGACAGCCTTTCCCTTATAAAGCGGATGTTGTAATTAGAGGTGAGAATGCAGGTGAAGTACTGAACTCGGTACGTGGCCCGCTGCAACTACTTGGAATGAATTGTTAAATGACAGTGTCTGGGTTTAGCCCTTTTCAGAATTGCTGTCACTTTACACTTGAATGCCAGTTCACCTCTCGGGGTGTGGACTAAGCTGGAAGTGGTTCTGGGCAGCAGGAAGCCTGTTATAGCTCTATACGGCATGATTCTCTCGGCTTTAAGGAGATGGGACTTCCCTAACCCCTCCATGTCCATGTGGTCATTCTGCCAGCTTCCAGAGAACATTTATCTGAGTCCCTTGAAGTCCCAGGGAGCAGGTCATGCAGCAGGACGAGAAGACTGTGGCTGAGGACCTGGGACAGGCCCTGTTTCTGGCACCATGTCTGTGTTCCACATCTGAATGAGGCTGCTGGGGATGCTAGAACAGCAATCTGGAAAGCAGGGAGGGTTGGGGGCATCATACACAATGGAACTGGGATGGAAAGCAGGCCTGGGCCACACACAGGCTTAGAGAGTAGAATGGCCTGTGAGTCTCAGAGATTCAAGTAACAGGTGGGCCAGTTGGGTCAGTTTGGATCCTTGAAGAAACAGACATGAAGAAGAGACTAGATACCTAAGAGATTTACTATGGTTTGGGGGTAGGGTAGGGAACATTTCTACAATATAAGAGGGGAGAAAGTGAAATTTGGTGGGGAAAGGCTTCAGACCATGATGCAGGTAACACACCCTAAGGAAGGACAGAGGAAGAGAAGGATTGGGCAGGAGAAAGTTCACACTGTGGCACAGTTCTGACAAAGTTCTGGCCGGCCCATGGCAAAGTTGCTTATGAGAGGGATCCTGAGTAGGGCAGGAATAGCCCTATTCTGATACTCTCTGATGTGCTCGGTCTTGGCTGGGATCAGTCAGGGGAACTTTGGCCTGACAATAATTGAAGCGCGGATTCAAAGGTGTGGCAGCTGGGGCTGTCAACCACTCATGCTTTCCTCAGCGGGTTCCTCTGGGGGAGATCGGAGCAGAGCAGCTCCATGGCTGCCATAACAGCTGAAATGATTTCTTTTTAGAAGCTTCAATCATGAAATTGTCTGTGATAAGGCTGATGGTCTCACTTTCCAACTGACACACACACACACACATTTACTCACTATGCATACATGAGTATACAGACAAGCATAAACAATACACATGCAGATGCAGATACATATAGTGTGTCATGACATAAATACTGAACAAGATTCGAGTCTAAAGTCTGGTATGAACAAGATGCATAGCCTTGAAAAAATCCCTTTTATTGAATTTATTTTTCTTACCAACTATATAATTAGAGGCAGCACTCAGACCTCATTTGACTCTATCATTTTATGAGTTTATGGATTACAGTACTCTTACAACCAGTATCAGTACAAACAGACATTGTCAATGGAAAGTTCCAGCCAGGCAGAGAACAAAGGGCACACTCATTCCTTTAATGTACATTCATGGGCACTTCGGGTAGGTTGGTGAACAAACTGCATGGTTCTTGCCCTTCTAGACCAGTATTCAATGGGAATACAAAGAGAAAGAAGAAATGAAGTAAACAATGGTGGGCATTTGTAGAGGATAAGCAAGATTCAGTATCAGAGAACTGTCGAGAGGGGGAACTCTTGAGAGATTTCACACAATGTTCATTTGTTCAACGTGAAGGGCAATTTATCCATTCCACACATATTTATGGGTCATTTGCTGTGTGCCAGGCATGGTGCTCTCTGTTAGGTTAAGTGAGTTCTCAGTCAAAACCATGGACAAAGGCGTCCTTTTGGACATCTTCCCAGACCTGCTTGGCTCTTTGTTAAAATGGTACTTGTCACAAACTTGTTGGTGCAACTCCTGTTAACAAAAGCATTCCACAGCTCACGTTCTTTGTGTTTTATTTCCTACTGTGAAAACGGCAATATTAAGCAAGCAAATGAAAGGTCTTTGGCATAGAGTCAGAGGACTGTTGCTTTCTTCCAGTTCTGCCACATATTAGCTCTGTGCTCCAGCTGACCATGCTGTCTTTCTGGTTCTCAGTTTACCTGTTGTTAAGGTGGGGATGGAATGACATCTTCCATCTCATCCAGTTCCCAGGTTACTGCATAAAAATATTGTTTTTTTCTGTGGAATTCCAACAAGTCTTTCTGTTTTATCAATTCATAAGTGTATGTTTTAATTAAAAAATATTCTTCAAAGCAACAAAGAAGCAAAAGAGCAATTATACTGAATCCCAACCAATTCCTCCCAGAAAATTTATTATTATTATGCTGTATTTTATTTTTTGAGACAGGGTCTCACTCTCTCACTCTGTTGCTCAGGCTACAGTACAGTGGCACAATCACAGCTCACTACAGCCTCAATCTCCTAGTCTCAAGTGGTCCTCCTCACACCCAACTAATGGTTTTATTTTTTGTAGGGAAGAGGTCTCACTATGTGTCCCAGACTGGTCTTGAACTTCTGAGTTCAAGCAATCCTCTCGCCTCAGCCTTTCAAAGTACTGGGATTACAGGCATGGGCCACCATGGCTAGCAGGAAATTATTTTTAAACAAAATTTACATTTGGCTCCCAATTATACCACTTTCTAGCTATATGGCCTTGGACACTTTACCTATTTATTTAGAGCCTCAGTTTCTCCATTGGGAAAAGAGTTTCCAGGTAGATCCTCCTTCTGTGCTTCAGTGTTTTGGCTTAGAGGTAGAGGTGTTTTGGCGTGTTTTGTAAATCCAAGGAGAGGCTCTGACTAGAGCCAGCAAGCCCAGCTATTTCTAGATTCTGATAGAATGGGTTTCCTCCTTGGGCATCTCTCTCGCTTTCACACTTTAAGACCCTGAGGTTGCAGGGAAAATAGGGTGACTTTTGTTAAAGAGCTGCAACTCGGCAGTTGTGTTGGAGGTCATGGTGCTTCGTCAGAGGCAGCAGTAATGTGTTTATTTATCACTGCCTACTGACCATATGTCCCCTTTCCCTTCAGTTTGTTCTGCCCAAGGCCGTTGGGGTCCGACAGAGATCAACAGTGTTTCTACCGAGATGCAGCAGCTCGTCAAAACCTGAATTAGATGTTAAATCTTTTTGAATTGGGGAGGAGGTGAAGGGAGGGAGGAATCATATTGTGCTAAGAATTTATCCTGTGTTGTTTCCTGTGAGATAATGTCCCTGGAAAGATTTGTTACCAAGCAAGTTGCAAACTGCTGTTTCAGGCTGATAGGTGTTGCCAATTCATTTTGATGAATTCTGCCAGTCAGAAGAGTATTTTTCCCTTCTTTCATTTGCTGAGGTTGGCTGGAGATGGACAACGGTTTTAAGAGCTGAGATGGCACACACTGGCATGCCCAGGGTATGTGGAATCAAAGATGCTTTGAGAAATACTTGGTGCTGCACAGAAAAGTAAATTATCAGGCTAAAAATGGTCTATCCTCTGCTCTCAGCTCCCAACCCATGTTCTCAGCTGCTGCTTTTCCTAGTTACTTACTATTGCTCCATTGATCCTCCCCTCCCAGACTCCATCCCTGTACCCTGCTAGCTTCCAAACAACCCTAATATCCCCATTCCCGCTAGGTGGGGAAGAGGTACAACCAAGTAGACTCTGGAGTCAGACTGAACCAGGCAGAAGTTCAGTACCCTCTCTAATGGGCTGACCTGGACAAATTACATTTCTGTGACCACCAATTTCTTCATCTGTAAACTGGAGGTAAACATAGGCTGGGTCTCCCTCACTATTTGAACTTGCACTATCTGCAGGCTTGCTATCCAAACACAAGCGCTGAATAGATTCAGATATATATTTAAACAAATTCCTTGCTCTCCGAACTTTTGCTCCTCACTCTCTAAAACTCAGGAACAAAACAGGGGTGCTCCTTTTTATCCTCACTTGCTCTCCAAACAGATACAGATTTTGAAGCACACTTGTACTGGTTTATAAAATTTAGTGTGAAATAATGTCATTAAAGTAGTTCGTACAGTACCAGTTAATAATGAGTGCTCAATAGGTGTTCACGAGGATGATGAGGACAATTAGGCGACCTTGAAATGGAGAATGGTGCTAGTTTGGCACTTACCTTGTTCCTGGATTTCCTTGGAATTACAGACCTTCGGCAACCCCAATTACTACCTCACATACTGGTTCTTCCATCTCAGCCTCTCCCTATGCCCCTGCTCATTTCCTAGGCACTTTTTCTGAGCTGTTGCCTTCCCTTCCCCTTGCCAGTCATGAGATAAGTGCAGACCTGTCCCCCTATTCTGGCAGTGTTGCCAGCCCTTAGACTCACACTAACCATTCCTGGGTCTACAATACATCCTGGGCTTCATACTCTTGCTTCTAGAGGGGCCTTGTCTTTCCACCTTGCAGATGAGGCAGCTCCTCCCACTTCTGGCCCAGACCCTGCCCAGTGCAATTCTTCCTACTGCGACTAATACATCTGTATTAGTCAGTTCTCACACTGCTAATAAAGACATACCCAAGACTGGGTAATTTATAAAGGAAATAAATTTAATTGACTCAGAGTGTAGCATGGCTGGGGAAGCCTCAGGAAACTAACAGTCATGGTGGAAGGGGAAGTAAACAGGTCCTTTTTCACATGGTAGAAGCAAGAATTGCCCAGCAAAAAGGAGAAAAGCCCCTTTTTACAAAATCATCAGATCATGTGAGAACTCACTCACTATTATGAGAACACCAGCATGAAGTTACCACCCCCATGATTCAATTATCTCCTACGGAGTCCCTCCCATGACATGTGGAGATTATGGGAATGACAATTCAAGATGAGATTTGGATGGGGACACAGCCAAACCATATCAACATCCTACAAAGATGTCCAAAGACAACTGTCAAATCCAAATTGGGCATTTCAGGGTTAGTCACAGCCACTCTGGGTTTTATTATATTCCTTTTGTTCCTCACTCTCAGCCAATCCGCTTTCTCTTTGTCTTGTCTTTGCCCTAGCTTTTGCCTGTTAACTCTAGAAGTTCTTTGTCTCTTTAAAATTGGCACCTTTGATGCTTTCTGCTAATCAAAACCTGTGGCCATGGTGACCCTGTAGAAAGTTGGAGCACTAGAGCTGCCCTCACTGGCCCAGGGAGTCTCTGTTGGTCAGGCTCATCCCCTGAACCACTTCTGGACACTTCCATCCCCTCTTGCTCGTACCCAGCTTCCTCCTTATGGCCTTGCAGCTCAGGATCCACAACTTCTGTTTTTTGCTTCAGTTTTCCCCAAGGAAGCATCTTAGAAATTGTCTCCTTGACTCTGCACGTAAGAGGTACCACCCTTTGCACCTCCCATGGCCTTTGGTTACCCCCAGCAGAGTGTCACTTGTCCTGCTGTGTCCTGGGGGCAGCTCAGCATTTTGTCCTCAGGTCTGTGACACTCCTGCAGAAATGTTGTTAGATAGATCTATCCTTCTCCCAGCTGCAAGATTCAAGCACATTCCTCTCCTCTCTGAGCCTCAGTTTACTCCTCTGTACAAGGAGAGTGAGAAGTGCTCAAGATATTGTTGCCTTTTCCTGGGGTTTCTGTTATTTTCTGGGATTTCTTTTTGAATAGGGTTGTTGAGGATTAAATAGTTTATATATGTAAAACATGTAAGAGACTACCACATGATAAGTGTTCCTAAAAGAAACTATGAACAAATCCAGTATAGCAATAAGTATTTTGCCAATAGCCATGTTGGGTGGTATACAAAGGGGACCTATGTAGGCTGGGGTGAGGGTTCCAGGTGGGTTCCTTGGGCTGGGAAATGATTGGAAGCCACAGTTTATCTTAAGGGATCTGCAGCACAAGGGGAGATGAGGATGGGGCTGTGCCAGGAGGAAGGAGCACATGATAGACTCTCTGACTAGACCTCTCTCGGGACTCTCAGCTACTTTTCACCTCTTGGACTCTGCTGAGCTCTTGGATTCCTCCTGTTGAACAGGGGCACCAAGGGGGTCTGGAACACTAAGAGAAGCTCTCTCTTTGTTCACTTGCACTTTTCTGTTATATTGATTCTTAATCAGCCATTTTTATGCTCTTATGGGAATAGCCTTTGAGGTCTTCTGCAAATGTCCCAAGTGCAAAACAAGATCAAACTTCCTCTTCAGATTTCTTTTTATCCTTTCTTTTTTTTTTAGACAGAGTCTCACTCTATTGTCAGGCTGGAGTGTGGTGGCATGATCTCAGCTCACTGCAACCTCCACCTCCCAGGTTCAAGCAATTCTCCTGCCTCAGTCTCCCAAGTAGCTGAGACTACAGGTGCGCACCACCATGCCCAGCTAACTTTTGTATTTTTAGTAGAGATGGGTTTTCACCATGTTGGCCAGGATGGTCTCTATCTCTTGACCTCATGATCCACCTGCCTCGGCCTCCCAAAGTGCTGGGATTACAGGCGTGAGCCACTGCACCCGGCCGTCCTCAGCTTTCTAAATTCTTCACTTGACCTTGGTCTAGAGAGGCAAGAGTAGAACCCCATCTCTCGCTGACTGCACCCTTCTTTCTTCCACAATGCTCCAAGGTCAAAGGGGCAGTATTCATCCTTAAGGGAAGAATAAGCCCATTTCCCTTCCTCTTTATTCCTCCCTCTTTCCAAAGAAGTATCCCACATCCTTTTTCCAGGAACTACAATGGTTGACAAAACTGAGATAGAGTGAGAGAGAGAGAAACTAGATTATCTATAAGGTGTATTAAGAAGCATTGTATTTATTATTTAGAAGTATTATATTTATTATTATAGTATTATTATAATTCAGAAGTATTATATTCATTCACACATAATAGATGTCCAATAAAAATTTGTTGAATTGCACAATGTGGTTGAAAGAGCATGGACTTGAAATTCAGGCTGGTCTGGTTCAAGTCTTGGCTTTGCCACCTACTAACCATGTGAAGTGAAGACTGGCACCATGGCCATGAACAGAAATGAAAATTGTTTATGCCACATCACTGGAGTGATTGGAGCAAATTCTTTTCACTGTGCTTTGTACAGGCATAAACTTAAGATTTTGTTTTACAAACTGATGATTATATTGGCTGTTAACAGAGCTTAAATCCTGGCATTTAGAAACCTACTTTAATACTTACTCAAAGACTATCTGGTCAGAAATACTCCCCTTTTCCTTCTTGAAATGTTAAAATTCAATAGGAAAGTGACCCGTTCAAAGATGAACTCTATTTTATAAAGATGTTTTCAGTGGGCCATGGGTAAAAAAATATTTCATAAACCAGGGGAAGCCACTAAATCAAGGAGTGAGGAAAGAAATAGACTTGCTAAAGCAGTACCATATTGGTGTGGGAAGGCGATATATTCAGTACTTTTTACTATATTTGGCTGCAAACTCAAGACAGTTTTTGCCTTGATCTATGACTGAGATTCAGTGGCATGGGCACCATTTGAACTAATCCTCCTCGGGGCTTCTTGCTCTAACAAGGAGACCATAAATGATGACGATTGGGTGAGTATTTTGAAAAGGAGAGAAGGAGGTCCTTTTGGCTGCAAAGTTCTGATGGATTCATGGAGCTACTGAATATGCCTATTGGATCACAGGAAACATGCAGGTGGAACATGGATTGCTAACAATAGAAGGCAAGACTGAGACTAAAGTGGATTCAGGAAGAAGGTGTCTCTGCTGTCAGGTGGATTACTTTGGAAACAGGCTCTGAGAGAGATTTTGCAGGCAGGTTTATAAGGAATACACTTGGGATCTGCACCTGTGGATGGAAGGAGAGGAAAGCAGAAGAAGACAGAGGGGAAAATACAGCTTTAATGTAGCCCAAAGACAACCCCAGTTGACCCCATTGGGAAATCTGGTAGAATAGCCTTCAAAGTTGACCCCAGCTGGGCTAAAGTGGCTGGGTTTTTAAACTGTAGCACCCATCAGTTGAGTCCAGGGTACTCCATGAAAGAGTGTGGCCTTGGGTGAGATGGATCACTTGGGAAGCTGAGGCAATTGTTGAAGAGGCTGACAGGTGAAAGATGTTGCTCAATGGTGCTCATTGAAATGCTTTTTGGAGAACACATCACAGTATCCACTGAGATCTTTCTCAAGGGCTGAGAATGCCAAGTCTGTGCATACTTGGTTGCAGGTTTATATGCTAGGTTTGAAGATCCAACTATTAATTGATTGGATAAATCCTTGCTATGTTAGAGATTTGGCTAAGAAGAAGCAAAGCAGTTCCTTTCAATCATCCAGACTGCTATGGAATCTTTCCCTTCCTGCAAGCATGAGTATATAGACTGGGATATCATTGTTGTTGAGTGTGGACTCTGGAAACAGATGAACTACCTTCAAAACCTAGCTCAGCAACCTTCCAGCTGTCTGACCTTGGAACAATGACTTGACCTCTCTTAACTTTCATTTTCTTCCCTGTAAAATGGGAATAAGGACAGTATACAATTTATATAGTGTTGCAAAGCTCTTTCTTTGTGCATGCCTCACATAATTAGTAGTCAATAAAAGTTAGCAGTTGTTGTTATTTGTCCTCTTAGTAGTATATCAGAGAAAAGGAAGGATTTACCCATTTTTTTTTCTAATCCTGGTGTTAGCACAAAGACAGTAGAAGTCCCAGCCTGGGCTTTGTGGGCAGAGGTCCTGTTAGGGTCACAAGTGTACTTCTAGAGAGTCTCTAGGGTCAGCTCCTCTTGAAATCCTGGAGATGACTGAAACCACAAAATTAGCTTCTGGGTTGTCTTTGCAGGGTATTCTACTTGATTATAACTATAAGGCACCTTGGATCATCTCAATGCCAGGAATTATCAATGTTAGGCCCTGAAGTTTCAGTTATATATGTGTCAATTCAATACATGGAACCACATGGGTGTATCTGAGTATACTTGAATGTTAAGGACCAGTGATTCTCAAAGTAGGTCCACGGACCAGTAGAGACAAAGCCACTTGGGATTTTGCTAGCAATGCAAAGTTTCGTGGCCTCCCACAGACCTACAGAAACTCTGAGGGTAGACTCCAGCCATCTGTGATTCTGATGCATGCTAATGTCTGAGAATCAATGGTATAGATAAGGGGTTGGTAAATTTTATTGTAAAGGGCCAGAGAGTAAATATTTTAGGCTTTGCAGCCAATGTGATCTTTGCTACAACTACTCAACTATGTTAGTATAATGCAAAGCAGCCATAGACAATAAATGAATGAATGGTGTATGGCTGTGTTCCAATTAAACTTTATTTTACCAATTAAACTTTATTTAACCAAAACTGCCAGGCCACAGTTTGTCAATTTCTGGAATAGGCACATGTAGGATCATAATTTACTCCCTTAAGGTGATTATTTCTTTCTCTAGAATATGTTCATTCATTCATTTATTCAATCATTAATTTAATTTAATTTTTCCATTGTGTGAGGATCTCTGCATGCTAGGCATTCTGATAAGAATCAAGAGATGCAACAATAAATGGGACAGACACCATCCTTCTATCATAGATCTTAAAGTTTAATGCTAGACACAAAAAGGTAATTCACAAATAACTGTCGCAATAACTGTATGACATAAAGGATGGAATTAGAGGAATGATGGGGTGAACTAATCTAGTCTAGGGAGGGTAGAAAAAAGCCTCTCCAAGGAGGTATCCTTTAAGATGAAGTCCTGAGGGTAGTAACTAGGTGTATATTACCCTTGTACGAGCTTTGTCCTCATAGCTCATTTTATCCTCACACAACTCAATAAAGTGGACAATATTATTATTCATGGTTCACAGAGGAAGAGGTTGAAGCCCAAGAAGGACAAATAGTGTGCTCCCAGATTTGAACCCAGGCAGTTTAGGACTAGAGGCAGTGTTTTTAACGACAATTCTCTACTAACTAGTTAATGGGAAAGAGAAGAACATTCAAGGCAAAGAGGGCAGTTCACAGTCTCGTGGGGTACTCACTAATTTCATCATTTCATTTTGGGGAGCCTGTTGTAATCTAGGCATCATGTTTGGTACTAAGCATGCAACAGGAAAAAAGAAAGACTTTCTGCTTTTATGAAACTTACAAATGAGTGCAGAAGACAGACATTACTGAAAACTAGGGGGAAAAGGGCAGAGGGAGAATGGAAAAGGTAAGAGAATACAACGGAGTGAAGAGAAAGATCTGAGGCTTTAATATTGAACAGAGAAAGGGTAGAGAGATTAACACCAAATCTCCTTTCCTCACTTCTTTTGTCAAGTTATATCTCTAGGGCTTTTGATGATTAAATCCAATTCTTGATCAACAATAGCTGGAAAAGAAGTCTCTGATAAAACATTTTTACCTGTAGGCACTCAAATGGAGAACTAAAATGAAATGAAACATGTAAACTTGAAGTCACAGTTGAATTACAGGTTGACAATTGGGCACTGAATATCAGTTGAAGATATAATTGCTCCTCTAACTGCCGTTTCCAATTGCAGGGCCCAGTTGTGACGACTGAGCTCCACTAAAATGGGACCAAGTATAATGATATGAGTAAGTTGAAAGCAAAAGGATGTAAAAAGATATACTTAGCAAATATTACTCAGAGATTAATAAGATATTCTGAGAGAGAATCTCTGATATCTATGAGTGTGACTCAGAGATAATGCAAGGATGGCTATGTTAATATACAAAACAGGCTTCAGAGCAAAGAAAATTACTAGCTACAGAGAGATGTAGTACATAATGATAAGTCATGGTAATACTAAATGTGTATATACCAAACAACAGAGCAGAAAACATGTAAAGCAAAAGCTGACAGAACTGAAAGGAAAAAGAGATGAATCCATATTATAGTTGAAGATTTTAACACTCCCTCTATTTCAACAATTGGTAGAACAACTAGAGAAAATCACCAAAGATATAGAAGAATTCAACAACATCATCAACCAACAGAATCTGATTTGATATTTATGGAATACTTCTTCCAACAACAGAATATACATTCTTTTCAAGTGTCCACAGGAGAAATATTTTTATTAAAAACTTATACAAATTTAATATAATTTTTATCATTCAGAGAGTGCCCTCTGGCCATAATGGAATCAAACTAGAACTCTTTAACAGGGAGATAACAGACAAATTTGCAGAATCTTGAAAAGTAAACAACACTTTTAAATAATGCATGGTCAAAGAGGAAGCCTCAAGGGCAATAAAAATACAGTAAAATAAATGGCAATGAAATATAACATATCACAATATGTGAATGCAGTTAAAGTAGTGCAAGAGGGAAATTTATAGCACTAATTGCTTACTTTAGAAAGAAGAAAAGTTTCAAATTAATAATAAAACTCACATTTCCAGAGCCTTAAAAAGGGGAGAAAAGTAAATCCAAGACAGTCATAAGAAAGGAAATATAAGCCAGGTGTGGTGGTGCACACCTGGAGCCCCAGCTACTCAGGATGCTGAAGTGGAAGGATTGCTTGAGTCCAGGAGTCTGAAGCTACACAGTAAGTTATAATTTTGCCACTGTACTTCAGGGCAAAAGAATGAGACTCTGTTTCCAAAATAAAAAAGGAAATAATAAAGATAACAGCAAAAACAATTAAAAATTTAAAACAATTAAAAAATCGATGAAACAAAAAACTGGTTCTTTGAAAATATCAACAAAAGTGACAAACTTCTAACAATATTTACAAAAGAAAAAGAGAGAAGACAAAATATTGACATCACATATGAAGCATATATCACAACAGACCCCGTAGATATCAAAAGACATATAAGAAATGCTATGTATAATACATTACACATAAATTTCACAACGTAGATGAAATGGACCAATTTCTCAAAAAGCACCAACTACCACAATTGATCCAATATGAAATAAATATTTGAATAGCCCTGAAATTATTAAGGAGATTGAATTTGTAATTTAAAAACTTCCCCCAAAGAAATCTCCAGGCCCAGATGGTTTCTCTGTAGAATTCTATCAAAAGTTTGAAGAAGAATTAAAACGAATACTATATGATCTATTCCAGAAAGTAGAGGCAGAAGGAACATTTTCTGATTCATTTCATTACACCAGTATAAATAAAAGAAAACTATAGAGCAAATATTCTTCGTGAAATGAACACAAATATTTTTAACAAGATATTAGCAAATATAAAAAATATATAATACATAATAATATTATATAATATGTAATAAAAATAATACATTGTGACTAAGTGGAATTTATTTTAGAAACACAAGGCTGTTTAAATATTCAAAAATCAGTCATTGTAATTCACCATATTAATGGACTAAAGATGAAAAAATCACATAATTATTTTGATGATACAGTAAAAGCATTTGACAAAATTTAACATTTATTCAGGTAAAATCACAGAAAACTATGAATAGATAAGAACTCCCTCAGCTAAATTACATATATATATATCTATAATAATCTACTGTTATTATTATACATAATGGTGAAATATTGAAAGTTTCTTCCCTAAGATCAACACTAAGGTGAGGATGACAACTGTTAATACTGTCCTTTGACATAGTGCTGAAAGTTCTAGGCACTGCAATAAGACAAGAAAGGAAATTAAAAACATGTAGATCAGAAAAGAAGAAATAAAAGTTTCACTCTTTGAAAATGACACAATGTCTAATCCCAAGAAATTAACAAAAACTTACAATGAATAAGTGAGTTCCAAAGTTTTCAGAATATTAGATCAATGTGCAAAAATCAACTGTATTTCTATATACTAATAACCAATATGTAGAAATCCAAATTAAAAATATGATACTGCTTAACAATTGTTAAAAATGAAGAAATACTTAAATATATATTGAACAAAATATGTATGGGATTTTTATTCCGAAAACTAAAACACTGATGTAGTAACCTAAAAAGGAAATTTTTTGAAATGTTGAGACATACCATATTCATGAATTGGATGACTTAACATATTAAAAATGAAAATTCTATACAAATTGACAGGTTTAATGTAATTTCTATCAAAACCCCAGCCAGGCATTTTGTAGATACAGATAATATTATTCTAAAATTCATATGGAAAGGCAAAAAAAAAACAGTATAGCTAAAACACTTGAAAGAAAAATAAAGTGAAAGAAAACACTCTAACCAATTTCAAGATGTATCATGTAGCTAAGTAATTAAGACTATGTGGTATTGGTAGTGGGTAGGCATCGATGGAACAGAATAAAAAACAAAAAAAGTCCCATATAAGTTTTGTGAACTGATTTTAGACAAAAATGCACAAGAAATTCAATGGAGGAAGGGCAGTCTTTTCAACAAATGGTGCTGGAGCAATTAGATAATCATATGCAAAAGATAAATCTCAACTTAAACCTCATACCTTATGTAAAATTTAACTCAAATCATATATTTAAAAGTAAAATATAAAACTATAAAACTTTTAGAAGGAAACACAGGAGAAGATCTTCAAGACTGAGTGGTTAGTGAGGACATTTTAGACATGACACCGAAAGCACAAACAATTTTTAAAACCGGTTAAAAAAGGTAATAAATGCAACTTCATTAAAATTAGCCCAATGAAACAGACCAAAATTAGTCTGTGAAAGGTCCTTTTAGGAGGATAAAAAGACAAGCTATAGACTGGGAGAGAACAGTATTTGCAAACCACTTAATAAAGAACTCATGTGAAAAATATTTGAAGAATTCTAATAACTAAATATTAAAAAACAATCTAATTAGAAAATGTACAAACAACAGGAAGAATTATTTCACTGAAAAGTGAATAACAAGCATCTCATAACGAAAGATGGTTAACGTTATTAGCCATGAAGGAAATGCAAATTAAAACAAAATGAAATATCACAACACACTTATTAGAACAGCTGAAATAAAAAAAAGTGAAAATAACAAATGCTGATGAGGATGTACAGAAACTAGATATTTTAAACACTGCTGGTGAAAATGTAAAATGGTACCGCCACTCTGGAAAATAGTTTGGCAGTTTCTTAAAACCATACCACTCAGAATTACACTCCTGGACACTTATCCCAGAAAAATAAAAAGTTATATTCACAGGGACTGTTCATGATTGTTCAAGGCAGCTTTATATGTAGTAAGTCAAACTGAAAACAACCAAAGTATCCTTTATGGGTGACTGACTAAACAAACTGTTTACATTTACACCGAAGAATACTACTCACCAATAAAAAGAAACAAACTATTGATATTCATAACAACCTGGATGGCCCTCTGGGGAATTACGCTGAATGAAGAAAGCCAATCTCAAAACACCATATGCTGTACTCTTGTACTTACATAACATTATTTAAATGACAAAATTATAAAAATGGAGAACAAATTAGTAGCAAAACAAAAATAACTATGACGCATTGGAGACATATTTGTATTAAGTATGGTCGAAGGAGAATTACCCTCTATGCTACAAAAAACAATTCCTGCAAACAGAAAAGGAAAAAAAAATCCATAATTTTAAAAGTTAAATATGGACATAATTTCAAAAAGCATAGACAGCATAGAGCTCACAATATAGAAAACAAAAATGGCTAATAAAGGTAGACAGTGTTTAATCTCAGTGGTAACCAAAGAAATTTGAATACAAAATCAATGTGATACAGTTTGTCAAATAAATTAGCAAAGTTTATAAAAACAACAACATTCTAGGGAGGTTATGATGAGACAAAATACTTTCATCCATAATTACTAGAGTAGAAATCAGCATACAATTGGGAAAACAACCTGGGAAAATATGTCAGAAACCTTAAAAATATTTACACCCTCGACCAAATATTTGCACTTTCTGACATTTATTGTAAGAGCACAGCATTAGTTTCTTAGGGATGCCATACAAGGTACCACTAACCAGCAGACTTCAACAACAGAAAAGAATTGTCTTGCAGTTCTGGAGGTTTGAAGTCTGATATCAAGGTGTCAGCAGGATGTGAGACAGAATCTGTTCCATGCCTCTCCTCTAGCTGCTAGCGGTTTTCTGTCAATCTCCTGCACTCCTTGGCTTGTAAGTGCATCACTCAGAATTCTGCCTTCATTCGCAGGAGGTGTTCTCCCTGTGTGTATATCTATCTGTGTCCAAACTTCTGCTTTTTATAAAGATACCAGTCATTGGAATAGGGCCCACCCATATGACCTCATCTTGCCTTAATCATCTGCAAAGATCCTATTTCCAAATAAATTCTCATTCACAGGTACAGGGGATTAGGATTTCAATATCTTTTTGGGAGGCACAATTAAAGCCATAACAGACATAATCTAAAATTCAAAACAACAACTTTATTTTAGTATAAAGGAATTCATGTTATTTATTAGTATAAAATATTAAAAATAATACAAATACATAACACTGTGAAATAGTCAGATAGTGCTGGGATTACAGGCGTGAGCCACTGTGCCCGGCCAAAGCTTGGGTTTTATAGACATGGACAGAATTTCCTGAAGACCTTGTTTCAATCCTACCTAGTGGCTTAGCCACTTCCCCTCTCTGAACTTCAGTTTATCCATATGTGAAATGGGAGGACAATGCGTGATGCTGATTCCAGAGAACATTTTGAGGGTCAAGCTGAATCTACCCCTACCCTTGGCAGCCTCTGCTACAGGTACGTCGTAACCCTCTGATGTCTAAGCTGTTCCCTCCTGCATATTCTTCTACCAGTATCCTATTTCTGAAATAGTGAAGCCAGTCCTATTCCTTCTTAATTCTTTCTGCTTTGTTTGCAAGGTTCTAACTATTCAAATTTAATTTCTCTACTTGCTTCCATTCCTTGACTTTCAGGATATTATTTTTATTTATTTTCCCATGGAACGTTTGTAAGTGTTGAATGATTTTGTTATGGAATTGTGAAATTAGGGAATTTAGTTCTGGAATGGATTCCCCAAAAGATAATTTATTCAGATAATTATGGCCTCACTCTTCCTTTGAAGAATACTAGTATTTAAATATTTAACAATATTAATTACAATATTTTATATTTATATATTGCATAATATATTATTTTAATAATATTTTTAAAAATAAAGTGTATATATGCAATTGTGGCCAGAATTTGTGAACTGTTGTTGATACTCACTCAAGACATTGCAGCAGCAAAAAGATTCTTAGATGTATTAATAGAGGGCTATGTTAATTCCCCACTATATTTTCTATTTGCCTCAGGAAACAAATTGCCATTTGGCATTACTATTGTTTTCTGAGAAAGAAAACTTCTGCTAAATTAAAGGCTGCTTCACGAGCTGATCATCTTGATTCATTTAGCAATAGAAGTAGGAGTCAGAGGTTGCAAAACTGTTCATCACAGTATGGGATGAGTAATTTGAAGTCTGCCGAATTGAGGAGGCATGGAGTGAGGAAGAGAGAGGGAGTAAAAGCAAGAGGGTGGGGGGAGGAGAGGAGGCAGTGGGCACTGGGTGGGAAGGAGTCCCAGGTGTGGAGTGGCTTTTCTTTGCAGACAAGAAAGCTAATTACTATAAAAATTCCTGTTGTGTGATCTCTTTGTGAAACAACAGCTTGATTTGAAGTCTACTACATTAAAAATGCTGCATGTGACTTATTTCTGTTCTATATTTTACTTGCTAATATGTATGTGTGTTTTAATTGATGAGAAGATTGATATTCATCCCACACTTAGGTGGTCAGGAATCCCAGAGGTAGAGGAGGCCACAAGATTCTAATGATTACAGGTACACTGGAATTTGGAGAAATCTTGGGGAGGCCACAAGCTACACAACTGGGAATTCAAGAAAATCATGCCTATGTCTCCAGGGTTATGAAGCTTCCAGCTGACCTCTGGATTACATAAGAGCATAACTACCTTCTCCCTCTGGTAGGAGCAGGACCCTGGAATGCCTCTCCACCCTATTCTCCCTTCCTCTTGGGCTGCAGCTGCTGTAGCAATTGTCCCTAGGGCCTCTTTTAGGAGAGAGGAAGCAAAGCCTCCAACCTACACGTTTTAAAGGACTTTTTAATTGAGGAAAGGTTGCACAATGCAAATGAACAATGGGTCTCACTTCCAACCTCCCCCAGAAAGAAGCTGCTCCTTGATTGACAAAGGAAGGAAATGGAAGCTAGACATTTCAGAAACCAGCACTAGAATAAAGAGATCAATGTGAGACACATTGCAGGATAGGAAAACCAAAACTATTTCCAATCACTGATCCAAGGCTTTCCTTTCAATCTCTTACGGGAATTAGCATTTTAGAAAATGAACAAGGCAGCCTTGAACTACCCAGAGAAATGTGAACTTCTGAGCCTTCTGGTCACTGGACTTGTCTTTGGATGAAAAGAGAAGAAATAAACGTATATTGAGTACTTGCTGTGTGATAGGCTCTGTGAGAGGTGCTTCATGAACACTATCTCATTTAATACCATTTAACAATGTCCCTATGAAGCGTGCATAATTATCTCACTATATAGGTAATGGATTTGAGGCTCACTAAAGTGACTATTTCAGTGAATGTGTCAAATACTGCTGAAGTGGCTTGCATGTGATCATTTTGGGAAGATGGTCAGGCTGGTAGCTACTGTATTGGACAGCACACATTTATAGAACATTTCCATCATTGCAGAATGTTCTATTGGTCAGTATTATTCTAGAGAAAATATAAGAGCTTGAAACAGTCCCAGGCAGTAGAAGAGGGTATTTGCAAAAGTGGGAGATATGGTAGGAGTAAAGCAGGACATTGGTGCTCCAGGAATTAGGCAGAGGTTCATAATTTAGGGTCTTGAAATGCAATATATGGAAGATCCAAACCAGGGAGTAGATTAGATGATCCTTCACCGAGACTCAAGGATGATCAAGTTGGAGGATATTAGGTGGGCAATGCTGCTCAGTGGGTGGAGCTTCAGACAGACTTTATGCCTGCATTTTGAAGGTCGACATGGGAAATATGCCATGTAGTCATCTTTGTCCCAGCTGGGTAAGGAACTGGTATGGTTGAGCCAGCACTGACCTAACAGGGCAGAGCTGTGGCAGGAGGGGTTGAAAACAGAAACCTTCACCTCATTTTATGCTCACTTGCAGAATCTGTGAGTGAGTGTGTGTGTGTGTATGTGTATGTGTGTGTGTGTTGGAAAGGCAAAGGCAATTAAGCATGCTTTAATCCTTGACTGAGTAGTTTATTTTCTTGCGTATCCTGAATTCCAGTTTGAACTCTACTGAGTGCATCAAATTGGAATTGAAATCTTAGAGAGGTTTTAGCATCCAAATAACTCTTTCTCTTCTCTTTATCTGTGAGGGTCTCCTTTAAACCTGAGTCCACTTTGAGCTTTCTTATGGGATAAAAAGATGAGTTGGCTAGGGCAATAAAACAACTTTCTCTTTAAATCCATGTTGGAAATGTTTACCTAGCTTGGTCATAATTATGCACACTACTCTGGACTAAATAGAAAAGAACTAAGTGATATAAAGGACTTACATTCCAGTAACCTCTATATTAGCTCAGCAATAATTCCAGCAAAAATGTTTTCATCAGCTCAGTTTCTGTTTTCAGAATCAGCTCTTGAGCTATCTCTAAGAAGCAGTTAACCACTATTATTGTTAGCATACACCAAATATAATTATAGGTAAAATGCTTGAATGAGATACTTCTTGTAGGAGAAATGGAGTCTCTGTTAAATTCTTGAATACTATATTCATGTTGGAGATTTGCAAAAAACTTTTTAACAAAAAAAGGCTCTGAGAAGTCCTGCAGTAAAGAAACCTTTTTCCCCTTCCTGTGTCCATGTGTTCCCATTGTTTAACTCCCACCTATGAGTGAGAACATGCGGTGCTTGGTTTTTTGTCTTTGTGAATAAACAAACAAACAAACAAACAGAAAGAAACCTTTTTAATTCTATTTAAGCCAGAATTTCCTAAATTAGCTCGGAAAGTTTTTTATTTTATTTTCTTGTTTGCTTTTCTGCTTTCTTCTTTGTTATGCATGAAACATCTGGAGAATAAAGCTCTATACAGCATAGTTTGAGAAACACTAGCATAAATACGGCAGAATAATGATATGGAGTGGAGGAGATGTTTGTGTTTGGGCTGTGTTTTACTTTCAGGAAACCTGAAACAATGATGGGTATTTGGGGGAAGTTATAGTTTTCATGAGCCTGTCATGAAAAATCTGAGAGAAACTCTTAAAACTTTGTGATTGCTTCTTTAAACTATTGTCCACATTTTATTGTTGAGCATAAACTCTACACTACCTTTTATTTACTAGTTCAATTTCAAACATTAGCAACTTAATGATCACTGCAGGCAAAAATTTACCTTCTGCTGTAACCTTCAGAGGTATTTTATTCAATACTTTGATGAAGCTTATGGTGAACTGACATGATTTGCCACCACATTAGTTTCTTACCATCTTTGTATATTATCATGGCCTCCTAATTTACCTTCATTTCTTGCAAATCACCTTCACTGTTCCCTAAAACTCCACCGTATTACTATGACAAAGGTCATCACAGCAAGAGTTGTCTACTTGAACCACATCATCACTCTCCACTGGCAACAAGGCAGTATATACATTAAATATGTACAACTTTTAACATGCCAGTCATACCTCAACGAACCACAACCAGTTTCTTGGAATCATTTGAGCTTGTGACCCCTGTCATGCCTTTGCTAGTGCCAGTCCTTCCTCTTGATGAGTCCTTTTCTCAACTCACTCATCAAACATCTAGTCACCCTCCAGGACCCAGTTCAATTGTCATGACTCCTGTGGAATATTTCTTGATATTTGCAGGAAAAGTTATTTGTTCCTTTTTCTGTGCTCCTATTGTGGGTTTTTGTTTTTTGTTTGTTTGTTTGTTTTTGAGATGGAGTCTCGCTCTGTGGCCAGGCTGGAGTGCAGTGGTGCAATCTCTGCTCACTGCAACCTGTACCTCCTGGGTTCAAGTGATTCTCCTGCCTCAGCCTCCCGAGTATCTGGGACTACAGGGGCCTGCCACCACACCCGGGTAATTTTTGTATTTTTAGTAGAGACGGGGTTTCACCATGTTGGCCAGGATGGTCTTGATCTCTTGACCTCGTGATCCACCTGCCTTGGCCTCCCAAAGTGCTGGGATTACAGGCGTGAGCCACCGTGCCTGGCCTCCTATTGTGTTTTCTATTTATTCATACTTTTGGCTTTGATTTTTAAGGCATAATAAAAATTATTGGAAAAAAATCCTGTGTCAAAGAGAAACTTGAAAAAAAAAACTATATTGAACTCCATCTTCTCTTCTAGCTTTATTTGACAAAGTTACACCATTGCCAATATTTAAAAGTACCACATACATTATTCCCCAAGCATGAGGTTATATGTGTTACAAACATTTTCTCTTCAATCCTTAAGGCAAAAGTGAAGATTTTATCCCTACCCTCCAGATGGCTTTATCCAAGTTTGTCTAGCTCCAAAGATCTGTAACCTTTTCACTATGTAACACTGCCTCTCAGGTGCATGACTAGCCATGCTGTGTGTCACTCAGCACACTTCATATTTATAATAATTGCTTTTAATTCTCAGATAATCCTTCAAGGCAATATTAGTATCCATATTTATAACCAAGGAAAGTAAGTCTTACTTGCCCTAGGTCAATATAGTAGTAAATGTTAGCTTAAAACCCTATACTTTTTCCGGTGTATCACACAGCCTCAGCTTTCCACTGTTCAGGAGACAGCATCCTCGGGTTTCAAATGGACACCAGGAAGCTCTATTGGATCTTTAGTCATGAAAGTTGATTCAGAAATCACACTCAAGGGTGCAACGATTAACCATTAAGAACATACAGGGAAAAGAAGAACATATTAAAGAACACCACTGGCTAACACAAACAATAAAATCCAAACAACCTCATTTCAACTAACATATTTCAAGGAAAAGAAAGGGAGACAGTTAGAGGAAGGGGAAAGAGAGAGAGGGAGGAGGAGGGAGGGAAAGGCTGTAGATTAAAAGATAATTAAGTGCATGTGTGACCTTCATTATATGTGGGATCTAAAATAGCTAAACTCATAGAAGCAGAGAATCACATGGTGGTTGCCAGGTGCTGAGAGGAAGAAACAGAAAGAGGTTGTCAAAGAGTACAGCATTTCAGTTAGGCAAAGTAAATAAGTTCTGGAGATCTACTCTACAGCCTAGGGTCCATAGCTAACAATAATGTATCGTATACTTAAAATTTGCTAAGAGAGTAGGTCTTATGTTACATGTTTTTACCACATATAAAAAATGACAATAATAAACAGGGCAGAAGAAAACTTTGGAAGGTAATGGACACATCTTTGGCCTTGATGGTGGTAATGGTTTCATGGGTGTATACTTATCTCCAAACTAATCAAGTTGTATACATTAAATATGCACAGTTGTTAACATGTCAGTCATACCTCGATAAAGTGATATAAGCAAATAAATTGCAATGTACATATCTATTTCAATTTTTATTTTGATTAAACATAAATTATAAGAAGATCAGGAAAAATCTGAATACTGATTGTGTATTTGATAAAATTAATTAATAATTGTTCATTTGTGGGTATGATAATGTGATTGTGATTATGTTTAAAAAAGGAAGTCCTAGATTTATAGAGATAAATATTAAAATATCTACATATACAATAATAGATATTTTGGATATGCTTTCAAACAATCTGGGACAGAGGCCAATGGATAGAATTCCGGATAAAACTAAATTGGCCATGAGTCTATAATTCTTGATGCTGGATGTTGGGGTTCATTTTTATTATTCTAAATTCAAACCTTCTAATTAAAAAAATTAAAAATTACTAATTAGCCGAACATATTCATTCCTTGAGAAGGGTTCATAGAGGCTTTGAATGTTTTGTTGTCAATAAATTAAGATGTAAAAGGAGAAAATGTATCTTTCAGCCATATTCTTATCCCTATAGCCAGATTCTTGTTTTACCACTCAAGAGCAATTCTTTTTTTTTTTTTTTTTTGAGATAGAGTTTCACTCTCGTCACCCAGGCTGGAGTGCAATGAGGCAATCTTGGCTCACTGCAACCTCTGCCTCCCGGGTTCAAGCAATTCTCCTGCTTCAGCCTCCCAAGTAGCTGGGATTAAAGGCACCCGCCACCATGCCCAGCTAATTTTCATATTTTTAGTAGAGACGGGGTTTCACCATGTTGATCAGGCTAGTATCAAACTCCGGACCTCAGGTGATCCACCCGCCTTGGCCTCCCAAAGTGCTGGGATTACAGGTTATGAGCCACTGCACCCAGCCAACAGTGATTCTTTAGGACTACCTACTTAGCCATAAATTGGCAAGGCAAAAATAATCACAAGCATTTCTCCTTGTGCTTCATGTTACTTGTTGTCATGGCAGCCTGTATTTTGAAAATGGATTTGAATTTGCCCCTGGATGTATTAAAATATATTAATTTTTGGCATGGAATGAATTTTAGTTTTGTATCATGTCATCAGTATAAAAGATTCCAGGAGAGAATTTATGTTTGCCAAGGTGCCATTGGTGTGATAATATTAAGAGTTTCCATAGTAATTCTTCCTACTCCAGTGCTAATTTGCTCTCATTGAGCATATGTTGGGATTTCCCAGAAGGAAGAAGTTAGATGGAAGCAGCATGAGTTGGACACTGGGAGGGATGAACTAGGCCTGCTTCAGAAAGAGAGCAGTCACTTTAATCACCAAATCCAAGGAGTAAAGCAAAGTCACATTCCATCTGGGTCAAGGTTGATGTGTGAGGAGTGTTATTGCAGGAATGGGAAAGAGTGGCAAAGGGGTTTGGATCTTAGCAGAGTCCTCTTTATTCTCTCAGTATCAGACTCATTCAACAAAGGGTCTTATTCAAGATGTGGTAGGGCTGCTCAAACAAATGCAGGGCCTGTGGAGGGAGAGCCTGGCTTGGGGTCATGATGCTTTCCCGGGCTACATTACTCAAAGCCTCAAGAGCATGATTTGCCAACATGGCCTTACCCTGGGAGTGTAATAAATGAAAGAACTGGTACTGGAGGCCAGCCAGGCAATCAGGCCTTAGGCAATATATAGGCGTTTGGGAAGAAAGGACTCATATAGACACCTGAGTATGCATTCTCTCTCACCACTATGCATGTTGACCATCATATACAAAATAGTAACTATTTCCAAAGCTTTCTTTCCTCATAGGCAGGGAGGTGCTGACACCCTCCTAAATTAGGTCTCCATTGCCCTAGGATTGGGTAGGGTTGTGGATGCTGGTGGCCAGTAGTCAGTGCCTGCCACTGTGCTGGTCAGGGCTAGGGAAGTTGAGTGATGGGTTTTTTCCAACTGCTTCTTTTCTGGCCCATGAGAACAACGGAAGGCAGCATGACCTGGAAGATGAGATGTGGCCTCTTTGCCAGCACAGTTTAGAGCTGAACCTAAGGCTAATGCTCTGGGCCAATAGTCATTGACCTCTAAAACCAAGGCTTCCCTGAGTCAGGGAGCCTCAAATTCTGCAGTCTGCACTCCACACTCTTCACTGTTTACTTATCTGATGGAGCTGTTCTCTTGGAAAGCTGTGTTATTCCTGTAATGCAAAGTGACAGAGAAAATAAAAACACCCAGCTGAGAAAAAGCCACAATGTTAATGTGAAACACAAACTTTCTGTTCATCTGAATCTCAGTTTATTTTAAAACAGAACCATAACGGCTCAGATCCTGAAGACTGGGAAGCACTGTTGCTACAGCTGTCCCACTCTCAGATCCTTCTCTGACTTGCCTTCTGGTCTTAATCCTTAGCACTTTTCCCAGGAAGGAATGTCAAGTCAAGGTGGTAAGATGTCAGATTGCCCTCCCTGAATATGGCTTAAAGACCAAGTTAAGAGCAAATTCTTAAGTTTGCAGTAGATGAACCAGAAACTAGTCACCATATGCTCCCCACTAACACTGAAGTCCCTCTGGCTGAATAAAAGCTTGGCCTGAGTTTCCCAGGAGGTTTGTTCTGGATGAATCTGGCTTTTGTGTTCCATCTGAACCAAGTTCGGGGTCTAATCCCAAACTCTCACAAGCTGGCATTGAGCGACATCTGTTTGGCATCTTCTATACCCTGTTTTCTTGGTGTTTGCCTGCATTTTTTGGAATTAGCTCAATTTTCTTATTTTTTTTTCTGGATGGTTTCTGAACAGTACTATCCATATAAGAATTTTAGTCATATAAAGCCCTAGGGAGAACCCTGCTATGTAGGCTGCTTCCTGTCCTCATTCCACCCCCAAACTGGAAAAACAGGAGCCCATGGTGGAAAACAAAGAGAAGCAGTCCAAGTATTAGAAGAAAAGCAGGAAATTGTCCCATAGGAGAGTGTTTCATGAAGCAAGGATGCAACAATACCTCAAATTACACCTCTCTAAGAAGAAAGTTTAAAAAGTCCCTACTAAGTTAAGAATTAGTGACCTTAACTAAGTAGGGTTGTGATGGTAAACTCAGAATGCAATAAATTAAAAAGTGCATGAGAATGAAGAAAAAGGAGATACTGCCTTTTCAAGGTACTTGCTCTGGAGCACCAGTTCCTAACTTGGTGTGCACACTAGACTCCCCTGGAGAGGATTTAAAAAATATTGATGCCTGGGCTTCATCCCGGAGATTCTGGTTTAACTAGATTTAGGTCTTTGAGGGAGCATATTTTGTTTTATTTTATTTTTAAGATGAAAATCACTTGACCTATTTGTAGCCTAACTATAAGTAGCTAGGAGAAAGGGAGAAATTAAAAGTACAAAGGGAGTGGTTGGGTAATGATGTCATGGGATGGCCAAAAAGGCAGCCGCTGGGATCCAAAGTTCAGGTGGTTGATCTTAGACCTGAAGAGGTGAATCAAGACCAAGGGGGCAAGGTGGCTTCCTTTGCCAATGTGGACCTTCATCTGGTGGTTTTTAGTTCATGACGTTGGAGGCTAAGCTATTTTCTGAGAATCTTTTTTGACCAAAAGCAGAGGATCTGATGACATTTTTGGCTTGATTGGCCAACACAGCCTTACCTTGGGAGTGTAATAAATGATACGGGGAAACGTCTTCCCTGGACTTTAGTATGATCACAAATGCTTTGGTGATGGAATGGGGATAGGGTGAATAATAAAAGCTTACTGACAGTAAATGATGACTTGGGAAGGAAAGACTGGGCCTAATAAGACATACCTGAACCCTTCCATGAGAACTTCTAAAATTTTAGTGACAATTCATTTAAAGAGCAATTGGTCAGTCACCTTAAGTTGGTCATGGCGCGTTGTGCTGGAGAGGAAGAGATAAACCCAGACTAGAACAAACCAGTGAGCTGGGAAAAATGAGACCCAAGAAAACAGAGATGCCCCTGGTGGAAAACCATGAAGACAGTGTGGAAAGTCAATCAGACAAAGTCTAGGGGAGAGGACAAGGCTGGCAGTGAGGAAGTGGGTGAGTTCCAGGCAACTCTTGTGGCCGCTGGGTCTTTTCTGTGGTTCTGTCACTTCCTTTGTAAGTGGATGTGACATGAGTCTTGAAGGGACAGATAAGAATACCTCTCACCAGGGTTTATCATTATTGGTTCACATCTGTCATATTCAGTAGAATATGTATTTTTTAAAGAAATTAGGTTTGTTTTGTATAAAGATTAGATGTATACAATAAAAATATTAAGTAATAATAAAAATCACGAAATAAAAAGGAAGAGAATCCCTCTACCTCTACACTATGAATCTTGCTTCCCAGAGGTAACCACCATTAATATTTTTTGGGTAGGGATTCTTCTGTGTGCATGTAGGCATAGGAAAATGATCACTCTTGTAATATCGATTTTTAAGGCTAAAAACCAGATAAATACATAATACTGTGATAAATAAGAAAAAAGTAAGGTGCTACAAATGTCTAACATAGCTGCTTGGGAAACTGACAAACTCAGTTTTAAATGGTATGTATAAGTGGTGAGGAAAATACGCTAAATGTATATGAGTGGTTCTGAGGAATAGTGAATGAGGAATCACTATTTTATAGTCATATTCTCTACTGGTGAAGTCATAGATAGTCATATTCTCTACAGGTGAATCAAGAGGGATTATCACATTTTGCAGTAATAATTTTACTTGCTCTGAAGCACCATTGAGAATGGATTGTTAAAGAGATAATTGGTGAGCCTTTACCTGTGAATGCTGTACTCATCAGGAACCAGCATGCACTTGCAGAAATAAATCAGGAATTAAGTTAGACTACCAGTGTTGTTTTTTTTAAAGGGTCTTTAGGTTGGTAGCTAAAGAAGAAATATAAATGGTGTTCCTCAAATTAATTGGGGGCTTGAAATGTGATATCATGATATTCTTGTGGACAAGATGGAGGTATACGTTCTAGATAGTATTGAAGTTGGAAGGACTTTTAGCTAACAGCAGTCAAGGAATGTTATAAACTAATCAACCTCAGCTGAAAGTGAGAGCAGCTCTATCCTAAGGTCTGTCTTATTATTTGCTTTATTTTGACTAATTTCTGGGAAAACATATACAATGTCTCTGGTACATAGTAGATGATCAGTAAAAATACTTGCTGAATAATGTGATGTGAAAATGAATGCAGGAAAAAGTGATCGAAGGATGACATGAATTTGGAAGGAACAACTAGCTAATAATCTGGGTGATGCAATTAGGAAACAAACTAACAAACAAAAAACCTCTTGGACAATGGCCCAGGTAGATCATCCACCTGCCGTGCAGTAGGTGAAAAGAATGAAAGTTCTCACCTGCTGCATTTGTTCTTTCATTTGATTTGTTCTTTCATGCAAATCTCAGCTTCTGAAGCAGAGAGAGCAGGCTGGATGGCTGCAAGTCCATTTCCTGAGCTTTTTTGTTCCCTGGCTGTATGCTGGTGCAACACTGCAATGAATTTGAAGGAAATTGCAGAGTTCCCCCAAATCCATCCTGTCTTGTCTGGTACTCCCAGAGAGCAATCATGGTTAGCCATTAAGACTGTATCACCTTTCTACCGAACAGTCTCTTCAAGAAACTGCTAACTTCTTGTGGCACCCAGTTTGATGACTGTAGGAAGGAGTCTCCAGCCCCTTGGCCTCTGGCTGCATTCCTGGAAAGACACTCTATCTCTTAGTTTTCTCTCCCCTCAATTTATTGTCAAACCATGCAAATGAGGCTTCCTTAACTATTTCTTGGACATCTTAAAATTAAAGTCTGCACATTAATAATTTGTTCAGCTTGTTGGTAAAAGTAGCATCAATATTATGAGATCATTGGTCTGGCCTGGGTTCTCTATTCAAATCTTCATTTCCAGGAGCTAAGGATGCCCGCCCTCCTCTTTTGAGTCCCACACCCATCCTCTCACATATTTATCTACTTCAATTAAGAGTGGGAAATTTGTTCAAGAGGAGACAGTCCTGGGGGACATGAAGGGAATTTTTTTGTCAGGGAGGCAATGTAAGGTCTGAACTATATGGTCATCTTGTTGAGAGCAGAGTCTCTGCTTGCTTCATTCTCCATCCTTTATATTCTTGTTACTTAAAGTGTAGTTCACCTCACCTGGGAGCTTGTTGGAATTGCAGAATCCCTCTGCTGAATCAGACTCTGCAGTTTAATCAGATCACCAGTGATGGTGATTTGCATGCACATTAACCTTCAGCAGCATGGGTCTGTATTACCCAACAAAGCGTGGTGAAGGAGGAAGTAGGCAGCTAACATTTATTGTGTGAGATGGCAGGAGAGAGAGGAAAGGAAGGGAAGAAAAAGGAAGGGGAAGGGAGGGTAGGGGAGAGGAGGAGAGGAGAGGGCAGGGAAGGGGGGGAGGAGGGGATGGGGAGGGAATGAAATAATATAAATTCACATGGGGAGAAAACAGTCTGAATTTGTGACAAGTATGACATAAAATTTTACTTAGTTTGCATATGGTAACACAAACCCATTGTTACAACTTTCTACTTTAGTAATAAAGTGAATATTGTGCACCTTAGGAGAAATTACTCACATATTTACATTTTACTTTCTTGCCTTGGAAAGGTATTTTTAAAATAGGTTAAATATTTCCATGGTTCTTTGATCAATATTTTAGAAAATGGATCATAAATAGAAGAAAAGTGAATTACTCCCTAGTTCAGGACACGTTATTAAAAAATCCAAGTTGGGCCAGGCACTGTGGCTCATGCCTATAATCCCAGCACTTCTGGAGGCTGAGGTGGGAAGATTGCTTGAGGTCAGGAGTTAAATACCAGACTGGGAAATATTTCGTAGAGACCCTATCTCTACAAAATAAATAAATAAATAAATAAATAAATAAATAAATAAATAAATAAAAATTAGCCAGGCATGGTGGTGTGAGCCTATAGTCCTAGTTACTTGGGAGGCTGAAGTGGGAGGATCATTTGAGCCCAGGAGTTTGAGGTTACAGTGAGCTATGATTGGGCCACCGTAGTCTAGCCTGGGTAATAGAGTGAGACCCTGTATGTTAAAAAAAAAAATCAAATTGTGGAGAACACTTGATCCATTCATAGAGTAAGCATGTTTCAAATAATATACAGTTGCTCTCATGAAGCTCATGGTCTAGGGTAAGGAAACAAATCTATAAACACTGTTCCCCCAAACAACATATTACAGTTACTATATTATATGCTATTAAAGGTAGGTACCGAAAGACAATTTACCTTTGCCAAGAGTGGGGAAGGGACTGGAGAGGACACCCCAGAGGATATAATTGCTGAGGTTCATCTTGAGGACTAGATTGGAGTTTGCCAGGTATTCAGTCACAAGACAGCAGTGTGTGCTAAGGTCATAGAGAGGACAACATGTCTTAGGGACTGAGGTGTGTGGTGTGGCTGAAACTCAGGCTTTGGGGAAACAAGAGGGGTGAAGGGACATGAGGTTGGTGAAGTGAACAGGAGCTAGATCAGAAGGGCCCTGAATGCTGGTCTAGGCAGATGAACTCCTCCTGAAAGGAAGGTTTGGATCAGTATCTTCGTTTTAGAAAGATAATTTGAGAGGTTATGTGTGTGATGGATAGATAAGGGTGGTAATGGCAGGAGGAGGAGAGAGGGTGATGGTGAAGGCAGGTGGAGTGAGGAAGCCCAGTGAACTGGGCTGTTGCATTTTTAAAATAAGACTACATGGTCATGGCAGATTGACTTCAGGCAGTGACCAACCATAAAGCTAGAAAGAACCATGAACATTTTAGAGACATTCAGGAAGGATTCAGCTTTATTATCCTGTGACTGCCTTATTTGTTGACAAAAGTTCTCCAACGATCAAAGCCCCATTCCTGAGATTTTTGGCACTGGCTGTAGAAAGAACAGGAACATTAGAAAGCCCAGAAGCTGTTTTCTTTCATTACTATGTTTTGTTTTGCTCCTCAAGTAACTCTTGCCATTCTGTGAAGCTTTACAGAAAATCCCAAGTATCTTTTACCACCAGGATAAGCTTTTCTCTATAGCCTAAGTTTAATAATTCACAGTTGTGAACACATTTAAAGAGTGAATTCCCAGTCAGCATGTTCATTGTGAATTGACATAGTTTCTTTAAAGGCACATCGTGGGTAGTGCACTACATGGAGAAAGAAATACAGGTAGGGAGTTGAGAAGGGAGGCTTGTTGAATATTTTAAAGAGTTGACGGGACCCCAAAAGCCTGCTTTGCTAAATCTGAACATTAAACTCAGAAGCAATGTCGCTTGGATTCCTGGGAAGCATGTGTCCTGGAGGGTGGGGATTGGGACGGTGTTGTCAATTCTTCCATTTGCATTTTCTCCTGACTCTTCACCTCCAACCTTTTTGTATTCAGAAATGCAACCTGGCTCATCTTTATCCTCCCAGTACTCCAGGGTTTCTAAATTGAGGATCCATAGTTCTCTGCCGAGTCTTGGAATATTTTGAAATTGAATGCAGACTCCATGTGTACATATGTAGCTTTTTGACATTTTCTTGGCAGAGTCCTTCACATTACATGAGATTCTCAAAGGCATCTGTTATGTAGCAAAGGGAAAGAATCATTGCTCTACACGTTGTGGCCTATCCCCAGCCCTGAGCAAGTGCATCATCTCCGTCTTTGTCAGGATGAATTCCAAAACCCTCTTTCCAGCTAATGCTATTCTAGTGAGCTCCTAACCACTGTCTCCACTGCCTGTTTGGCAGCTGGAGACACACAGCAATGAGCACACCCAAAACCTGAGCTTGTTACCTTCCTCCTCAACCTTGTGCTCCTCCTTTGTACATGTGGAGTAAAATGCCCTTTATTTGTTTTTTTACCATCTGCAGTCAACCTGTCATTAATTCTTGATAACATTACCTCTGTTTTTGAAATTTACTCCCTTTTCTTGATTCTCTGTTACTTAGAGAACCCATCCAATCTACAGGATGTAGGAGAGCCCATTAATAAGTGATTCTAGTCTTGTCTCCTATCATCATGCCAATTCAGACTCCAACTGCACTATGTATATTGTTCTTCATCTCTCTGACTTTGTGCAAGCTGTTCTCTCTACCTGCAAAGATCTTTCCTTTATCAGATGCTTGATAATCACATCTGTGAGACTCCATTCAACTATGACGTCTTGATGTCTTCTTGACAATTCAAGCTACTCCTTTCCTCCATGTGTATGAAATGTTTCTGGCATAGTACTTAATTCAGTGAGTTTATTTCTCTGTTTCTGTACCCATTTCTCCAGCTGGGTACTGTGGTTCAGAATAATATTAAATTACACAAATTCTAGAGTTACTCAGAGTCATGGATAACAATGCCCAGTCCACTAAACAGCTTATTAAAATGCCCATAACTTCCAAAGTTCTCCCATACCTTCTATACCTTTGCTATGTTAATCAGTCGTAATAACCCTTTAAAAGAAAACCTTTTAACATATTTTCTGTTTATCTCAAATATTTCCTTCCTTTGTCCTCAAGGTTGGGCAGTAATTGGGAAAAAAATTCTATTTTCCTTTCTTTCCCTGATCCCACTCAAGTTGAGCAGGCCCTGGCTCCGTGCCCACCCACCTTTATTCCAGATGTTACCCTGGCGAACATCTAAGTCTGTAACCAGGCAACCATTGGGAAGAGGGCCTTCCTGGCTCTGGGCCTAGAAACAAAAGAAAAACAAATAGGAGGATGTCTTGAGTCTTCTACTTACTTTGGTTTTCCAATCTCATTTCCCCCAAACTTTTATTATTTTTGTAATGGAAACTGGGGGTGGGTATCTGGGCTGTCTGTTCACACACCAAATGTCCGGTCTGTTATGGAGCAGGGCTCTGGCTGGATTTGATCCTATTGATCCTGATTTGGGGCTATGACTGCCAAGGAAAACATTCTTACTCCCCCTCTCACCATGTTGGAAAGGAAAGCATTGACCATGTGGCCATGCAGTGATGAAGTTTGGGGCCCAGCTGAGACAGGGCTCTCAGGCAACTGAATAGCTTCATGCAGATAAGACTAAGCATACCAAATGAAATTTCTGTGGCCAGTTAGACATCCCAAAACATCTCTTCAGTGCACATCCCTCTTGCCCTCTTTGCCTTCTGCCTAGACTGTTGTTAATTGTTGCTGTGGTTTCTTTTTAACTGCATGGCTTAGAATTCTAATCCTGTCTTCCTGATTCTGTTGGAGAAGTCATCTTAGACATAATAGCATGACCCCATTTAAACCCATTCAGTGGCTCTTCTTAGCCTACAGCCTAATTTCCTAAAGTCTGGAATTTTGTCGTTGAGAAGCATAATTTATTCATTCAACACTTACTTCCTGAGTACTTATCTTATGCCAGGTATTGCCATTCTTCTAGGTACTGTGGATAGTCCTTGTAATCAAAATACAGTAAAACCTCACACTCCTGAAGCTTGTATTCTGGAGGCAAAGGGAGAAAATAAATTAACAATTAAAAAATACAGTATGTTGGATAGTGATAAGTGTTATGAAAAGCAATAAAGCAAGGAGAGAGGATGCAGGTACAAGGGTTGGGGGAGTCTGTGAAAATTTCCTGAGAAGGTGATAGCTGAGAAGAGAAAAGTAGTTGGTGACAGACCCAACCTAGTAGGGGATATCTGTGGGAGAACTTTCCAGGTAGAGGGAAGAGTAAGGGCAGAGGCCTGGCCGTGGGAGCATGCCCGATCTATTTGAGTTAGAACAAGATGTCCAATGTGGCTGGAGTAGAATGATACAAGGACAGAGGAAGGAGAGACGAGTTTAGAACAGTGGCAAAAGGACGTACTTTATAGATTCTTTAGAACATTATGTGGACTTTGCTTGTCACATGCAGTGCAGTGAGAATCCATAGAAGAGTTTTAGATTTTAAGAAGAGCAATCTTATGATCTAATTTACTTCTAGAGGGATCATTCAGGCTCCTATAGAAAATTTATTGTAGAGAGGCAAGTGGGGAGATTTGTTAGGCATCTATTGCAATAGTGTGGCAAAATAATGGGGGATTTCGCCAGAATTAGATGTTTTTGCCAGTGCCTCCTCTTTGATGATTTTCTCCAAATAGACATCGATTTTCTGGCTGAATTTCTCTGGTCACAGGAAACTTGCTCCCTACTGTACTTCTTTGGGTATGCTCAGATCTTTAGTTATTCCTTTTACTTTTACTGTTCCTATTACTGTTCCTTTTACTTTTCCTATTCGTTTTACTGAGACAGAGTTTGTCTTCTATAGGTTTCTTTCCTTCATCATTTTGGTCCTACCCCTTAAGTTAATTAAAAACAAATCTTTTTCCTCCCTTCGCTACCATGCCATCTTAGGCCCCTCTTCTCCAGAATCAGTATCTCCAGTCCCTGGCTCATTCATTGCTTACCATTGTCCCAGTCACACCTCTCCATCCTGAGCACCCTCCTGTGAAGGCTCTTTAGCTGGGAGAGTGGTATCTTTGCCAACTTGGAAGTCGGGGGCTACAGAAAAGCAAAGGCTATGTAGTCTGGATCTTTACCCTTCAGTAACACTTAGTCACAGAGGTCAGAAGGGTGACTGACCTCTGTGCTCCAGCTGATTATTATTATTATTATTAGTAGTAGTAGTAGTAGTAGTAGGGTCTACTTCATTTCCACCACCTTTTTTTCTGGGGCATAGTAAGAGTTAACTTCTAAACAAACTCACACTACTTTGCAAGCAACAGCAAACACCCAGTGTAATACTGTCCTTATAAAATATGTCTTTCCATAATGTGACCCAAAGCATAGAGAATATTTTTACTCCAGCATTTCCTGCCATTAATGTTTTCCTTTTGCAATCTTCACATAGTGTTATGAGTGAGTTGTGTGTTACAAAAAGCTACATAAACACTCTCACCTTGTAATCTACTGTAATGGCATTAGTAAGGCAGCTCTGGGTTTCACTCTTCTTTCCTAAGTGTAACAAACACAAAATTTTTATACCATTCAGCAGTAGAGGAGAAAAATATCTCTTAAGAATGAGGTGTAAGAGGTAGACAGCGCTGTATTGAGGTGGTACTGCCACTCTGACAGCAACTGAGTATATGAAGTTTGGCAAAATTCCCATCCCAATTGGGGAGCTACCAAGTCATCACACATGCATTTCTGTTGGAATCATTTTATTTCTACCCTAAATGATAATAGAACATATGGATTTGGGGATAGCAGAGATGAAAGCCATTTCTTCCTTGTAAGTTTCCACTGAGGGATTGTACTCGCCAAAGAAGTACAAATGCATTTTAGATCTACAATCATTTATCAATTATCAAACACCTATCAAAATCATAGGGTTGGCTCTATATTATGTTGGAAGAATAAAAATATGACTCGAGAACCCGGGAAGGCGGAGCTTGCAGTGAGCCGAGATCCCGCCACTGCACTCCAGCCTGGGCGACAGAGCGAGACTCCGTCTCAAAAAAAAAAAAAAAAAAAAAAAAAAAAAAAAAAAAAAAAAAAAATATGACTCGAACAGGCCCTTGACCTTGGTGGACTTTAAGTGAGGGAGAAATAAATTATCCCAGATATTTGCAATGCTAGAAAGAGATGCAAAGCTAAGATGGGTAAAGAAGAAGTAGTAATTAACACCTTGAAGACTATTTAGCAGTTCTCCAAGAATATAAGTAGAAAACATACACGAGAGCTCTAGGGATACAGAAAGGGCATGAAGTTAGTGTTAAACAGGCCTAATCCTGGTTTCTGGAGTCTGCCCTTTGGCAGAGACTTCTGTGTTCCACTGAATTGTCTGTTTTCCTTTTCTTCCTTAAGAAAAAAAAAATCTCAATTTTATTTAGAATAACACTGACCACTAGAAGTCAACATTTTCCAAATTCCTTTGCATTTTGGTGTGGTCATGTGACTAATTATTGCCTGAAGAGATGTAAGCAAAAAGGTGATACGGAGGATTCTTAAAGAGCTGACAGAGCTGGGAAGGGCCTCTATTCTGCTTCTTTCCTGCTCTCTGGAATGAAGATGGTCAGAACTGAAGCCCTGGCAGTCATTCTTGAGATGAGAGGCCACATGCTAAGGATAGTAGAGACTAAACATAGAAGTGTAGGGTTCCTGATGGGTTTGTGGTATAGTTACAACAGGCCTGTATTTCTCACCTATGAAACTCTTTTACCTGAGAGAGAAATGATCTTCAGTCTCATATATGTCATTTTACCTTCAGTCTTTGTGTCTAGCAGTGAGCAAACTCCCAACTAATATGTTCTACTTATGCAGAGCATGAGGACCTTCACACGGGCGTCCAATACACATACTTCCTCCTCTGCTCACCATCTCACCTAATGGGAAAATGCCTAATATGAAACTGGAGAAAGCTTAGAATGATTAAAAAAAAAAAAGCATTTTAAGGGAGGAGAGAGGGCATTTGAAAGGGAAATTTCAGGAGGATAATCCTTTTATTTTGTGAAATATATTTTTCAAGTGAGAACTGAAGAATAGTCTTGACAAGTTTAGAGAAGATGTAAAACAATTCATATTGCCCCTTTCTTGATGAGTCACTTGGGGTACCATCAAGGTCACATGGAAAGATTTTATAAGGGTTAGAATCAGTCCATTTTTAAGACTAGCCTATCTTGGGCAATAGATAATAGAGGTGGCCTGGTTATAGGGCAAGGCATGAAAAACTAGAGAGAAACTTAATGGATGACAGAGTCATTCAGATGTCATTCATTATATTTAGGCTCTTATGAAGGTCAGATGGACCAGGAGGGTCTGATATCCTGGAAGATATCAGTTTGGTATTGCAACACTAAGTAAAAAGCAAGTTTCATAAGAGGATGGCCAGACAATGGGCTCTGGGTTCAAGTGTTAAGGAGTAACGGTTAAAAATGATGTACACTTCTGAAGAATGGACTCGCATTTAGGTAGTTGAAATTTTATGAAAGAGGAGTCTTAAGTTTGGCAGGCTTGAGGATAGCCAATGTTTAAATAGAGTACATGTAAAAAATGACCTAAGAGAGATTATCAGGTACCAGCTCCTCATTCAGACAGCTTTAGTCAGAAGTAGTGTGGCCTGAGGATAGGTTGTGGTTTCTACCTGACTCATTAACTTATTTAATAACTTTATCAGGTATACATTTTATCCATTGCTAAAGACACAATGCAAAGATGCCAAGATTGAGAACCTACAAGAGGGGCATGTTGCTGAGAACCTGAAAGAGGGTCGTGCTGCTGAGACAGTGCATAAGGATGCTCCAACAGACCTCCCAATGTGAAATGAAAGTGTCAAGCCATCTTTAAAAAGGTGAGAACCTCTAGGACTAAAAAAAGGACTTGTACAAGAATTTTCATAATAGCCTATTTGTGAAAGCCCAAAACATGATAGGCAAGGTGTCCATCGGCATAAACCTGATAAACAGTCTATGGGATGTCCCTACAAGGAAAGCTACTCAGCAGTAAAAGACTAGAACTATTGCTATGTGCACCAACAAGGATCAATCTTGAAAACTATGCTTAGTGAAAGAAGCTCTGCCTATGTTCTTTCCTGGTCAGTCTCTACCTTGACACCACCAGAGGCAATAACTGTTCTGTGTCCTTCACTCAGCGTGATGTTTTTGAGATTTATCCGTGCTAATACTCTATGACTACATGTTTGAGTAGTTTATTATTTTTGTATTCCTGAGTGGTACTGTATCACATAAATAATCCAGAGATAGTTTATTAATTCTTCTATTGATGGACATCTAGGCTATTTCGAGTGTTTTGCTATTATGAATAAAACTGCAATGAACTTTATTGTATAAGTCTTTTTGTGGACATATGTTTTCATTTACCTTAAGTAAATATCTAAGAGACCTTCGAGCACAGGACAAGTCGTATTTAATCCTGTAGGAAACCACTAGTCCTTCCTCAAATGGTGTACCATTTTACTTTACTTTATTTTTTATTTAGTTTTTGTTGAGCATCCGTTCTCTCAATCACTTATCCTTTGAGTTACAAACAATCCAATTACACTGTTATTTTAAAATGTACAAATAAGTTATTATTGACTATAGTCACCCAATTGTACTATCAAATAGTAGGTCTTACTCATTTTTTCTATATTTTATACCCATTAATTATCTCCATTTACCCCTAAGCCCCCTGTGCCCTTCCCAGCCTCTAGTAACTATCCTTATACTCTCTATGTTCGTGAGTTTAATTGTTTTGATTTTTAGATCTCACAAATAAGTGAGAACATGAAATATTTATCTTTCCATGCCTGGCTTATTTCAGTTAATGTAATGCTCTCCAGTACCATCCATGTTGTTGCAAATGACTGGATCTCATTATTTTTTATTGCTGAATAGTACTCCATTGTGTATATGTACCACCTTTTTTTAATCCATTCATCTGCTGATAGGCACTTAGGTTGCTTCCAAATGTTAACTATTGTAAACAGTGCTGCGCACACATAAGAGGGCAGATATCTCTTTGATATGCTTATTTCCTTTCTTTTGGATATATACCCAGCACAGGGATTCCTGGACTATATGGTAGTTATATTTTCAGTTTTTTGAGGAACCTCCAAACTATTCTCCATAATGGTTGTACCAATTTACATTCCCACCACCAGTGTACAAAGGTTTCCTTTTCTCCACATCCTCACCAGCATTTGTTATTGCCTCTCTTTCCAATATAAGCCATTTTAACTGGGGTGATATAATATCTCATTGGAATTTTGATTAGCATTTCTCTGATGATCAATGATGTTGAGCAACTTCCCATATGCCTGTTTGCCATTTGTATGTCTTCTTTTGAGAAATGTATATTCAAATCTTTTGCCCAGATTTTTTCCTATAGAGTTGTTTGAGCTCCTTATATATCCCTTGTCAGATGTATAGCTTGCAGATATTTTCTTCCATTCTGTGGGTTGTCTCTTCACTTTGTTGATTGTATCATTTGCTGTGCAGAAGCTTTTTAAGGTACCACTTTATGCTCTCACCACCAATGTATGATTGCTCCACATACTTAGTAATATTTAGTTCTGTCAATCTTTTTGACTTTTGCTGTTTTGGCAAGTGTGTGGTGGTATTTCGTTGTGGAGAATACTATTCTTAAATGTATGCATTAAAATACACAGATTTATAAAGAAAAAGCAGCTATCTTGAAAAATATCCAAGTATTTTAAATACTTGAAATACAGAATTGTGTATGCTTTTCTATCAATATCAAATGACAAGATGTAGCATGAGACCTATTAATTTTATATTTTTGAAGCTTTAAGGAGCATTCATAGAATTTCAATACAGTTGACATAACTGCATTGATATGAAACTCTCTGTGGTATCTATTGGTGACCAAGCGAAGGCTATTGCTACCACCACTCTGTTATTCATAATAGAACGAAATGCTAAATTTCAGATAGGAGTCAGTAAAAATGAAGTTGGACATTTTTTCACTGAAATTTACAAACCCAAAGACTCTTGTGCACAGTCTTTAAAAACATTTATTAGAGAGGATGATAAAAATAGGAACTCTTGGTTTCTATCTAATTCTGAGATTCTAGGCTGTTTGAAGCAGCCAACTCTAAGATAAAGGCATCGAGTGACTTGGACAGAAAAGATGGCTCAGGGGCAATTATCAAGGAAGAAGGTTGTTCCCAGAAGGCAGACAGATGGCAAGGCAGAAAGAGGCAGGACTAAGGGAAGATGGAAGAGCAACAGCAGAGATGATGAAGGAGACAAATCTCATGCTCTAACATAGTGGTTTGCCACCATATCTGTTCTTTAGAATCATCTATGACAATTTTGAAAAATGAAAATAAGTGTCTTGGTTTTACTCCTAGAGATTTGATCCAATAATGTTGGTGGGGCCTGGAAAATAGCATTTTAAAAAAAGTCATTGGTAGCTTAAAGGAACATTGGTGGTTGAGAACCATTACTGTAAATAGGAAGTTTGTGCTACGGTGCAACTGACATGTTTGGGCGTGAGGAACAAAACTGGTGGAACAGAAGGTTAGTGGAGTTAAGGCTGGGAAGCAGATGGGTGATAGGGATGGAGCCAGCAAGAAACTGGGAGACAGGATAGGAGGATGTGCGAGGCTTATGTGCTGTCAGGCAGGATTCTTCATAGCCTTAGGCAGAATTCAATCTAGCTGGGCACTCAAGGGAGGGGCTGCTATCATCTTTTGTTATTTGTATGAATAGTGGTATGAGCTTTACAACAATTCTAGGAGGTCAGGTTAGAGTGTGAGTGCCAATGGCTCACAGGTTCCCAAAGGCACTGGGGCAGAGATAAAATCGATCACAATTTCAGCCCATGCGAGAAACACTTCCATAAATCACTTGGTAGATGATGAAAACAAATAATACGTTCCATGATGCATTCACTCTTCTTTGAGTTGTCCATATGTTGGGTTCACGTGACAGCAGGTTGAAGGTGACATGAGTTCAGATTAAGCCAGACACCATTATACATGTCTGTGACTGAACAGCCCTTTCTCTGTTCTTGTATTCACATTTCAATTGGTCTTCTTGTTCACTTCTCAAAATATTGTAGTAATGTAGTAGAAATTAAAAGAGCTTAACATATACTTGAACTCAGTCTGCTATGTTGAAATGAGATGGCAGCTGATGGAGATTTTAAATAGACAGAGCTTTCATCTCTCCTTTCCTCATTTATACTCAGTGCCAGGTGCTAATAACGCCAGTGTTCAGAAGCATCCAGTTTCCAATAGTGGTATCTAGATTTTTGTCTTCTTGTTCTGTGTCTTAGTTTTTTGGTTTTTTTTTTAAAATTGTTGTTGCTGTTGTTATTGTTGTTTGCCTGAATGTTTTTGTAGAAACCAAAGGCATCTCTGCCAACTGAACTCAATAAAAACATACCCCCATGACACCAGATTGGCCTCTGAACATTGAAGCAGATTAAACATTTTGCTACACTCTCTTATATAGTTTAAGGTCAATGGCATGCATATATGTTCAGTTGGCCCTATCTTCTATAATATTTAATTATATTATTATAAATATAGTAAGTATTATAATTTTTATTATAATTTTTAATTATAGAAGATAGGGCCAACTGAACATATATTTTAATATAATTTGGTTTGTATAGGGAAAACTTAGAGATAAATGAAGATAACATAAAATAATGATAGAACGTTTTGTAATAAACAGATCAGAAAAGGTCTACATATGAGAACATTATTCTCAAAACAGTCTTCCTGAGAAACTAATTATATAAGACTGCCATTGTTCAATAGACACCTGGAACTCCTTTCTAGGAACTGCCTCTGGAGCTATTTGGTTGGTTATAAATTGGGCTCAGGAGGCATATGGGGCCTACCATGTGTGCTTTCTTAGATTCACATGGCCATATCTGCCTGCCAAGCTCCCAGATGCTTGCTTGGTAGGAAGCTCCAGCTGCCACCATCAGTGGCAGTGCTATCAGCCTCCGCCTCCGCAGGAATAAGGGTGGGGCTCTTATAAGATTTCAACTGAGCCTTCCACAGTGAGAGCCTCAGGCCAAGAGAACCAATAAGATAGAGACTATGTCTTCTCTCTCCACTTCCAGGCCAAGATGCAGTCTCCACCATTGAGCATAGGAGTTTGCTTTCTCTACATCCAGAGGAACTAGGTGACACAACTCTGGGGTATGGGAGTGTTACTGCCTCGTGGGAAAAACTTAACTAAAAAGACACAGGAGACAGGAGGGAGTAACAGATAATTCCAGATCCCTTCTTTCTCTGTTGGACTATTCCAAGGTGTGGCCATTCTTTATGGCATGTCCAGGAAAACCCTGTATTTATCAGCAATCAGAGATGTTTTCTTATAAAGTGGTGGCCAGTTTATTAAAGTATAAATACCATGTATTTGCCTTTATTCCTTGCCCTTCCCTTATTCCTTTGTGCTTACTGTCTTGTGATTGCACCTCCCAAACATTAGCACATAAACTTCATGTTAGTTGTTTTCCAGGGAGCCTGGTCCAAGACTCTAGACTACTGAATTCTCTTATTTATAAGACTCACTCAACTCAAAGAACAACATTTCCTTGGCATTGAAGAGAGCAAGGAGAATATGCCAGATATGCTAAAATAAAAGTCCACAGTGTAGTTTCATAATAGAAACAGTACTGAAAGCAAGATTTGTCCATCTCATGTGTTGGAAAGAAGACCACATAATTTTGGAGTTGCATGCTCTGATCTGTTTATTTACAACAAACAAACAAAGATACAAATAATCTGCAAATTTTTATCTAAAACAATCTCTCATTTTCTTATTCTGTTAGCCCAATTTTCCTTCATAGCTCTTATGAATATCTGGTATTATATTATCTTATCTCTCCTTGTCTCTTATTCATTTACTAGAATGAAAATCCATGTAGAGGTCTTATCTGTCATGTTTACAGATTAATTCCTAGCATCTTGAACAGAAGACCTACCATCTTTGAATGGCAAGGTCAGAAGAAATTTAAAATATTTATCTTGGCTGGGAGTGGTGGCTAATGCCTGTAATCCTAGCACTTTGGGAGGCCGAGATGGGCGGATCACTTGAGGTCAGGAGTTTGAAACCAGCTTGGCCATCATGGTGAAACCCCGTCTCTATCAAAAATACAAAAAACTTATCTGGGCATGGTGGTGCGTGCCTGTAATCCCAGCTACTTTGGTGACTGAGGAAGAATTGCTTGAACCTGGGAGGCAGAGGTTGCAGTGAGCCGAGATCGTGCCACCGCACTTCAGCCTGGATGACAGAGTGAGACTCCATCTCAAAAAAAAAACAAAATTATTTTAAGCATTCATTTATTGATTGATTTATTGATTCATGGATTTAATAGACATTTATTGAATACTCATGCAAGCGGACATGTTTCCTAAAATTCCTTCTACAGTAACACTACAAAAGTGTCTGGGTATATTCCTTGCACATATTTCCTGTGACTGAGAGCTCACTAACCTGAACAGTATGATGTTCTGGTTTCAAGCAGAGCTGATATTCAGTTAATGTGCACCTAAAAAAAATGAACTAGTTGGTAATATAGTGAAATGCTTTCAGGTAAATAAATAGTAAACTAGTAACTGTGAGAAACTATATAATTAATTTCTAATATAATTTCTAATATGCACTCCTTAGTTCAAGTTAATTGTCAAATAGGCGTCACAATGACAATAATTAAATAGATTTTCTGACATTGAGTAATTTGACTGAGTATGGATATTATTGAATAAAAGAGTATCTCAGACCATGTTAGAAGGGTTAGAAAACTTTGAAAGTAATTATTAGTTCAGCAGAAGCTGCAAGAGGCTTCTACACCATGAATAGCCTAATTTTGATAAATAGAACTTGTCTATTTAGTGATCCTAAATGTATCTAATGATGTCATGACAGTAGTGGCCACAACAGTATCAGTTCCTGACAGCAGTGTGGACACAGGTTCTGAGAACCCCATACAACAGCTGACTAGATAATGTGACATTGGTGTGAGGATGTGTGACCCAGACCACTGCTTTAGAGTGACCCAGAGTTGGCTGTGAAATTGCAAGGAGGCATCAAGGGGCAGGCACTCCAGATCCTGAGTCATGTGGAAAGTGTTGAGTCATATGGAAAGTGCTGACATCCAGGGGTGGGCCTGGGTGTACCACGAGGTCAGTACTCAGCTGCCCTCTGGATGCAATAAAGCCTGGACATCAATAACCTAATGATTCTTGACTTCATGGGAGTCAGTGGACCTGCTTTACACCATTTCTATGTCAAACCATGGCTCACATAAGGACGTCATTTAGTTAGAGACCCATATCCGAAAAAAGACCACTCCGGAAATTTTTAAAAATTAACATGTGATTTGGAAATTGTTCTAATGTTTCATAAACGTTGAACATCATGACTCGTATGAATGATTATGATGTTCAGTTAGTAGAGTACTAAAAATTCTACCTATGCTTTTGTCAGTGTTGTAATTTCACTAATACTTTTTATTACTATGGCAATGCTTTTTAAAGTTGTTTAAGACTCATAATAAGTTGCAAAAATAGTGCAAAATTCCTGTGTACCCTTTACTCACCTTCCTCCATTAATAATATCACACATAACCACAGTACAGTGTCAAAATGAGGAAATTAACATAGTATCATACTGTTAACTTGATTACAGAATTTGTCCAGATTTTACCAGGACTTACGTGTACTCTTGTGCGTACATGTATGCGTGTGTGTGTGGTTTACCTCTATTTTTAAGGACTGTCTTTCCTTACAATCTCTATGCCAAGGTCATGGAGTTTTAGCCATTGCTAGGCAGAGGTGGAGCTATACATGACTGCGCCCCCACATAATCACATTCCTTTCATTTAAGAATATTCATCCCATATGGAGAAATAGACCATGTTTATTAATCACTCCAGAAAGTATGTAATTTCATTAGATCAAGCTCTGTCTCTGGGCATTGACTAATAGAGGGAACGGCTCCCCAGCGACCCAGAACCCCTACGACACGGTCTGTGGAGACCATACTTTGGGGCCAGCTGCTCAAATGCACTGCTGGAATTCCAGGCAGAAATGTGTAATGGCATGCCAAGGGCTGCTGAGCTGTCATAGTCCAAGCAGGGTTATTTGTGGCTTCCAAAGAGAGGCTGTAACCTTTTATGGTATCCACAAATCTCAGCCTTCAAGAGTCAGGGAGAAAATGCAACCATGCTGTTTGACCGAGCTAACTCTTTCCCCACCTTGCCCCTCTCCCACTCCCACCATCACTCTACCCCCAACCCTGAGTAGTCTGCATAGCTGTCCCAGGGCAAAGAACATGGCATGAGACATTACCTTTAGCATTACCTCAGGGCCAGATAAAATGGCCAGGCATCCCTTCTGATTCAATGAGGGAAAGTCCCAGAAAGTTGTTGACAAAGTAGAAACTTTCTAATTTGAGGTCCTGAACATTCATTGTTCTTTCTGAGCAAGACAGAAAAGTTTTACTTATTGGCTGGGGTACTTTTAATGGCAGCTGTAGGCCAGGGACAGTCATGTCTACACATGTACTCTCTTATCATTGATCAGGCCCATTAGAATGCCAGAGCTAAAGAATATCTCTCCTTTGCTTTGCAGGCACATGGAGAAGGGTTTCCTGTTGTCCCTTTTGACATAAACACAGTGCTTGAAGTATCTTTTCTGGCAACTTCTCTGATCCACTTGTATGTGTATTCACTTATTTCATTCACCAGGAGAGTCAAATGAGTGAAATGGTTACAAATGGTGGCTCTGGAATCAGACAGACTTGGGTTTCAATACTACCTCTAACACTTATTGGCTGTGTGGCCTTCATATTAGGATAGAAAGTTCACATGTTGAACTTCTAATCCCCAGTACTTAGAATGTGACTTTATTTGGAGATAGGGTCTTTACAGTTGTGCCCTTTACAGTTGTTCCTAAGAACACCTAAGATTGGTGTCCTTAGGAAGGGGTGACATTGGAGACAGGTACATATAGGAAGAACACCATAATAACGCGAACTCAGAGATTGGGGCAATGCTTTTACAAGCCAAGGAATGCCAAAGATTGTCCAAAAATCACTGGAAGCTAGGAAAGAGGCCCAGAACAGATCTTCCCCTTACTACCCTCACATGGTGCCAAGCCCTCTGACCTTGATCTTGGACTTCTAGCCTCCAGGACTGTGAGAAAATAAATTTCTGTTGTTTAAGTCACCACTTAGTATGTGGTTCTTTGTTACAGCAGTCCTAGCAAGCCAATATGGCTAGTTACCCAACTTTCTAGAAATTCAATTTTCTTATTCCTCAAATGCAATGACTTTAGCAGTGATTCTCAAAGTGTGGTCCTTGGACAAGCAGCATCAGCATTATCCAGAAACATGTTAGAAATGCAAATTCATAGGTTCCCACCCTAGATTTCCTGACTCAGAAATCCTTGGGGTGGGGCTCAGAAGTCTGTTTAAACCAGCTCTCCGGATGATTCTGATGCATGCTTAAGTGTGAAAACTTACGATATTGTAGAAAGGATTCTATCAAACAATATATGCAAAGTTCTTAGCATAGTGCCTGACATACAGTAAGATATGACAAACCACAAGACATTTTCAAACACTTATATAACACTTAAGGTGGTTCAGCATATGGAGGTGTAAAGATCTATAAATTTTGATTTCTCAATAAACTGGCAGAACTCACAACTTTGGGAAAGGCATATTTGCAACAATTAACAAAATGCTCTTAGGTGTTATGATATTGTTCCAGATGTATTTTGGGAAGACAGTAGACATAATGGGGCAGTGGAAAATCAGGGCAGAAGGTATCAATAGATAGACAAATGATAGCTAGATATGTTTACAGATGATTGATAGAGAGACATAAGCATAGGAGGCAACAAAATATGATTTATTTTTATTAGAATAATGTTTGCTACACAATTCTTTTTTCTTTAAACTTGTATTTCTGGCTGGGCACGGTGACTCACACCTGTAATCCCAGCACTTTGGGAGGCTGAGGCGGGCAGATCACAAGATCAGGAGATCGAGACCATCCTGGCTAACACGGTGAAACCATCTCTACTAAAAATACAAAAAAATAAAAAATAAGCCGAGCATAGTGGTGGGTGCCTGTAGTCCCAGCTACTCGCTACTCGCTACTCGGGAGGCTGAGGCAGGGCAATGGCGTGAACCTGGGAGGCAGAGTTTTCAGTGAGCCGAGATTGCACCACTGCACTCTAGCCTGGGCGACAGAGAGAGACTCCCATCTCAAAAAAAAGAAAAAAACAAAAACAAAAAAAAATATGTATTTCTAAATTGATTCTCACAACAGATCTGTGGGAAAAAACACTATAAGGAGAATAAAAATAACACCCAGCTATTAGGGAAATACTATCAATATTTAACATATTATTGTTAGGAAGATTAAATTATACCATGCATGTAATATGTTCAGAACAGAGGTAGGCACATAGTTTGCCCTCACGAAATCAAACCTCATTATCATTATTATTATTACATTGTTTTCATTGTTCAAATATAGAATGAAATTTCAGAGGGGACATCACTGGTTAAATAAAGATCCTTGTTTCAAGTCCTGTACTAATGGTTTCCATCCTTGGCTATTTCCGCTGTGTTGTGCCATCTCTCACATGAGATATTGTAAGCTTCTCTTAGCCCCATCACAGTCCTATGATTGCCCTACTAAAATGTCTGCCCCTGAAACTTGTGGATCCTTTTCAAACACTATACTGGGATATCCCACCTCATTGCTCAGTGGCAGCCTGTTCTGATGTCCAGTGTCCAAAAAAACAGAAGGTCAAGCCCTACGGTTATGAAACAGAGACACTGGGAGAAATCTAGATTCCATGCAAGGGTGACACTGACCAAATGTAGTCTTTTCTCTATGGCGTAAATGCTAAGAATGAGAGAGTGAGTTACTTAGGTGTTGGGAGCAAGCCCCCCAAAATCTGGCCATAAACTGGCCCCAAAACTGGCCATAAACAAAATCTCTGCAGCACTGTGACATGTTCATGATGGCCATAAAGCTTATGCTGGAAGGTTGTGGGTTTACCCCACAATGAGGGCAAGGAACACCTGGCCCGCCCAGGGCAGAAAACTGCTTAAAGGCATTCTTAAGCCATAAACAATAGCGTGAGTGATCTTTGCCTTAAGGACATGCTCCTGCTGCAGTTAACTAGCCCAACCTGTTCCTTTAATTCGGCCCATCCCTTCATTTCCCATAAGGGATACTTTTAGTTAATCTAATATCTATAGAAACAATGCTAATGACTGGCTTGCTGTTAATAAATACGTGGGTAAATCTCTGTTTGGGGCTCTCAGCTCTGAAGGCTGTGAGACCCCTGATTTCCCACTTCACACATCTATATTTCTGTGTGTGTGTGTGTGTCTTTAATTCCTCTAGCGCTGCTGGGTTAGGGTCTCCCCTACCGAGCTGGTCTCAGCAAGTGGCTCCATTCATGGGGACTCAAATCCAGGTCAAAGGGTTGTCAGAGCAATAGTGGGAACAGAAAACTAGCTGGAGGACACCCGAGTACTCTTAAAGCAATCCCCGTGGTGAGTAGGAAGGGGAGCTCAGAAGCATCAGGGTAACAATGGGACAGGTGTGGGGTCTGGTTCATTTCACCTTGGATCTTTTTCACACTGATGATGAGGAGGAACGAGAGTACAGTGAAGTAATAGAAGAGGTTACAGAGCATGTTTATTTGCCAGCTAAAGCTAAAGTGGCAAAGGAGGGAGAGGTGCATCCCTACCCTTCTGCACCCCCTCATTATTATTTTGAAGAAAAAGACCCTCCAGATCTTTCTTTTCCAGAGGACACTGGGCAAAAAGTAGTTGTCCCAGTGACTGTTTAAGCAGCGCCTCGAGTGACTGCTCTTAGCTCTATTCAGGCAGGAATTCAGCAAGCTAGATGAGAGGGTTATTTACAGGCTTGGCAGTTCCCTGTTAGAATACACCCCCCAGATCAAAAGGGAAATATTATAGCTACATTTGAGCCTTTTCCTTTTAAATTACTCAAAGAATTTAAACAAGCTATAAATCAGTATGGACCAGGTTCTCCTTTTGTAATGGGACTGTTAAAGAATGTTGCTGTTTCCAGTCGGATGATTCCTACTGACTGGGACGCTCTTACTTGAGCTTGTCTAACTCCTGCTCCATTCTTACAATTAAAGTATAAAAACAAACAAACAAACAAAAAACAAAAACAAAAACAAAAAAACTTGGTGGGGAGATGAAGCTTCCATTCAGGCTGCTTGCAATGCCCAGGCCCAACCTCAAATTAATGTAACTGCAGACCAACTTTTTGGGGTTGGTGGATGGGCTGGTTTAGATGCACAACTGGTCATACAGGATGATGCCATAGAACAGCTTAGAGGAGTGTGCATTAGAGCTTGGGAAAAAATCACTTCAGGTGGAGAACAATACCCTTCCTTTAGTGCTATAAAACAGGGACCAAAAGAACCATACATTGATTTTATAGCTCGGTTACAGGAGTCTCTTAAAAAGATGATTGCAGATTCGGCTGCTCAGGATATAGTGTTGCAGTTATTAGCTTTCGACAATGCTAATCCCGATTGCCAGGCTGCTCTGCGACCTATCAGAGGGAAAGCACATTTAGTTGATTGTATCAAGGCCTGTGATGATATTGGAGGTAATCTGCATAAAGCTACTCTGCTAGTACAGGCCATGGCAGGACTGAGAGTGGATAAGGGAAATACTCCATTTCCTGGAGCTTGTTTTAACTGTGGGAAGCATGGTCATACTAAAAAAGAATGTAGAAAAATTCTGCGAGTCAGGCCACCAGATAGGGGAAAAAAAAGAAAACTGTTGAGCCTGAAATATGTCCAAAATGTAAAAAAGGAAAACACTGGGCTAGTCAGTGTCACTCTAAGTTTGATAAAGATGGGAACCCGATTTCGGGAAATGCCACGAGGGGCCTGTCCCGGGCCCCATTCTAAACTGGGGCATTTCCAGCTCAGGCCATTCCCTCACCCCTGTACAATGTCTGTCCCCCACCACAGCCAGTAGTGCCGCAGTAGATTTATGCTGCACAAAAGCTGTGAGCCTTCTGCCTGGGGAACCCCCGCAAAAGATCCCAACAGGAGTCTGTGGATCCTTGCCAGCAGGGACAATAGGATTACTTTTAGGAAAGTCTACTTTAAGTTTAAAAGGCATACAAATACATACAGGAGTCATTGATTCAGATTATAATGGGGAAATTCAAATTGTTATATCTACTTCTGTTCCCTGGAAAGCAGAGCCAGGAGAGCGCATAGCACAGCTCCTGACTGTGCAATGTGTGGGAATAGGAAAAAGTGAAATTAAATGAACAAGAGGATTTGGAAGCACAAATAAACAAGGCAAAGCAGCTTATTGGGTAAATCAAATTACTGATAAACGTCTTACCTGTGACATAACTATGCAGGGAAAGAAATTTAAAGGTTTGGTAGATACAGGAGTGGACATTTCAATCATTTCTCTACAGCACTGGCCATCCGCGTGGCCAATTCAACCTGCTCAATTTAACATAGTTGGAATTGGTAAAGCCCCTGAAGTGGGATCAAAGTAGTTATATTTTGCATTGCGAAGGGCCCGATGGGCAATCTGGGACTATTCAACCAATTATAACTTCTGTACCTACAAATTTATGGGGAAGAGATTTATTACAACAATGGGGAGCACAAGTTCTAATTCCAGAACAATTATATAGCCCTCAAAGTCAACATACAATGCATGAAATGGGGTATGTCCCTGTTATGGGACTAGAAAAAATTTGCAAGGTTTAAAAAGTTCCTGCCAAAGATTAGGATATCATTTTTGATGGCAGCCATTGTTAAGCCTCCAGAACCTATACCTTTAAAATGGTTAGCAGATAAGCTAATTTGGATAGAGCAATGGCCGCTAAGTAAAGAGAAACTGGAGGCTTTAGGTATTAGTTACTGAACAATCAGAAAATGGGCACATAGCTCCAACATTTTCCCCTTGGAATTCTCCAGTTTTTGTAATTAAGAAAAAAATCAGGTAAATGGAGAATGTTAACTGACCTAAGAGCCATCAGTTCAGTTATACAACCTATGGGAGTATTACAGCCAGGATTGCCTTCTCCTGCTATAATTCCAAAAAATTGGCCTTTAATAGTCATAGATTTAAAAGACTGTTTCTTTACTACCCCTTTAGCTGAGCAAAATTGTAAATGGTTTGCATTTACAATTCCTGCAGTAAACAACCTGCAGCCTGCTAAGCGTTTTCATTGTTTTACAGATGGGTCTAGTAATGGTAAAGCTTCTTATTTTGGCTCAAAAAGTAAAGTTTTCCAGACATCCTATACTTCAGCTCAAAAAGCAGAGCTTGTAGCGGTAATTGAGGTATTGACTGCTTTTGATATGCCTATTAATGTGATTTCTGATTCTTCATACATGGTTTATTCCACACAGTTAATTGAAAATGCTCAGTTACGATTTCATACAGATGAACAACTGATGACTTTATTTACCCAATTGCAAACAGCATTTAGGAGTACAATGCATCCTTTTTACATCACTCACATTAGGGCTCATACACCTCTTCCAGGACCTTTGACTGAAGGGAATCAAATGGCCGATCGCCTAGTTGCTAATGCAATATCTAATGCTAGACACTTTCACAATTTAACCCATGTTAATGCCTCTGGTCTCAAACGCAGATACAACATTACCTGGAAAGAAGCTAAAGCTATTATCCAGTGATGCCCAACTTGCCAAATGGTACATTCCTCATCTTTTACAGGAGGAGTTAATCCTCAAGGATTGGAACCTAACTGTCTTTGGCAAATGGATGTCACACATGTTCCTTCATTTGGGAGACTAGCTTATGTACATGTATGTGTGGACACCTTTTCTCACTTTGTCTGGGCTACATGCCAAACAGGAGAGTCTTCTGCCAGTGTTAAACATCACCTTTTGCAGTGTTTTGCGGTGAAGGGCATTCCAGCTTCTATTAAAACAGATGATGCCCCAGGTTATGCTAGCCAAGCCCTAGCTACATTTTTCTCTATGTAGAATATTAAACACATTACTGGTATCCCATACAATTCTCAAGGACCAGCCATAGTAGAAAGAATGAATCTCTCCCTAAAACAGCAGTTGCAACAGCAGAAAAGGGGAGACAGAGAGTATGGGACCCCACAGATACAACTGAACCTAGCATTATTAACTTTAAATTTTTTGAGCCTGCCCAAAGGATAGATGTTATCAGCAGCTGAACAGCATCTACAGAAACCAGCTGCAAAGACAGAAGCAGAACAACTGATTTGGTGGAGAGATCTGATTACAAAAACTTAGGAAATAGGTAAAATAATAACTTGGGGTAGAGGTTATGCTTGTATTTCTCCAGGCAAAAATCAACAGCTGATTTGGATACCACCAAGACACCTGAAACCTTATTATGAGCCAGATGCCAAGGAAGAGATTCCGGGAGGATCCCGAGTACTCCCCGGTTGCAGCCATGTCAAGACTGATGCTGAGGAGGACCCCAACTGTCACAAACAACACATGTCAAACACAGCCACTCATCTGGGGACAGATCAAGAAGCTGCCACAGATGGCGGAAGAAAACCTGAGGAAAGTGGGACAACCAGTCACAACAAGTAATTTAATGGTAGCTATGATAGCAGTTATCACCGCTGCTGTGAGTATTCCTTCAATAAGGACTGACACAGAGAACGATTATACTTATTGGGTATATTTATCAATCTTGGCTGGCAACAATGCCTGGATGCAATCACTCTATGTCACAGTTACACATGCTTTCTGATCTCAGTATTTACCATAATAAATCTGCTCCTATAATTGAGGCATACCGCCCTCAAAAACCTATTTGTAAACAGGATTGGACCCAGTTAGAAAAAATGAACGTACTTGTTTAGGAAGATTGCATTGCAGAACAGGCAGAGGTGCTGCACAACAATTCCTATGGAATCATTATTAACTGGTCCCCTAAGGGGATGTTTAGCTTGAATTGCTCCTCTCAGTCCGCGTCCCACGGTCATGCTATGTTCAGATAATCTGAACAAAACGGTCAGATGGTAGAAATAATAGAAGTATGGCAAGAGTTCCTATTATCTGGAACCATGTCGGTATAGTGGCACCTCAACCTCAAATGATATGGCCCACTCTAGGAGCTTAACATAAGGATTTGTGGAAACTATTAAATGCACTTAATGAGATCAAAATTTGGAAAAGAATAAAAAAGCATCTAGAAGGACACTCTACAAACTTGTCTTTGGATATTGCAAAATTAAAGAACAAATATTTAAAGTATCCCAGGCACACCTGACCTTAATGCCAGGAACTGGAGTCCTTAAAGGAGCTGCAGACAGATTAGCAGCCAGTAACCCAATAAAAACACTTGGAAGCTCTGTGATTTCAATGATGATTGTGCTTTTAATCTATGTTGTTTGTCTTTATGTAGTCTGCAGATGTGGATCCTGACTCCTGCAAGAAGTAGCTCACCATGACAAAGCTGCCCTTGCTTTTATTGATTTGCAAATCAAATAAGGGGGACATGTTGGGAGCAAGCCCCCCAAAATCTGGCCATAAACTGGCCCCAAAACTGGCCATAAACAAAATCTCTGCAGCACTGTGACATGTTCATGATGGCCATAAAGCTTATGCTGGAAGGTTGTGGGTTTACCTCACAATGAGGGCAAGGAACACCTGGCCCGCCCAGGGCAGAAAACTGCTTAAAGGCATTCTTAAGCCACAAACAATAGCATGAGTGATCTGTGCCTTAAGGACATGCTCCTGCTGCAGTTAACTAGCCCAACCTGTTCCTTTAATTCGGCCCATCCCTTCATTTCCCATAAAGGATACTTTTAGTTAATTTAATATCTATAGAAACAATGCTAATGACTGGCTTGCTGTTAATAAATATGTGGGTAAATCTCTGTTCGGGGCTCTCAGCTCTGAAGGCTGTGAGACCCCTGATCTCCCAGTTCACACCTCTGTATTTCTGTGTGTGTGTCTTTAATTCCTCTAGTGCCGCTGAGTTAGGGTATCCCTAACCAAGCTGGTTTCGACATTTAGGGAACCTGGTCATGGCTGGGTATGGCATGACCATGAGCTTTGAAGGGGTGTAAAAACCTAGCACTTATTCTTACCTCTTTTGGGTCTTTGAACCTATATTTATGGTAATGCTGGCTAGTGTTAACAGATACATTATCTGTGTTCTATCATGGTATATGTATATGTCCCATCCACATCAAGTTAAATTGGTGAAGAGGTCTGCATCTAGTTACTAAGCATCCCAGGCTGCCATGGGATTTTATGATTTTTAGGATGTGGATTCCAAGGGTGCTCTGTGTGTGAATATTCACCCACCAGATGAAGAAAGAGAAGGATAGATAACCTCATAGGAGTTTTATAGGCTAAGCTGAAAGAGATCTGCATTAATGGCCTAAATTTTATTAACGAGAACTGGAAGCACCTAATTGCTAAGGAAGGTGAGGGATGTAATCTACCCGTGTGCCTAAGAAGAAAGGGAGCTAGATTTCAGGAATGCTTAGCAGCCTTTGCCGTAGACCTCATTGAGAAAGGAAAGAAAGACCCTATATCCACCCACTACCCATCCCCCCAAAATATACAAACAGCAAGACATATGAGAAAAATGCTGGTCATTTTGGAGTTTTACATCATCCTTCAAGCCACAGTCCCTAGGATAAAAACCACTGATATTCCAGTTTCTTAGAGAAAAGGATCAGATCCTAAGTGATGGATATTTGCCAACATCATTTGAAAGCCTCTTTAGCCATAAGCAGTACTTAGTTGCAGAGACTGAGAATTCATCTTTGGGAAGATAAGGGAGGGAATTGCTACTGGCATCACCTACATATGGCTGCCACCTGCTCAGCATCTCCAGGGCTTACCCAGGGATATCATTGCTATAAGGATACTTGAAAAGGTGAAAACAACTTTGGAACTGGATAACAGGCAGAGGTTGGAAGAGTTTGGAGAGCTCAGAAGACATGAAGATGAGAGAAAGTTTGGAACTTCTTAGAGACTCGTTAAATGATTGTGACCAAAATGCTGAAAGTGATATGGACAGTGGAGTCCAGGCTGATGAGGTCTCAGATGGAAATGAGGAACTTACTGGGGACTAGAGCAAATGTCACGTGTTATGCCATAGCAAATAACTTGGCTATAAAGTGCCCTTGCTCTAGGAATCTTTGTAAGTTTGAACTTTATATTGGTGAGTTAGGTTATCTGGCAGAAGAAATTTCTAAGTAGCAAAGTGTTCAAGACTTGACCTGGCTGCTTCTAACAACTTATGCTCATATGTGGGAGTGAATGAATGATCTAAAGTTGGAACTTAAAAGGGAAGCAGAGCACAAAAGTTTGGAAGATTTGAAGCCTGGACATGTGGCAGAGAAAGAAAAAGATTTTTCAGGAGAGGAATTCAAGCAGGCTGTGGAGCAACCACTTGGTAGATAAATTTCCATAACTAACAGGGAGCCAAGTATGGATAGCCAAGACAAGGGAAAAAGACACTGAAGGCATTTCAGAGACCTTCAGTGAAGCCATTCCCAACACAGGCAGAGAGGCCTCTTGGAAGGAAGAAGGGTTTCATGGGTTTGGTCCAGGGCCCTGCTGCCCTGTGCAGCCTTGGGACATTGTTCCCCACATCCAGGCTGTTCTAGCTCCAGCCTTGTCTCAGAGGACCCCTGGTACTGCTCTGGCCACTGTTTCAGAAGGCACAAGCCAAAAGCCTGGAAGCTCCCATGTGTCGTTAAGCCTATGAGTGCACAGAGTGCAAGAATGAGTGAGGCTTGGGAACTTCTGCCTAGATTTCAGAGGATGTATGGGAAAGCCTGAGTGCCCAGGCAAAAGCCTACTACAGAAAACCTCGCAAAAAACCTCTACCAGGGCAGTGTGGAGGGGGAAATGTAGGGTTAGAACCCCCACACAAAGTCCCCACTGGGGCACTGCCTGGTGGAGCTGTGGGAAGGGAGTCACTGACCTCCAGACCCCAGAATGGTAGATACACTGGTAGCTTGCACCCTACACATGAAAAAGCTGCAGGCACTAAGCAACCCGTGAGAGCAGTCAACCGGAGTGGAGCTGTCCAGGGCTTTGGGAATGCACCCCTTGTACCTCTGTGCTGTGCATGTGGGAAATGTAGTCAAAGAGCTTATTTTGGAACTTTAAGATTTAATGATTGCCCTGTTGGATTTTGAACTTGTGTGGGGCCTGTAGCCCCTTTCTTTTTGACCTATGTCTCCCTTTTGGAATGGGAATATTTACCTAGTGATTATACTTGCATGATAAAATATCCTAGGAGTCAAATAACTTGTTTTTGATTTTAGAGGTTCATAGATGGAAAGGACTTGCCTCATCTCAAATGAGACTTTGGACTTTTGAGTTAATGCTGGAATGAGTTAAGACTTTGGAGGACTGTTGAGAAGGCATAATTATACTTTGCAATGTAAGAAGGACATGAGATTTGGGAGGGGCCAGGGATGGAATAATATAATGTGAATATTTGTTACCACCCAAATCTCATTATGGAATTATAATCCTAGTGATGGTGGGGCCTGGTGGGAGATGTTTGGATAATGGGGGAAGGTCCCTCATGGTTTGGTGCTGTCTTTGTGATAGTGAGTTCTCATGAGATCGAATAATTTCAAATGTGTGGCCCCTCCCCTGTCTCTCTCTCTCTCTCCCCCACCCCCCACTTGCTCCTGCTTTTTTCATGTGACTTGCGTGCTCCCTCATCATCTTTTGCCACAACTGTAAGTTTCCTGAGGCCTTCCAAGAAATTGAGCAGATGCCAGCGCTATGCTTCCTGTAAAGCCTACAAAACTGTGAGCCAATTAAACCTCTTTTTTTAAATAAATTACTCAGTCTCTCGTATTTCTTTATATTGTAGTAATGCAAAAATGGCCTAACACTTTTATGTTTTCACTTCATTTGTGTAGTTAATTGGTTGTAAGGTAAGCATGTAGTTTAATTTACAGGAAAATATCCAAATATTTTCCAAAGCAGGCATATAATTTCTCATCCCAGTAATCAAAACGTAAGTTCTAGTAACTGTATCTTTGCCAAGATTTAGTATTGTCTTTCTTCTCCTGCCTCCATATTCTCAGAGGTATGTAGTGGTATCTCATTATGGTTTTAATTTGCATTATCCTAATGATTAATAATATAGAGCATCATTGCACACTTACTTGCCATTTGCATATCATCGTTGGTTAAATATCAGCCTAAATCTTTTGCTCACTTAAAAATTTGTTATCTTTTTAAAGAGTTCTTTATATATTCTGGATACAAGTACCTTATTAGATTAATGTGTTTGAAAGTATCTTCTCCTATTTTGTGGCTTGTTTTTCATTATTGTAACAGGGTCTTATGAAGAGCAGAAGTTCTTATTTTTAATTAAAGTCCTATTTATCATTTTTTCCTTTTAATGGCTGTGCTTTTAGTGTTGTATCTAAAATGTCTTTGCCTAACTCAATATCACAAAGATTATCTCCTATTTTTTTCCTAGAAGTTCTATGAGTAGAGGTTTTAGGTTTACATCTATAATATATTCTCAATTAATTTTTTGCCGGTGGTGCAAAGTATGGATTACAATTTATATATTTTTGGATATGATGCAATTTTTCCATGGGTGCGTTACCTTTTTCATTTTGTTAGTTTTGTACCTTTGTTTAAAAACATCAATTGTCAATATATGTATGGGTCTTGGTCTGACTTACTTGTGATCCATTAATTTATGAGTATATTATTTCATTGATAATACAATGTCCTGGTTATTGTAGCTTTATAGTAAGTCTTAAAATTAGCCTGTATGAGTACTGCAATTTTGACCTTTTTTCTAAAATTATTTTGGTTATTATATTCTCTTTGCATTACCATGTAAATTTTAGAATCATCTTGTCAATTTTTACAAAATACCTTGCTGTGATTTTGATTGAGATTGTACTGAATATAAAGATTGTGAGATGGGCAATTGACATCTTAATACCACTGAGTCATCCAGTCTATTAACATAATAGGTCTCATTTATATAGGTATTCTTTGACTTCTTTGGTCAGTATTTTGTAGTTTCCAGTGTACAGATCTTGTATATATTTTGTCAGCTTTAACCTCAATTTTTTATGTTTTAGGGACATTTTTTCTTTTTTCAACTTTAATTTCTAATTTTAATTCCCAAATGTTCATCGCTGCAATACAGAAACATAATTGATTTTTGTACATTTAATTTGACCATGAAAACTTGCTAAACTCATTTATTAGTTTTGGTATGTTTTATGTAGCATATTTGGGATTTTCTGAGTAGACAAACATACTGTCTGAAAATATGACAGTTTTATCTGTTTCTTACCAAAATTTATAGTTTCTATTTTTTCTTGTGCTCTAGTGTGAATTTGAATAGGAGTGGAGAAAGCATGCATCCTTGTCTTTTGCCTAATTTTAGTGGAAAAACTATAGGTATTTGTAGCCTCTCTAAATTATGTTGAGAAGGTTTCCATTTGGTTTTAGTTTGCTGAGTTAAAAAAAATCAATTATAGATTTTGAATATGTGGAAAACTTTTTCCTGCTTATATTAAGAAACTCATATTGTTTTCCTTATTTAATCTGTTCATATAATAAATTTCATCATTTCTGTGATGAGCCTTACTCGGTTGTTTTGTATTATCTCCTTTTTATATTGCCAGATTCTACGTGTAATTTTTTTGAGGATTTTTAAATGTATGTTCACAAGAAATGTTTTTCTGTGATTTTCCTTTCTTAGAATGCTTTTGTATGGCTTTGGTAGTATTAGGGTAATGCTGGCCTCATAAAATGAATTGGGGAGTGTTATCTCCACTTCTATTTTCTAAAAGAGATTTGTGGAATTGGCATTATTTATTCTTTAAGTGTTTGATAGAATTTTCCAGTGAAATCATCTGGTCCTAAAGTTTTCTTTCTTGGAAGATTTATAGTTATTAATTAATTATTTCAATTGATTTAGGACTATTCAGTTTATCTATTTCTCCTGGAATGAACTTTAGTAGTTTGTATCTTTTAACGAATTTTACCATTTCATTTATTTATAGACATAAGTTGTTTTTAATATTCCCACATTATTTTATATGTAGAATTTATACTGATATCCCTTTTATATTCCTTATATTTGTCTTTTGCATCTTCTCTTTTTTTGTTTTTATTTAACTTCTGGCCAGAAATTTATCGATTTTATTGACTTTCGCACAGTCAGCTTTTGGTTTAATTAATTTTCTTTATTGTTTTTGGTTTGCAATTGCATTAGTTTCTGCTCTTATATAGTCAGTAAAAATTTAATAAAATTTTATTTCCACTGATTTATATTCTTTTGCTTTTTTCAACACTGATTTACATTAAAAACTCCAAGCACACTATAACTGAGGGGAACTTCCTTGACATAATGCATCTACAAAAATGCTAAAGCCAATATTATACTTAATGGTGAAAAATTGGGTGCTTCCTCCAATTTCTCAAGAAGTCAAGAAGTAGGCAAGGATATCCTTTCTCACCATTCCTATTCAATGTGATACTCAAAATTCTAGCTAGTGCAATAAGATAAGAAAAGGAAATAAGTATCCGCAGATTGGAAATGAAAACATAAAATGGTTTGAAGATGACATGGTTGTCTGTACAGAAAATCCAAAGGATTTGACAAATAAACTCCTGGAACAGATAAATGATTATAGTGAGGTTTTAGGATATAAGGCATATTAGTTTCTAGGGCTTCTTTAACAAATTACCACAAACTGCATGGCTAAAAAAAACAGAAATTTGTTTTCCTATTATTGTGAAGGCTAGGAGCCTGAAATCAAGGTGTTGGCAGTGCTGTGTTCTCTCCAAACACTTCAAAGAAGATTCCTTCTTTGACTCTTCCTAGCTTCTTGTGGTTACAAACAATTCTTGACACTCCTTGATTTATAGATGCATCTCTCCATTTTTTGCCTCCAGTCTTCACATGATGCTCTTCTCTGGTGTGACTGTTTCTTCACCTGGCTTTCTTATAACAGGTACCAGTAATTGGATGTACAGCTCATCCTAATCCAGTGTGAACACATCGTAACTTAACTAATTACATCTGAAAATACCTATTTTCAAATAAGGTGACATCCACAGGTACCAGGGCTAGGACTTGAACATATCTTTTTGAAGAAATTCACAGTAGGACTCCCCAAATTCATGTCCTTCTCATGTGCAAAATACACTCACCCTGTCCCAACATCTCCCAAAGTCCTAACCCATTTCAACATCAATTCAAAGTCCAAAATCTCATAAAATATTCTCAACTAAAAATGTTCCAAATCTCACCATGAAAATCATCCACATTTGGTATGATCTGAGTATGATCCATCCTGGGGCACTATTCTTTTTTATCTGTGGGCCTGTGAAACTGGAAAACAAGCCATTTCATTTCAAATACAGTAGTGAGAGAGACACATGATAGACATTCCCATTTCAAAGGAAGACATTGGAAGAAATAAAGGGGTCACAAGTTTCAAGGAAGTCCAAAGCCTATTAGAAAAAAATCTATTAGACTGTAAAGTTGGAGAATCATTTTCTTTGACTTTATTCTGTGTCCTATAGGCTGAGGGCAGGTAGAGCTCTTTTCTTAGCAGCCGGGGAAGCAACTCCATCCTCTAGGCTCTGGGCTTCCAGAGACTGTTGGCACCAGCTCCACTCTTTTGGCCCCCAGCTAGATAAAAGTAGCCAGTCTGAAAAGCCTACATAGTATATAATGCTAATTATACAACATTCTGGAAAATATAAGATTATAGAGGCTGTAAAGGGATCAAGGAAAAGGGAGAAATAAATATGTGAAGCATAGGAAAATTTTAGGGCAAAGAAATTATTATTTATAATCCTGCAATAAGGCCTGTTTTCAAAATTGATAGAATTTTACAGCACAAAGAAAGAACCTTAATATATGCAATTTAAAAATTATTTAGTAAGTTGGAGGATTCCACAAAGAAATGCAGACTATGGCTAGAGAATCTAACTGTACTACAAAAGCAGGAGGCTGATAAATTATTCATTTTTGTAACTTTAGAAATGAGTGGAGTTGGTAAGACTAACGGCAAATGTAGCTGCACATAAGCATTGTACTCTAGTTCATAGAGGTCTTTCCCACACGGGTATGTCTTAGCAATTCTAGTACTGCCATACATCTTAATACTGCTATACTTAATAGTGGAACTAGTAAGTAATAAGTGGAAGATGATGGAGCCAGGTTTCTGACTGTTGGAGTGGAAATTTACAGATTAGAAAGGGAAGGAGGCTAGAATAATCTATGTGATAATGGATTAGCATTAGAAACAACAGTAATATAGAATAGATGATTTTATATATATAAATTATTCATAGATACGTGTATATACACCATTTACACACACACACACACCCCTACACCTTTTTCTCTGTCAGCTGATAGAGCCTAAGAAAAGTAACACCTCAGTGGCAATGAGCTCCCAAGCACCTAAATCTTGATTTCTAATACCATTCCCTGCTCTCTGCCCTAAAAAAAAAACACCAAAATTCTTTGGAAAAATGGCTGATTCTAGAACTGAGACAGGGAATATACAAGATGAGCCTGGAGCAACTTGTAATGCCAGAAACTGGAAGTACTCAACGAACAAGCAAACAAACCCCACATTGATGGGAGTATGCAACAAACAAACAAACAAACACAAAAAACAAATAAACAACAAGACAAAACACAGAAGCTAACTGAAAGAGCTACCAATGGTCAATGCTAAAGCAAATTGAGAAAAAAAGAAGTTGTATTAGATTCTAACCCAAAGTATAAAATAAGTATCTGAGTCTATACTGATATGAATACGTGGTTGAGTAAATTATTGAGTAAATAAATGCAGGAGAATAGACAAATCTCTCATGTAGAAGAATCCCAAATAATTCACATAGATACTCCACCCTCTGGAAAGTGAAGGGCTTGAATGCTTAAAAATCCATACATTGAAATCCGAACCCCCAGTACTTCAAAATGTGAATTGATTTGAAGATAGGGTTTTTACAGAGGCAATCAAGTTAAAATGAGGTCATTAGTGTGGGTCCTAATCTGAAATGACCAGTACCTTATAAGAAGAAGAAATTTTAACACAGACATAGACAAAAAAGAAGACAATCTGAAGACACAGGGAGAAGAAGATAATCTACAAGTCAAGGAGAGAAGCCTGTAGCAGGCATTTCCCTTACATCTCTCAGAGGGAAACAACCCTGCTGTCAGCTTGATCTTTTAGCTTCCAGAACTGTGAGGAAAAACATTCTGTTAAGTCACCCAGTCTGTGGTCCTTTGTAAAAGCAGCTTTAGCACAGGAATGCAAGGTGGAAGATCTGGGTGGAATTTATTTTCTTTCTGACAACAGTGGATCCTTCCTTTACTGGCAAGGCCTGTGCTACAAAGGATGGTTTCTGGAGTATCCTGCCTGCCTCATTCTTTCCTGTTAACATGCAGTAAGGCCTTTGCAAAATACCCCATGAGTCAGTGCAAACTGCCTTCATGTATACTGCTCATATATACCAGTTTTCTGTACTCTCATACTAGTTCTCAGTTTTGAGCAGTTACTTGTTAAAAATTTTAGCAATTTGTTGAAAAAAATTAGCTTCTTACCCCGCTTGTATGGCAGCCCTGTTTTCCTCACATGCTCTGTCCCAGAAAAAAAAAATGACATGTTTTATCTCTCCTTGGAGGCACCTGAAATTTCAAACTAGTTGATTGCTCTGTGACCCCAGATCTTTGATATATTCAGGAAAAAATCATAATTATGTAAAGTATCCAATTTTTTTTTTTGGTTTGTAAACTGGGAGCAATCCTCTTTTCATAACCTAAGAAGAAGCCAGAAATGTCTGCATTTCAACAACCATTAGAGATTTCGTTCTTCCAAGAATGCCTTTCTTCTAATCTGTTTCCTGGTGTAAAGTACCCAGCTTTTAATAGATGCTTAATTAACAATTTATAATATTAGCATTCTTATGCTTATCACCTATGATGTCTCCCCAACATGTCTGGGGCCAGGGCATGAATTCCACAAGGAAATCATTGACTTCCAGATCAATGACATCTTTTCCAGAAATCTGCATTACAGCCATGAAGTTCATGCCAACAGAGCTCCTGGGAAGACATACCCATTGGCCACATTTTAAGAGCCAGCAAACACATTATTTGCCAAGCACACAAACCCACTATAACTGATGAGGGTGATGGTTTGGAGCATGAGCTATAACGTTGGGGAGATGTGGTTAGTCTTGACCCCTACCTCTGCCTCTTGTGAATTACATGACCTCAGACAAATCCTGTAACCCCCTGTGCTCAGTTTCTTTATAAAATTGTGCTGATAATGATGGTATCCAACCCCTATGCCTGGCTCATCATAGGTGATTCAGAGCTACTAGCTATTTATTTAGTCATTTTATCTTAAAATCTTGGCACATTGTTGCCTGGATGTCATTGTCTCCAGTGCATGGAGTGGCCAGACCCCTGGCCCTGCCTTTTCTCTTTTTCCCTGGGCAGATGGAGCTGGTTTTCCTTTCTGGCACACACTCCACAGAGGAACTTGGGAAAGGAACAAAGACTGAAGAACAAATCAGCCTATTTTCCACTTTTTAAAAGTAGCTCTGTCAGAAGGTTGAGTGGAGGAGGAGTTTGCAGCCATTGGCTAAAGAGGGGGTTCTCTTTCCTGTCTGTAGCTTTCCATTCATTCTCCTGTCCATTACACCACGCTGGCCTTGCTAGTCCAGGGACATCGGCCCCCCCCACCTCCAGTGGTCTCTCCCCTGTGTCAATGACTCAGTTTTTGCCTAGAGTTCCCACAGCTCTAGGGAAGAGAGGTGAGGCTGGAGTAAGGCAAAGCCAGAGGGGAGCCTGACCCTGGGGGCGGGGGTTGGTGGGGCAGAGGGGGGCGTCCTGCAGTTGCAGTTGATGAGTGAGTTCTTGGTCCTGACAGGACAGATGAGGCCCTTTGTTCCTGCAAATGGGCCTTTCCTGGCAGTGATGGAGATCGCCTGCAGTCCAGCCCGCTCCTCCTCTTCAGCTGCAGCCATTATCCTAAAGTGGTTTTATTGATCTGCTGACTCCCTGTCTCCTGCCTGCTCTCCCTTTCCTCCTCCCTTCCCCACCCCCTGCACCCCATCCTCAAGCTCCTAAATGCTCTGTTGCTGGCCTCATCCATGCAAGGCTGTTTTTTCAGGGGTGAAGGATGATTTTGAAGTTAGATTAGACAACTGCACTTGCCTCATGAGAAAGCAGATATTCCCTTAGGGCAAGCATTTTCAGACTAGCAAAGGATATACCTCCATTTACCAACCACACCTTTTCTGGATGTAGTTCTTTGGTTGTTTTGACTTTTTGTAAGATGTAGGAAATATAGATGCTATGAAAGTTCAGTTTCAAAGTTTGCACCTTGGCAAACTATAGTACATTTTACAATGTCATGATAATGCCGCATTTTAAACAATTACCAGTCATATTCATCTTAATACAATTTACATGTAATTAAAGAAATTTTTAAATCATTTAGCATTTTTGCTTAAGACTTAGTTATAAGCTCCATAAAGTTATGTATTCTTATTTTATTTATAACAACCCTGTAAGATAACTGTCATAATCCTTATTTACAGGTGTAGAAAAATAAATGACTTGAAAGTCGTAAATCTAACAAATACCATAGACAGGACTCAAAGCTAAGCCCATTGGACATAAAAACTTCTTTGTATTTATATGAAAGTCTGTATTTTTGATGCTGCTTAAAATGTTAGGCACACATCTGATTAAAAAGCTGTGCTCTATTACAGGTGTGTTATGTTCGATATTACCCATGAAACTCTAGCAGTCTTCATTGTTAAAGAGGGAGTGACCCAGGTGTTAAATTACCTGAGAGCTGGCCCATGATCGTCATACTATGAGCATAGTCATACATGCTCAGGAGAATTTTTAACTGAGATGTCCCCATTTAGCTCTCGTGTGGCTTTTACAGTTGTTTAAAACATTTTGAGAGAATTTGGAGCTGGTGTTCCTCAATAAAAACATGAAACCTGGAAAGTAATTTAAGCCTCTACCCAAAGTTCATGAATAAAACTTACTAAGAATCTTTCTTGGCTAGGTGTGGTGGCTTACGCTGGTAATCCCAGCACTTTGGGAGGGATTACCTGAGGTCAGGAGTTCGAGACCAGCCTTGCCAACATGGTGAAACCCCATTTCTACTAAAAGTACAAAAATTAGCCCGGCATGATGGTAGGCGCCTGTAATCCCAGCTACTTGGGAGGCTGAGGCAGGAGAATTGCTTGAACCCGGGAGGCAGAGGTTGCAGTGAGCCAAGACTGTGCCATTGCACTCCAGCCTGGACAACAAGAGCAAAACTCAGTCTCAAAAACAAACAAAAAAACAATCAAAAACAAAAGAAAACAACAACAAACCCAAAAACAAAAACACTTTCCTCCTAGTGAGATATGGGACCAGAACACAGATGTGGAAACCCATGGGTTCTTATACCTGAACACTTGGTGTCAGCGTAGGTCAGTAGCAACAATACAGAGTTAAGAGGCACCAGAAACCAAGATGCTGTCATGACCTTTAATTAAACTTACGATCATCTTATGTGCCTGTATGAAAGGCACATTTAGGAGAGATGTATGTACCTTCCATGGGCCTAGAATGAATTACTGCCTTGTTAGAATAAGAGTGAGGGGAGGTCTCTGGAAGAATCAGATTCTGGTTATTAGTGGAGGCAGTAGAATAGAGCATCAGTGAGACAATCCCTATACATAATTATTATTTATTACTATTGAACAATACTATCTGCTGTGCACCAATCCGGTTCACTGCCATATATAACATTGACATGCTCTTGGCCCTGCCAAATCAATACCTTCTGTTGCAGACTATAGAGATGACTTTTGTCCTTTATCTGCCCCCACACCCCATTTTCAAAGTGGGAGATGTTTAGAACAAGATATAATTTTCACTATCTCTATTTTAAGGCTAGCACCTGGAGATGCTCCTTGCTGTACAGTAAAGTGTGACTGTATTTTGTTTTCCATTGACTTACATTATAAAATTGGTAATGTGTTTTCATTAGAAAAAGAATATCATAATTTTAATTGAATATTTGATATGGAAAAGTGAGTGGAGAGGAATGAGAGCATGTAGGACTGGGAATGAGGATGCCTGGGATTCAGTTCTAAAACTGTCACTGCATAACTAGGAAACTGGGCTTTTGTCATGATTTTGCCTCTGTGAAAGCTGGGATGAGTCCGAAAGCTTTGAGCCTCAGTTTCTTCATCTGTATAATGACAGGCTGGGGCTAAATCAGGGACATCAAATATGTATCACATATACTGTCACTTGTGATTTCTATGCCTATAGCAGACATTACTAATCAAAAGCAGTTTTCTTTCTGATAAAGCCAAAATACAGTCCCAGGCCACCCATAAATGAGGGCAATGTTCTGATAAGAGTTAAAACCTAAAATGCTTGAATTCTATGCTCACGCAGGTCCTTTCCAGCCCAGACACCCCAGATCCTGAATTAGTGGTCAGCCTCCTGCAGTTTTATGCCAGGAGCTTCCCATATATTAAACTAATCTTTCAAAAAACTCCCTCAATTCATTTCAAAGAGGAAAGTCATGGATACATTTCAGAAAGAAGGTTATTTATGCAAGACAAAAATATTATTATGAAAAAACTGAATTGTTTTTTCTAAAGCAAACTTCAGCCAATGCTGCACTTGTTTTGGATCTATTCAATTTTGGTCTCCTTTTCCTTTCTGTCTTGAGCAGCTCTCACATTCTCTTTCTCCCTGGACTTTCATGAATTTATTCCTAATAAAAATTTATAATTGTGGCACTACCTACGTTCTTGTCACTTTGGGGGCTTGTTGGCCATATACCTTGTACAAATAATCTCTATCATTTATTGCTTCTTCAGAGAAGATGTTATACATGTGCAGACACATAAATGCAAAGTGAAAAGAAGCAGTCAGTAGATGATACCAAGCATCAATTCTTCTGTTATATTATTCTGAAACTGAATACAGAATAGCTGGGTATCTCTATTGAATGTTTAACTGTGAATTTATTTTTTTGTTATTGTAAAAATATTTGTTAAGTATACACAAATAAATAATTCTTTTATGATGTTATCTTGCAAGAACATGCATTTTAAATGAAATTGACCTGTGACTTATTTTTTTTTATGATTTTTTTTATTATACTATAAGTTTTAGGGTACATGTGCACATTGTGCCGGTTAGTTACATATGTATACATGTGCCATGCTGGTGCACTGCACCCACTAACTCGTCATCTAGCATTAGGTATATCTCCCAATGCTATCCCTCCCCCCTCCCCCCACCCCACCACAGTCCCCAGAGTGTGATATTCCCCTTCCTGTGTCCATGTGATCTCATTGTTCAATTCCCACCTATGAGTGAGAATATGCGGTGTTTGGTTTTTTGTTCTTGCGATAGTTTACTGAGAATGATGATTTCCAATTTCATCCATGTCCCTACAAAGGACATGAACTCATCATTTTTTATGGCTGCATAGTATTCCATGGTGTATATGTGCCACATTTTCTTAATCCAGTCTATCATTGTTGGACATTTGGGTTGGTTCCAAGTCTTTGCTATTGTGAATAATGCCGCAATAAACATACGTGTGCATGTGTCTTTATAGCAGCATGATTTATAGTCCTTTGGGTATATACCCAGTAGTGGGATGGCTGGGTCAAACGGTATTTCTAGTTCTAGATCCCTGAGGAATCGCCACACTGACTTCCACAATGGTTGAACTAGTTTACAGTCCCACCAACAGTGTAAAAGTGTTCCTATTTCTCCACATCCTCTCCAGCACCTGTTGTTTCCTGACTTTTTAATGATTGCCATTCTAACTGGTGTGAGATGGTATCTCATTGTGGTTTTGATTTGCATTTCTCTGATGGCCAGTGATGGTGAGCATTTTTTCATGTGTTTTTTGGCTGCATAAATGTCTTCTTTTGAGAAGTGTCTGTTCATGTCCTTCGCCCACTTTTTGATGGGGTTGTTTGTTTTTTTCTTGTAAATTTGTTTGAGTTCATTGTAGATTCTGGATATTAGCCCTTTGTCAGATGAGTAGGTTGCAAAAATTTTCTCCCATTTTGTAGGTTGCCTGTTTACTCTGATGGTAGTTTCTTTTGCTGTGCAGAAGCTCTTTAGTTAAATTAGATCCCATTTGTCAATTTTGTCTTTTGTTGCCATTGCTTTTGGTGTTTTAGACATGAAGTCCTTGCCCATGCCTATGTCCTGAATGGTAATGCCTAGATTTTCTTCTAGGGTTTTTATGGTTTTAGGTCTAATGTTTAAGTCTTTAATCCATCTTGAATTGATTTTTGTATAAGGTGTAAGGAAAGGATCCAGTTTCAGCTTTCTACATATGGCTAGCCAGTTTTCCCAGCACCATTTATTAAATAGGGACTCTTTTCCCCATTGCTTGTTTTTCTCAGGTTTGTCAAAGATCAGATAGTTGTAGATATGCGGCGTTATTTCTGAGGGCTCTGTTCTGTTCCATTGATCTATATCTCTGTTTTGGTACCAGTACCATGCTGTTTTGATTACTGTAGCCTTGTAGTATAGTTTGAAGTCAGGTAGTGTGATGCCTCCAGCTTTGTTCTTTTGGCTTAGGATGGACTTGGCGATGCGGGCTCTTTTTTGGTTCCATATGAACTTTAAAGTAGTTTTTTCCAATTCTGTGAAGAAAGTCATTGGTAGCTTGATGGGGATGGCATTGAATCTGTAAATTACCTTGGGCAGTATGGCCATTTTCACGATATTGAGTCTTCCTACCCATGAGCATGGAATGTTCTTCCATTTGTTTGTATCCTCTTTTATTTCCTTGAGCAGTGGTTTGTAGTTCTCCTTGAAGAGGTCCTTCACATCCCTTGTAAGTTGGATTCCTAGGTATTTTATTCTCTTTGAAGCAATTGTGAATGGGAGTTCACTCATGATTTGGCTCTCTGTTTGTCTGTTGTTGGTGTATAAGAATGCTTGTGATTTTGGTACATTGATTTTGTATCCTGAGACTTTGCTGAAGTTGCTTATCAGCTTAAGGAGATTTTGGGCTGAGACAATGGGGTTTCTCTCACCACTCCTATTCAACATAGCGTTGGAAGTTCTGGCCGGGGCAATTAGGCAGGAGAAGGAAATAAACGGTATTCAATTAGGAAAAGAGGAAGTCAAATTGTCCCTGTTTGCAGATGACATGATTGTATATCTAGAAAACCCCATTGACCTGTGACTTCTAATGTGATCACATGATTGTCAGGCTGAAAGTTTTATCAGTTGGTTTTCACTTTTAAGGAGTTTCTGTATTTCACATTATATTTCTTCAGTTACTTAAAATGAAAAATGCTGGTATTCTCATCAGAGGCTGAATTTTGAGTGACTATTGGGTAGAAACTTTAACTGAAAGCATGAACTTTTTATTTTATAAAATGTACGTACCGCCCCCTAGAAGACACAAGTTTGATTTATAGTTAAGGTTATTTCAGATCAGGATAACCTGGTGTGAACATAGCACCCATTGCCTTATAGGGAGGGTGGGTCCTCTGGAGGAAAAATCGTCTTTCCAAATGGAAAGATGAATGAATGAATAAATGATCCTCTTAATTGTAAATGAGAGGCAGCATGGTTTAACACACAGAATCTAAGACTGTGCTAATACAGGCTTGCATCACAATTTCAACTCTGATACTTACTACTAATGTGTGACCTTGAGAGTCTGACCTTCAGACTCCTTAAACTCTGTAAAAATGTTCTAGAAAAGCATTTCTAGAGTCTATGCATAATTAATCTCCCTAAATATGTCACAAAAGACAGAAAACAAAAGAAAATAAATTGGCTGGTTTTATTATGTATTAAAGAGTTAAACATTTTCTTGCTAAAACAATCATTAATAAAATTAAAATATGCAAATACTGTGTCACAAGGTAGCTTCATCCTATAAAGTACCTTTTTACAACTCTAAGAAAAAGTTCTATCCCTTCATAGGAAAGGGCATGAAGTATTTCCTTTAACAAATATTTTTGCAATGTTTAGAGAAGGGGTGAGGGATTTTTAGCCTTCTCTCCTGACATTATTACCTACGAGGATAAGAGACAGAGAACATTTCTCTTCCTGTTTCTCTACCTCTGGCTATACCCCTGTCACCAGCTCTGCCATAAGTATTGAGGAGACAATAATTTGATTTATGAGACCATGCTTTATGAATGGGGAAGATGACTATTAGTTATAGGTCAGGACCCTCAGAAGCCCTTTCCCCCCTGCATTCTGGCTCCTGGTAATAAGCAGAGTCATGGCAGGTACAGGGATCTTCCATCCTTCTCTAGTTCCCAGGTCTTTTCATCCTTCAGTGAACCCACATAATGATAATGCCAGGGGTGCCTCTTGGGAGCTGATTGACTAAGGTGACTTTTAGCAAAAATGAAGAAAGAATACAGTACAAGCTATATTCATCAACCCAGATTCTCCAAGGGAATCTTGCATTTTGTGTGTCTGGAAGAGAAAGGTGGTAATTGTATGTGTGTCTGGATACTAATAAAGAAGAATCTTTCCAGAACCTCTCACTTCTGTCAGGGTCAAGCTCCAGCAAGTGGGTGTTATCCCTCAGATACCACTCTCTTGTCCTAACTCAGGTAAGAAGAACCCATCTCCTATGGGTGAAGTGAAGCCATGAATCCATGAAAATCACAGACTGGAACAAAGTCCTCTAAGGGATGTTCTTTTGACTTTCTAACCCTATTCCCATATCTCCAGTAACATCCCTCTAAATTTGGAGACATATATGGGGTTCTCAGAATTTTCTTGCACTTATTTCCTGAAATATGCTGCCAGGTTTTTGAGTAGGAATGGTTTGAAAACCTCCAAAGCTCTCCTTTAATTTTGCCAAAATGTGATGTATTTGGTAGAAAATAACCGGAGCTTATTATGTACATTCTGGGCTACATCATTGTCTAGGTTTTTATAAATGTGCCATGTATACAAGAGTATATATAGAGTCACCATATATACAAAGAGCTTTTTAAATTTAAGTTTGTTGAGAACAAACACATCAGTTGTCTAAAAAAAAATCTTCTATTGTGCTGCTGTTGTTGTTGTTGTTGTTGAGACAGTGTCTTGCTCTGTCGCCCAGGCTGGAGTGCAGTGGCATGGTGTCAATTCACTGCAAGCTTTGCCTCCTGGGTTCAAGTGATACTCCTTCCTCACCCTCCTGAGCATCTGGGATTACACGCACCCACCAACAGCCCAACTAATCTTTGTATTTTTTTAGTAGAGACAGGGTTTCACCATGTTGGCCAGGCTGGTCTCAAACTCCTGATCTCAAGTGATCCACCCGCCGTGGCCTCCCAAAGTGCTGGGATTACAGGCTTGAGCCACTGCACCCAGCCTCTACTGTGCTTTTCCTACTTGAATTTTAAACATATCCCAAAAGTTATGTGGGGAAGTGAATAAGTTATCTACATAGTCCTTGATTAGGTTTGATCAGCATTAGCAACATTTCCCAACGCTGTCATGGAGACCCAAATCACATTGATATCAAGCTACACACCCTGAAGTGGGAAGGTGGCCAGAAATGGAGACTTTATCTAATGTCAGTTTGCATAGACTTTATTAATCACCATTAATAAGAAATGTCAAGGGACAGCTGTTGGAGAATAGAGAATCCTTCATGTAAGGAAACGAATACACTGAAGACAATCAGCATTCTGGGCCTTTGCCACCAAAGGTTCACCAGGAACCTTAGGGATTTGAGATCATTAAAGGCTGTATCTAGGTCATGCTCCTCTCTTCCCACCAGGCTGGCATAATCCGCAGGAACCTGAACGTGCATCTCTAGCCTATGCACTTAGGACAGTGATTCCTGCTGTCCTGGCAAGTTGCTGCAGCTCTGACCATGGAGAAGAGGGTGAGAGGCAATGCAGACCCCAGCCAAATGGAGGACTTGCATTTTTATAGTCACTGCCCTTCATATACTGAAAATGAAAATGTATAATTTCTCATGATGAATCCCTAGGGTAAAACCAAGAAGTATTTAATTATATCAACTACCAGCAATGATTCTTTCTTCATGAGAATTTAGAAGTCAGAGATTCCAAAGGGTCTTCCCTAACAATAAGATTGATGCCTTCTGCCCCCTCCTCAGGCTTAGTTTTGGCTTCCATAGGACCTTGCATTCCTCGCCCTGTAAAAACTGGAAGAAACTCTACAGGGCCACTTGATCCATTCTCTGAGGCTGAGGACCTCATCAGGCTCCATTCAATAGGCTTTTTGATGACCCAGATTTCAAATGCCCCATGACAGGAAATTCTCACTGTTATATTTGTGCTTTCCTGTTGGACCTAGTGGATTTTGTTTTCATATTATTATTTAATTTACAGACAGGAAAATCATTGGAGCCTGGAGTTGTCTTGATAACACTGTTAATGCAATTGCCAGGACTTCCCTGTGTATGCTGCCCAAACCCTGGAACACTGAATTGCTGTGATCGTTGTAAGGTTCCAGGTGTTCATTTCAAGGGTGATCACATGACATTCCATAATCACACTTATGAAAGGACTAATTAAAAATACAGATGTCTTCAGCTCAAAATACCCAGACAGCTGAAATACTTATTAGTTTTTTTTATGTTAAACTCCATATCCTCACTTCTTTCCAACAGAAAAACTAATAATAGATAACAAAGCACAGACAGGGAGGGCCTTCAGCCTTTTTTCTCCCATTAATTGACAGGCTTTGTTTATAAATAAAACACCTAGTACTTTTACAAATTGGTATTTTACCATAATACCTTTTTAGATTACTTTGTTTTCCCTTTCAGAATGGCTCAGCCACAATATTGTTTGTCTAGGGCTAGAGGATTTTTATAAGTTTGTAGTCCAACTCTTCTAATATAGAGGTGATAGTCATACAAAAGATCTTACGTGTCCAAGAACATAGAACCATTAACGGTCTTTCAGCCTTAAAAAGAAGGTGCCTTGTAATGCAAATGTCAAGTTGTCTTTATTCTACCTGGGAGGTAGAATAAACAAAACAATTATTATATTCAAAAACGTTTTAGAGATGTGTGGACCTAAGAACTTTGGCATGATGAATGAAAAGCTCTTTACAGACACATTGGGTTTGCTTATGTGAACCAGAGCAAATGCATTTCCCCTGACTGGCAGATAAATAATTAAGATCCAAATGTATAGTTAAAAATAATGTTAAAAACACAAAATTTATGTTTTATCAAGATAATATATATTTAAGGTGCAAAGTCACCCTGCAAATGCTGGCATGACGTTTTATTAATTTCTCTCTTCATTCATTCATTCCTTCACATATACACAATCACAATATTTGTAGGGCTTGCTAGGTAAGAGGCACTGTGTGAGACACTGGGTATAAGTGTACAGATATGAACAAAAGTTGTACTGGAGTAAGTCACACATTTTCAAGAGTCATAATCTGTGTTCAGTTTGGAAAATGTACCAGAGACAGTAAATCTAGAGATCAGAAGGTCAACAAAACTAGAGTTTGGAAGGTTGAGAACATAACCCAGGCTTTGTATCACCCTTTATTTCAACCCTAGAGAAGATAATAACACATCTTTGGGAAAGAAAGCTGTCAATCTTCTAATTATCTAAATCCCTTGGAATGAAAGTGAGGAAAAGGCAAGGCTGGAGAGAAGTGGCATCGACCTTTCCCCTCACATGGATTTTCCTTTCTGACTTCTGCATTACTGTCTTCAGCTCTCATGAAAATAGCATGATAATTATTGTCTGCTCTCCCCTATTTCATTTTATTTATTCCAGAAATTTTTTTGAGGATCCACTAAGGCAGGGGTCCCCATACCTTAGGCCATGGACTGGTACTTGTCCATGGCCTGTTAAGAACCAGGCCACACAGCAGGAGGTGAGCAACAGGCAAACAAGCATTACAGTAATGCTCAGTAATTACTGCCTACTGTCAGATAAGTGGCAACATTAGATTCTCTCACAGGAGTGTGAGCCCTATTGTGAACTGTACATGCAAGTGATCTGGGTGACACACTCCTCATGAGAGCCTAATAGTGATGATCTGACGTAGAAGAGTTTCATCCTGAAACCATTCCCCCACCCACACCCCTGGTCTATGGAAAAATTATCTTCCATGAAACAGGTCCCTGGTGCCAAAACGGCTGGGGACTGCTGCACTAAAGTATACAGGTATTTTCCTAACCATTAGGGATTTATCATGGATGGGGCAGCTGTGGCACCCAGCCTCATACTGCTTGTAAACCCTGAAAAACCAAAGGGTTCTACTCTAGGGTTCTAATGCCAATGGCAACAATTGGCTTTGGAAGAAGAGAAAAAACCTTCTAATTCCTCTTTTAATGTATTCATTGACCCATTTGTTTTTCAGGGCTATGTTGTTTAGTTTCTATGTATTTAAAAGGTTTCTGAGGTTCCTCCTGTTACTGATTTATAGTTTTACACTATTGTGGTCAGAAAAAAAATGCTTGATATTATTTTGATCATCTTAAATTTGTTAAGATTTGTTTTGTGGCCCAACATATGATCTATCCTGGAGAATGTTCCATGTGTGGTTGAGAAAAATGTGTATTCTGCAACTGTTGGATGAAATGTTTTGTAAATGTCTGTTAGGTTCATTTGGTCTACAGTGCAGTTTAAATCTGATGTTTCTATGTTGACTTTCTGTTTAGATGATCTGTCCATTGCTGAAAGTGGGGTGTTGAAGTTTCCTGCTACTGTTGTATTGCAGTCTATCCCTTTCCTTAGACTTTTAAATATTTGCTTCATATATTTGGAAGCTGCAATGTTGGGTGTATGTATATTTACAATTGTTATGCCCTCTTGCTGAATTGACCCCTTTATTATTATATAGTAACCTCCTTTGTCTCTTTTTACAATTTTTGACTTAAAGTCTGTTTTATCTAATGTAGGTATAGCTACTCCTTCTGTCTTCTGGTTTCCATTTGCATGGAATACCTTTTTCTATCCCTTCACTTTTACTTCATGTGTGTACTTACACGTTGAAATGAGTCTCTTATTGGCAGCATATAGTTGGGTTTTCTTTTTATCCATTCAGCCACTCTATCCCTTTTAATTGAATAATTTAATCTATTTACATTCAAGGTAATTATTGATAGGTATTTACTATTGCCGTTTTTCTAATTGTTTTCTAGCTGTTTTGTATATATTTTCTTCCTTTTTTCCTTAGTGTCTTCCTTTGTCATTAAGTGATTTCCTTTAGTAGCACGTTTTGATTCTTTGCTCTTTATTTTTAGTGTCTCTACTATAGGTTTTTGCCATGTGGTTGTTATGAGGCTTACAAAAGCATTTTATAGTTGTAACAGGTTATTTTAAATGTGTGACAACTTAACTTTATTAATAAAAAAAAGACTGTACATTTTAACTCTACTACCCTCCCTGCCTCATTGTGAATTTTTGAGTCACAATTTACAACATTTTATATTGCATATTTCTTAATCAATTATTGTAGTTATTATTTTTTAATAGTTTTGACTTTTAACCTTCATACTAGGGATACAAATAGTTTACAAACCATGATTAGAATATGAGAGTATTATAGATTTGATTATATATTTACTTTTACTTCAAATGTTTTGTGTTATTCATTAGCATTCAGTTTTTCAGTTTGAAGAAATCCCTTTAGAGTTTCTTGTAAAACAGGAATAGTGGTGATGAACATTCACAGCTTTTGTTCTTCTAAAGGATAGTTTTATTGGGTATAGCATTCTTAGTCAGCAGTTATTTTTTCCTTTAGCATTTTGAATATATTTTCCCCCTCCCTTGTGGCCTTTAAGATTTCTGCTGAGAAGTCTGCTGCTAGGTATATTGAAACTCTTTTATATGTAATTTGTGTCATTTTTCTTGCTGCTTTCAGGATTCTTTCTTTGTGTTTGACTTCTGACAGTTTGATAACAATATGTCTTGGGTTATAGTCTTACTTGAATTGAATCTAATTGCTGACTTTAACTTTCCTGTACCTAGATATGTATATCTTTCACTAAGTTTGGAAATTTTTCTATTCCTTCATCTTTCTATTTTCTCTTGAACTCCATTGACCTGAGCATTTGCTATTTTGATGTCACCCCTTAAATCCTATAAGCTTACTTTGGTCTTTTCAATTTATTTCTCCTCTAACTGTACATTTTCAGATAGCTTGTCTTCAAGCTCACTGATTCTTTCCACTGCTTGATAATTCTGCTGTTGGTGCTTTCTATTACATTTTTCATTTTATTCATTCTGTTTTTTACATCCAGGATTCCTGCTTTATTTAAAAAAAAATCTCAATCTCTATGTTAAATTTCTCTGATGAATTTCTAAATTTTTCTCTTATTTTCTTGAAGTTCTCTAAGCTTCCTTCAAATAGCATTTTTAAATTTTTTGTCAGAGAGGTCATCATCTTCATTTCTTTAGGGTCAGTCACTAACATCTTATTTTATCCATTAGGCAGTGTCATTTTTCTCTACTTGTTCTTAATCCTTATGGTTATATATCAGTGTCTATGCATTGAATATGCAGGTATTTATTTCAGTCTTTTCAGTTTGATTTTTTATGTGACTGTTCTGCAGTAGGCCTATCTAGAAATTCGGAGAAAACTGTCTCTTTTGGTCTTTTCTAAACCAATGACTGCTGCACTTGTTGCAGTGCTAGAAGCACTTGGTTTGCTGTGGCTGGCACCAAGGTTTGCTGTGGCTGGCACCAAGGTTTGTGTTTTGGTTGCTGTGAGCTCCACCCCTCTTCTTTGTTTCTAATTGACCCCTAATAGACTAAGCCTGCTAACACTCACAATGGTTCTCATAAAATGAGACCAAAGCAAGCCTCCTATAAAGGGTTCCAGAATGGAGAGGATGCCAAAATTCCACCTCTAATACACCTTTTCCATTGTAAAAACCATAAATTCAGAGGAAGTTTCTTCATGTCGTACTGTACAGGCTTGGGAGAGGGACATAGCGGTCAAAAAGGACAGTTACTTTTACTGTCTAATTATGGTTTTTCTCTGCTCTGTGCTCAAAGTCAATATTACAGCTTTGCTCCTGAGTTCTTAAATATTCAGGGTGGTAATCTTGCCTCTGGATAGATGCTAGTTGGGTTTCCATGGAAGGAGAAATGTCAGAAAACTCCTACTTCACCATTTTACTGATATTACTTCATCAGGACCTTCTAATTTTGATTTTACTTTTCAATCTTTATTTTTTCTAAAACTTTTTGTTTCCTCATTTTTCAAGTATTAAATTATCCTAGTTGTTCTAGTAGAAAGCACTGTCTTATGTGTGAACAGTGACAGATAAATTAGATATTCTCAGAATATTCAATGATGGCAACTAGAAATAATCCTGGCTCAATATCAGTTTACAAATTTGATTGTTTTCTCTATGTTCTGAATTTTTTTTTTTTTTTTTGAGATAGAGTCTCACTCTATCACCCAGGCTGGAGTGCAGTGGCGTAATCTTGGCTTGCTACAACCTCTGCCTCTTGGGTTCAAACGATTCTCCTGCCTCAGCCTCCCGAGTAGTTGGGACTACAGGTGTGCGCCACCATGCCTGGCTAATTTTTGTGTTTTTAGTAGAAATGGGGTTTCACCATATCAGCCAGGATGGTGTCGATCTCCTGACCTCATGATCCACTGCCTCAGCCTCCCAAAGTGCTGGGATTACAGGCGTGAGCCACTGCACCCAGCCCATTCTGAAATTTTTGTGTTCTACTTTCTAAGTCAGTAGACATTCATTATTCACTATGATAACTACTATTACATGTGGCTATTGAGCACTTGAAATGTGGCCAGTCCAAACTGAAAGGTACTGCAAGTATAAAATGTGTACCAGATTTCAAGAATTTTATATTAAAAAGAATGCAAAGGCCAGTCGCAGTGGCTCACGCCTGTAATCCCAGCACTTTGGGAGGCCGAGGAGGGTGGATCATGAGGTCAGGAGTTCGAGACCAGCCTGGCCAATATGGTGAACCCCGTCTCTACTAAAAATACAAAAAGTAGCCTGGCGTGGTGGTGTACACCTGTAATCCCAGCTACTCAGGAGGCTGAGGCAGGAGAATCGCTTGAATCTAAGAGGCAGAGGTTGCCGTGAGCCAAGATCGCACCACTGCACTCCAGCCTGGGTGATAGAGCGAGATTGCATCTCAAAAAAAAAAAAGCAAAATATTATGTTAATACCTTTATATTGATTATATGTTAAAATAATAATATGTTGGATATATTGTGTTATGTAAAATACATTATTAAAATTAATTTCACCTGTTTCTTTTTCCTTTTCAAAATGTAGTTACCAGGACATCTTAAATTGCAAAGAGGCTCTCATTACATTTCCATAGGCCAGCACTGCACTTCTCCCTTGCCACTCTTCATTAACACATGAGGTATCATTCTCAACTATATTTGCTAATAATTTACTCTCCTCCCTTCTCCTGGCAATATTTAAAATATTACTGAGTGTTTTCCAGGTCCTGTCTATTGTGATTGTGCTGGACATGTAATAATGAAGAAAGCCAAATAAGTCCCCTGCTTTCACATGACTTCTGTTTTATAGGCAACCCCAATGACATTAGGGTGGTCACCCCTGCCCACGCACTTAGTTTCAGTCATTACTGGACTAAAGCAATTGAGAAGAAGTACAACCCATTCTAATATGAGTTGCACTATTAATAGTTCACAGTTGATCATATGTCTTGTTACTTGTTATCTAAGTGTCTACAGCATCTCCAGTACAATGCTTCTCAGAGTTTGTAGAATATGTGTGGCTTTGGAAATTCAGAGGTGTTCTGAAAACAAAGAAACAGAAAGCACGTCTGTGATCAAAGACATTTGGGGAATTCTGGGTTAAATGAAACACAACATGCCTCTTTACTGCAGGACTCGTCAAAGCTTTTGCTTTTCCAATGCAGTATTATGAAACTCTAAAAGCAGGATATCATGAAAGTTTTTAAACGCATTTGACCAAGAATTCTGATTCTGGTGAGATGTTTTTCCTGGGAATAAAATTGTGGACAATAAAATTTTGGAGATGGTGTTCAGTTCATTTCTTCATCATCCCTCATTTTGACATATGCTGTCCTAGGCTGGTTCTACAGCAGCTACCTCTCAAGTGTTCATATCCACACTGGTCTTGTTTGTGCTTTGTGTTTCTGGGACTAGAGCTCTAAAACCATATTTCTACTCTACTACCTGGCTCCACCTAGGTTCTGCTAGTTGAGGAAGACTAGAAGAAGGCTTTCTGCTTCCTGTTTCTTTCTGCCTCTTGTTCTTTTAACGATGTCCTAAGCAACGGCTAACAGTACTCACCCTAACAGTAGTAGTTCTTTCCTGTCTCAGCAGCTGAATCCAGCTGGGTTTTTTAAAATGACACTTACAGAACTAGTGCCATAACCCCCGTCCCCCAATCAGCATGGGCCAGTTTAGACCCCTCCTCAGTTGTTTGAGCCTCAGCTCCAAGGTGTCCCTTCTGTAAGGGTCTAAGTATTCATAATTAAAATCTCTTTCGTTTGTTCACACAGCTGTGGGGTGGTAGCTATTTACTACAGGTGCTACTTTTGGATACCACAGGGTGTTATCTTTGTCATTTCAGTTCCTCAACACAGCTCTTTATATTAAATTTTCTGTTAAAAGAATACATGCAGTTCTTTCTGACTCCTGATTATACCTGTCCAATATACTCCATTCATTCTCCCCACTCCCTAGGCCAACAATCTGAGTGGTAAAGCAGAAAGTGATTTGAATGAGATCATATAAAGGATTCCAGCATTATCTCAGTCACTGTTTCTGGGCTAAACTGAGCTGTCTCTGTTCTCAGCTCTCAGAGTGAGCTCTTCTCAGTCGCTAGGAAGTTAAGGCCTAAGAAGACGAGCCTCCATGGAACAGACCTACCACCAGCCTACCCCTGCTGGCTTTTCCTGGTTTGTTTAGTCATGAATACATTGATCTGAATTTGTCACATTTATTCTTCTCACTTGGAATCTTGTATCTACTACCTTGACAAAATCATGGAAAGAGACCATGACCACATTTTTATTATCTGATTGTCTTCCTGGAAATAAAGAGTTGCGACTGTCACTGGCTGGCAACTATAATTGTTAAACCTAACTGAAGAATTGAAGTCTACTACATTCAGGAGTGTTTGGATCCTAGACCCTGATTTTGGCTTTCAATTCATGTCTTTCTGCACTGGCACATTTTTGCATATGTATACATGTTCATGTGTTGTAGGTCCTTCTGTGTCCATATATGCACACTTGCATGTACAGGAACAGGTGCCACTGTGTAGGCATGTGTGTGATGTGTGCATGTGTGAATATGTGTGTGTGTGAATGTGCTTAGGATAGACAAGACCATTTTCATACACAAGACTATTTTCACCACTATATCTCTAGTATCTCACATAGGGTCTGTGCTAATGGATACTCAAACATAGTTATTGAATGAATGAATGGATGCATGAAAGAATGAGTGTTAATGCTAACACAAAAAGGAATGAAATCTGTTCATTTCTTTATTTAAGGTGGGCCCATCTAGATCAGCTCTATTTAATAGACATATAATGCAAGTCACATAAGTAATTTTAAATTTTCTAGTAACCACATTGAGGAAAATAAAAAGAAATAGAATAAATTAATTTTAAAAATATTTTTATATAATCAATATGTCCAAAGCGTCATTATTTCAGAATAATGAATATAAAATAAATACCAATGAGATATTTGCATTTTTAAAAGCCTTTGAAATTCAGTATATATTTTACTCTCATAGCACATCTAAGTTAGGAGTAGCCACATTTCATGGACTCAATAGTCCCATGTGGCTCAAAATTGCAGTTTTAGTCAGTTTAAGTCTTGTTAATATCCTTTGGACAATGGAGGAATGGAGGATATTTTCTATTTTCTATTCTTCAAAGTTTAGAATAAGGAGTCTTTGGAATCCAGGATACTTTCTGGATTGGAGAAACGTTGGTTGAGAATGTGAATCTCTGATAACCCTTAATTGCTGCAAAAGTTACATGGTTCAGCTCACATGTCTTTCTCTGTCCTCCCACTCCAGTGTTCTGGAGGGGAACCAAACTAGGGCCCTATTCTGAAACCTGTTTTCCTTTCCTAAAATCTGAGCCCCTTTGCTGGAAATGTGTCTCTCTCTCTGGAACCTGATCCCATTCCGGAAACCTGTATCTTTTTCTGGAACTGGCTACAACTATCTCTTTCCTCTTCAAGCTCAGCCATGAAGAAATTTTTTAAAAATAAAGAATACAAACACACACTAATAACAAGAAAGCATGTGTTATCTTCTCTCTCGTATCCTGCATCTTCAATGTCTTTGTATTAGATCAGATATTGCTCAAAATACAGGAGCCTGAAATTTCTACCCACCCTTTTTTTTTGAGCCAGAAATTCCCTAGATTCACAATGTCATCATCCACCCCTATCAATACCCCATTTTATGGCTGTGACGGTGGTAGAAATTCACATGGCCTTAGTGGAAAGCCCTGTGTCTCCCCTTCCCCCTGCCTCATCTTCTCTGTTATTAGGTACAACAGAATCTCAGAGATGGCTCCATTGGCTTCAGACCTTCTGCCCATTACATTACATACAATGTCTTTTTAAATTTTCTAAAATGGAGTAATTTTTAACAAGCGGGTGGTGGGGAGTACTTCCCATATTTTTCATTAACGTATACTGTTAACTATGCCAGTAAATTATGGATAATTTAATTTAATTTAGGCTTAATGGCAACATTTTTCCTCACTAATGAAATGGTTATTTGTTATTAGGAAAATATTTATTGAAGTGGAATTGTGTGATCTCTCACATCATTATTAAACCTTGTTAAACCATTTTTTAATTTCAATTTGGGTTTAATTAAGAGTCATTAAGCATTTTATTGAATCTAAATTAAATTCTAATGGAAATGGGATTTGCCAAAGAGACAGTTGTGCCCTTTCTTCACTCTCAGTTCTCTCAAAGTGACATAGTTACAAAAGGACTTGGGGTGAAGTGGAACTCCAATATTATTGATAAAATGGAAAGAACAAAGGCTTTGTTTCAGATTGATCATAGTTCTAATACCAGAACTGCTTCTGACATACCATGAGACCTTGGGCAAGTCATATCATTTTTGTGATAATCACCTTACTCTTCTGTAAGATGAGGACTGTAATAGAGTGTCTGTGGAAACAAAAGGACAAAAATTATATACCAAATGGATATTTTAAGCTTCTTTTTTTGTCTGAGGTATCTACAATTCCTTAGGAAATGGAATTTAAAAAAAAAAAGTTTGTTGAAGGAAAAAAAAAAAAGGAAACCGATGTGACTAAAAAAATGCCAATGTACATCGAGTTGTCTATCTGAAGCCTGAATTCCCAAAGAGGATGTAACTGGAGCAAAGACAAGGGAGTAAATTAGAGTTTAATGAGCCTGAACTTGGAAAAGGCTAGACCAAGAAGACAGGAGCACAGGTCAACTGTGATGAGTCTTGTCCACCTGAAAACACATGGGAGGCTTCCCCCCTGGGTTTGGACCTTATGAAACATTTGGTTAACGTGAAGCCTGCATGACATGGATAGATCTTTCTTGGCCCAATATAGTGGAATTCAAAAGTAAATCCTAGTCCTATGTAGATTCCTTGAAAGGGATAAATATCAATATTCATTCTTTCAACAGATTACCTCCATGGATCTCCTATATGCCAAGTCATATTAGGGATATGGCAGCCAACAAGCTCAGACAAATCCTCTTGGGAACTTTGTGACATAATGGTAGAGAAACACATGGCAACAACACACCACAAAATAACAAGTGGTATAATGAGAATATGAATAATGTGCTCTGTTAAGAGGATTGTCTGATGTGCCAATTATTGAATATTGACTCTGCATGACTTACCAGCATGTCATCCCTCTAAGAGTCTCTTCTCTGAATTCTACTTTGGATATTCACCAAAGTCTTAACTCAACTCTTGAATTCAATCTCACCTGTAGCTCCTGGAAAAAAAATGTCATTTTTTCCTGAATGACCCACCAGTTGGATAAGTCTCTAATTTTACCTGCTCAGGAGAGCTGCTGGAGTATACCTCTTCAAAAAGAAACATTCATCCTTGACATGACTTTCACTTCTTCTGGAATTAGTTCTTTAGAAATATGTACAGGTCTTTATTTTTGATGTATCTCAACCTTAGATGGAATCTTTTGCCATCTTGATATCTGAAGACAGTTTTCAACACATACCTAAACCCAGGGAGGCTTTTTACCTCCCAGTACTTTTCTTTGCTTTTTATATATTCAATAATTAAAACCAGAGGAAAACTTATACAGGCCAAAGAGAGCAAGGGGGCAGCCCCTGAATGGTTCCTGCATTAACACTAAATATATTTATTTTCATCAGCCTAACACATACTCATGTGCACATGTGCATATGTATGTGAGTACAGAGGTATGTGCACATGCATGCAGACTCAGTTGCATAACTTCCATCTACACTTCCAGATCAATTCTACATCCACTTTTACTCTGTTCTGCGATCCAGAAGTCTGACAAGTGTGGCCAACCTCAATGAGTCCTCTCAACTTTTGGCTTCTGGTTGGGGTCAGCAGAAAAATTCAGAGAGAAAGAAGAGTGAAGGGAATTAATGTGTTCTGTCATCTCCCTTCCTATGAGGTATCATGCGTGGCTTCATGTGTTGACCAAGATTACAGCTTCTGCCATATGACTGTTTTTCTCCAGGGGACTGCTCTCTGTCCTCATCCCTTCAGGTCTAGGGCAGTCACAGAGTTCTGGTATTGCTATCCCCAGAACACTACACTGTGGTGTGCCCTTATGGTTACTCTGCAACCTGCTTATGCCTTTGTAAATAGTTGCTTTACTAAACACTTTTGAAGTTGCCAAGTTTGATTGTGCTATCTGCTTTCTACCATGACCCTGATTTATAGATGTACACAGAAGCACTCAGATCAAAGGTCTCATTCAATGTTGAACTAGACTGCCTTTTCAGGGGGCTGGTAACATTGCCTATTGGCCAGTCAAGGTGTCTCTAACTGTGTTTCTAGTCAATCTGAGATATAATAAAAGTGCTGGAAAGATCAGCAGACTTGATCCATTCCTTCACCATGTCTTTCTGCTCCCAGGAGAAGGTCAAGCTCTGTAAGTTTCCATCTAATGGCTTCTTTTGTCTTCATTCCAGCAAAGGAGAGGACTGAGTGGCCCAGATGGAAAGCAGAAATGCAGACAGAGGCCTGTGGAAGAAGAATCTTAAAATAACTAAGCAACTCCAAGAAAACAAGTGAGGATTTATTGGAAACAACTGCCTTGAAAGAAGAAAAAAACACTCCAACTTGGTAAGAAAGATGAGAGGACATAAAAACAAGTCAGATTAGAATCACCATAAGAAAATTAAAAAGAAAGAAAGAAAAAAAGAAAGGGGATAGTCCAAAAAAAAAAAAAAAAAAAAAGTCCAGAGAGCAAAAGTCCAGGATACCTGGGCCTCTGTCTTCCTTTTACCAGCTACGGGGTGATCTAAACTTATATATCTGAGCACTCACTGGCACTGAAAAAAAAAATCACAGAAGTAGAGTGAGGAGTAAGGAAGACGACCTAGAACATCTTTTCACTGGTGTGAATTGACAGAAAAATCAGGCCATTACTTCAAGGAGTGGGATGATGACTTTATGGGGATATCACCTAAGTACAGCCTGACGCCCCATGCTACCCTCACTCCCAAGACCAGCCAAGAAAGATGGATCAGGAAGCCAGGTCAACAGTTCCATCTTTGATACTTACTAGCTATAAGACTGAAGAAGTTGTCCGATATCTTTGTCTCAGTTTTTTTTATATGAAAAATGACAGACAATTCATGAGGTTGTTGTGAAGACTAAAAGAAAGATTAAAAGTATTGCATTGTTATCTCGTATAAAATTAAGACTTAAAAAAATAATTTCCCTCTCTCCATCTCTTTCTTTCTTTTCTTCCCCTTTACTTCCTTCATTTTTCCCTGCCATCCTTCTCCTCTCAATCTGATGTTAAAGCTCTATACAGATATTCGTTATTTTGCTATTGTTGTTGTTGTTGTTGATACTATTATTATTTTTGATACCACTATTATTTTGTTGTGCAGTTTTGTTTTGTTTTGTTTTTTGAGATGGGGTTTTCCTCTGTCACTCAGGCTGGAGTGCAGTGGCACAATCTCGGCTCACTGTAGCCTCCGCCTCCAGGGTTCCAGGGCTTCTCTTTCCTCAGTCTCCTGGGTAGCTGGGATTACAGGCACACGCTAGCACATGCCACCATACCTGGCTAATTTTTGTATTTTTAGTAGAGATGGGGTTTCACAATGTTGGCCAGGCTGTTCTCGATCTCCTGACCTCAGGTGGCCTGCCTACCTCGGCCTCCCAAAGTGCTGGGATTACAGACGGGAGTCACTGCACCTGGCCTGTTGTGCAGTTTTATTTACCCTGGGTTTTTTTTTTGTTTTTTTTTTTAACAGATATTAGCCTCTCTTCAGCCTTTTCCACCCCATCTGGAATCTTACAACGAACTGTTGGGTTTTAACACAGTGTTTTGTCCTATTTTTAAACCAAATTCATTAGAAACCAAGAAAAAGAAGAGAAAAAATCAACAGTAGTATTTCCCAAAGTTAAGGCTTAATTTTATTTTGTGTTTGTTAGTTATGGGTGTTCTTGCTAGTCAATTTTTCCAAGTTAGAGCTCAGGTGGAATTTTATTGCCAATCTGCCTATTGATAACAAAGACCATCTTTTTGAGCACTCAATATTGAGGTGGCATTTCCCCTTCTAGCTTACAGAATCAGGCAATGGATGAAGCAGTTCTGGAAAGGCTTCCTTCCGCCAACTTGGACACATTTTTTCTTTTTCCAGCCCAGATGAACTTCCTCATTTCTCCGCTCTGATGATAAGCCCTGTTTAGGCTCGTGCTTTCATCTGCCTGGGTGGCATCAGAATTCGGGGGACATGTGACCTCAGCTCTTGTGTTTGGATGGCATGTGGCTATGAGACTCTGCTAAAGTAAACAAGTTTTATATAATAGACAATGATGACAATAAAGATAGTAATATAAAAACAAGTTGTACAGGGCATCTACTCTGCTGTGCTAGAGACTCTGGAGAGATGATGTCTATTTCTCAGAACCATGGTGGTTAGGGACCGTTATCCCATTTCTTAAAGAAAGAGGCCCAGGGGGCTGCAAATCTTTACCCAAAGTCATGCACCCACAGCTAGTGAGAGGCAAAGCCAAGATTTTCTTTACATTTTGTGATCTTTTTCTCTCTCAGTGAAAATATTTGCGGCGGTATTTTTCTCCTTACCACATATTAAGCACCATTAAAATTAAGCACATTAAGCAAGTTTGCACAAGAAGAGAGAGAAGAGGAAAATGCAAAGGTAACCAGGGGAGTAGAATGTTCTCTGGCCTTGCTGGGACTGTCCACTCCAGTAGAAACGAAAGGGAGTCCTACAGGAGATGATGCAGCTCAGGTGCCTTCTAAGGTACATTCCTGCCACCCACCTTGCAAGGCAGAGGCTTAAACTCTCGTCTTTTTGCTCCATTCATATCCACAATGCCTCTTAAGATCCTCTGGAGCCTTTCTTACAGACAATATTTTGTCCTTTCCAGACCTTGCTTGGTGAAAATCACGTTAGAAGTGGTAAGTAGAAAGATGAAGACTTCCAGCTCCTTCTGTTACTCTTCCCACCACTTCTGTTCTGAAAAGCTAGACTTGCTCAGGTTTTAGCTGTCATCACTGCTCATCTCATTTCAAATTTTAATGGTAGTGACAAGTACTTTCTTTTCTTCCCCCTCTACTTGTGCTTTCCTGTTTCTCAGTATCCATTCAAATCCCTGCCAAGACTAGAAAGATTCACAGCCTTTATCTCACTGTCTAGCAGAGTTTGAACATATCTCACTGCAGATATGGGGTGAAAGGTATGTTATTATTGAGACTGTGATGCAATGCATCCCCCAAAATTGTTTGTCATTCATTTAACAAATATTCACTGAGTCATAAAGTGATTAAAAATTCAGGCTCTAGAATCAGATTGGCTGAATATGCAGTACAGCCCTGACATTGTTTAAACTATGTAAATCTTGAGTAAGTTACTAAAGCTTCCTAAGCCTTATTTACCTCTTCTGTAAAATGGGGATAATAACGGGTAGGTGTTACTAGGATTAAATGCGTGTCAAGCACTTGGCATGTTTGCCCAGCATAGATTTTGTGAAGTCAGAGATACCTTGATCTCGGCAAGAACTGTGTCTATATGTATCTGAAGGAAGAGGGGAGAAACTGGAGTTTCTATGTGGCTCCAGCTCTGCATGGCTCCTCCTACCTACTGATGTGGCCTTGACCAGGCCCTATTCTCTCTGAGCCTCAGTCTTCTCTTGTCATGGGATAAGACTTTCATAACTACACGAAATATTCAAAACTAATCTTAAATCAGTGTAACTGTTCAATAAAATGATATCTTGCACTCTATATTCCTGTTTTATTAACCTATCAGTGAGGCAGATCTAGGGGCCTTTATCTGGGTTTTAAAGAAGCTACTAGGAATTTTCTTGGCTACAGTCAGGGACATTGTTCAAAGACTGTGTATGTGCAGGGGCAGTGGGTGCAGAGTCATTAGGCACTCATTGGCTTTTCTGAGAAAAATGAGCTCAGGAAAACCAAAATCTTGGCCACTTTTCCATTCTAACACCTCATCTTTCTCTAAGGTTAAGCTAACCTGGTGAGCAGTTCCTAGCCTGGAATAGGCCCCTCTGCCACAGTCAGCTTTAGGGAAATGAGAAAAACAGTCAAAATAATGCAGCCCACGTGACACTCATGCCAGCTTCACCCAGGGAAGGAGTGGAACTTAAGCTCTCCAGCCCCTCCAGGTATCAGCCCGAAAGTTAACATTAAATACAGGACTGTGAGTCTGAATGAGTCCACTGTGGAAGGTTCTCTAAAGGTCGAAGAGATCTATTTGATTCATTTAAATAAATTAAAAAACTTTTTGGAATAACTTTAGATTTGTATAAAGGTCTCAAAGCTAGTCCAGAATTCCTGGTATATTTCTTCTAGCTTTTCCTGATGTGAACATATTATATATTATGGTATATTTGCCAGAACTATAAAATCAACACTGGTAAATTACTAACTAACCTCCAGACTTTATTTGGGTTTCACCAATTTTTCCATGATTGTTCTTTTTTGTTCAAGGATTTAATCTAGTATACTTCACTGAACATAGTCTATGCATGACTTTTAATGTGCTGATTGGTTTTGTGCTGCTATAGAGACATATTTCTGGGTGATCTACAAAGAAAAGAGGTTTATTTGGTTCACAGGTCTGCAGACTGTAAGAAGCCCAACACCTCCATCTGCTTCCTGTGAGGGCCTTAGGAAGGTTCCAATCATGGCAGAAGGGAATGGGGAGCCAACATGTCACAATGTGAGAGAGAGAGAGAGCAAGAAAGAGAAAGAAGAGGAAGGTGTCATGCTCTTTTTAGCAATCAGATCTTTCAGGAACTAATGGAATAAAAACTCACTCATTACCATGAGAACTTCGTCAAGCCATTCATGAAGAATCCACCCCTATGACCCAAACACCTCCTGCTCGGCCCCACTTCTAACATAGGACATCAAGTTTCCTCATGAGATTTGGAGGGGGCAAATATCTGAACTACATCAAATATGTCAGTATTTGCTTTCCGATGTAGACAGTTCTGTGTGTACTAAAAGAGTCTACAATTTGAGCTCTGATTTAAGCATCTTTCCTTCTAGAGAAATCCATTCCTTGTATGTTTATCTTAGTCATATCCCAAGGAAGTGGTCAGGATGCTCAGATTTTACTTAATACCCTTATGAGAAATTATTTTGACTTTTTACTCCTCCACTAGGTGGTTAAACAGTGAATTTCCTTGTTTGAAGAATGCATTGATTATGTGCCAGGCAGTGTGCTAGATGCTTATACAGATTACCTAATTTAATTATCCTAATGTTCCTTTGTGGGAAGTAGTAGTATTATTACTGTTATCCAGACAAAAAGACTGGGTTCCAGAGAGATTTATCACTTGCCCAAATAAAGTGGAAGAACCAGAATTTAAAGCAGTCTTGTAACTTTGAAGACAATTTGCTCCTCTGATGTTTCCATTTTAAGGCCTCTGTTTTGCAGAGCTCTAGCTCTAGAGCAAGAAAAAACCTACGGTTTCTCTTACAGGCTGCAAAGAGATGGTGTTCACCTCTGTGTGCTTCAAGATATGGTTTACATAGCTAATGTACAGTGCTCTTAGTCAGCATTAGTTCAAGATTAAATGTTTCAGAGCCTAAAGAGTAAGATGTCAGTGATTCCTGATGGATCTAAAATAGCAAGTAAATCGTGCAGTGGTTCAAATGCTGGATAAAAGAGCTTATCTGCAGCTGGGCACGGTGGCTCACGCCTGCAATCCTAACACTTTGAGAAACTGAAATGGGTGAATTGTTTGAGCCCAGGAGTTTGAGACCAGCCTGGGCAACATGGCAAAACCCCATCTCTACAAAAAAAAAAAAAATACAAAAAAATTATCTGGGCTTGGTGGCTCATGACTGTAGTCCCAGCTACTTGGGAGGCTGAGATGGCAGGATCGCCTGAGCTCAGGGATGTCGAGGCTGCAGTGAGCTGAGATCATGCCACTGAACTTCAGCATGGGTGACACAGCGAGATCCTCTCTCAAAAGGAAAAAAAAAAAAGCTTATCTGCATTATCTCCCAGCTCTCCTCACAACGTATATACTTAACAGAAGCTTGGCATTTTACTCCTGAATGCCCAGGATACTATGCATACATTTCCCTCCCTGCTGGTAGGTGTTTCTCTGGGAAGAGGAAAACCACAGCACTTTGCCGAGGAAGATTAGAATCAGCGTGGGGAAAATTCTGAATTGGGCGCAGAGGGCTCCGACTGAGTGTGGGATAGGGGGATTCAAGGACAAGGACGGACCAGGAAGGTCATGCATTCAGGCCTGAGACCCGTTTCATCAACCTTGGGTACAGGGTGTGTGCGCATATAACTACACATAAATCCAGATTAAGGAGAGACAGACAAATTTTCCAACACTTGTAGGCACAAATCAGTTCATTTATTTATTCATCTATAGAACAAGCATTTATTGAGTACTTTTGATGAGCTAGGCTCTGTGTCCACAGATTTCTCATCTTAGTCTGCTTCTCAAAGCTTTATTAGGCCTTCCATGGGTGCAGCTATATGCCAGCCTCAGGAAACCTATCTTTCTGAAAAATACATTTTTTTTTCTTTCAAAGGAAAGGAGAAGCTAGTTTCTGAGGGACACAAGAAAATCAAAGAAACCAGAGCAAAGTGCAGGATGCCATATTCCTAATAGCAGGAAGAAAACAGGGTCCTGTTGTACCTTAGTGACCCCGAATTCCTCAGGGTGGAGCAAATGCAGAAGGGCTCCAGGGCCATCTGCATCTGTGATTTTCATTATTGCATCCTCTCTGTCTCTTCCGTCCTGTATATACCAGTAATTAAACTGACAATGAGAAATGCACATCTAGGTGTCAGGATAGAGTGAGTGGGGCCATGGTGGACATTGTGGGAAGGGACAGAATGGATGTGCTCTGCCATGAGTGGACCACCATCACTAAAATGGACAGTTGTTGTACCAAAAAAGAACCATAGACAGAGACCATAGACAGAAAGGACACATACTCCTTTGGGAAATATGTACTGCAGCAAAGAAGGGTCACTTATTGCTATAAATTTTCCTCTACGTACTGCTTTAGTAGTATCTCACAAATGCAAATTTTAATGTATTGTTTTCCTTTTCATTTAGTTCAAAGTACTTTATTTTGATTTCACCTTTGACCCAGAACTTATCTAGAGGTATGTTATTTGTGTTCAGATATTTCTGTTTTTCATTTTAATTTGATTTTACCATGGTCAAAGAACATATTTTTTACAACTTTAAAATTTTAGCCCGGGCACCGTGGCTCACGCCTGTAATCCCAACACTTTGGGAGGCTGAAGTGGGTGGATCATGAGGTCAGGTGTTCAAGACCAGCCAGATCAACATGATGAAACCCTGTCTGTACTAAAAATATAAAAATTAGCCGGGCGTGGTGGCGTGTACCTGTAATCCTAGCTACTCAGGATTGTGTGAGGCAGGAGGCTGAGGCAGGAGAATTGCTTGAACCTGGGAGGCGGAGGTTGCAGTGAGCTGAGATCGTGCCATTGTACTCCAGCCTGGGCAACAGAGGGAGACTTCATCTCAAAAAAAAAAAAATTGAAAATGTGTTAATTTAATAATTTGAAGACTTGTTTCATGGGCCAGAATATGGTTTATCTTGGTAAATATTCTGTGTTCACTTGAAAAGCATTTGTATTGTATTGTTAGGTGGAATGTTCTCTAAACATCAATTTAGTCAAGTAGTTTATTGTGTATTATTCACTTTTCTTTGCATTTACTGATTTTCTGTCAACCTCTTTATCAGTTATTGAGAAAGAGGTATTGAAATCTCTAGGTTTCCACCTGTAATTGCTGATTTGTCTATTTCTTCTTGTTATTTAGTCAGTTCTTTTTTATTTTTTTTCTTTTTTTCCAGAGATAAAGTCTCACTCTATCACCCAGGCTGGAGTGCAGTGATGCAACCTGGCCTCACTGCAACATCAGCCTCCCTGGTTCAAGTGATTCTCTTGCCTCAGCCTCTGGAGTAGCTGGGATTACAGACTTAATCCACCATGCCCAGCTAATTTTGTAATTTTAGTAGAGACAGGGTTTCACCATGTTGGCCAGGCTGGTTTCGAACTCCTGACCTCAAGTGATCCACCCACCTCAGCCTCCCAAAGTTCTGGGATTACAGGTGTGAGCCACTGCATCCAGCCTATTTAGTCAGTTTCTGATTTTTGTGTTTGAAGCTTTGTTTTTGGGCATGTGATATGATTTGGCTGTGTCCCCACCCAAATCTCAACTTCAATTGTATCTCCCAGAATTCCCACCTGTTGTGGGAGGGACCCAGGAGGAGGTAATTGAATCATGGGGGCTGGTCTTTCCCATGGTATTCTCATGATAGTGAATAATTCTCACGAGATCTAATGGGTTTATCAGGAGTTTCTGCTTTTGCTTCTTCCTCATTTTCTCTTGCTATTACCATGTAAGAAGTGCCTTTCACCTCCTACATGATTCTGAGGCCTCCACAGCCATGTGGAACCATAAGTCCAATTAAACCTCTTTTTCTTCCCAGTCTCAGGTACGTCTTTGCCAGCTGCGTAAAAACAGACTAATATAGCATGTAAATGTTTGGGATTGTTATGTCTCTTATGAATTTACATCTTTATCATTATAAAACAATTTTTTTCTATCCTTGGTAAAATTTCTTGCTCTGAAATTTAGTCTGATATTAATATAATCATTACAGAATTTTTTAAAAATGGACTTTATTGTTTTAGAACACTTTTTATACTTACAGAAAATTTGAGAAGATAATACAGAAAGCTCATATACTTCAAGCTATGGGATGAATTGTGTTCAACAAAGAAGGTATGTTGAAGTTTTAACCTCCTCAAAATATGACTTCATTTGAAAACAGTGTAATTGTAAACAACTATTCTAAGTTTATTTTCAAATGACACTAAACCACTTCAAGGATAATGCAGGTATCTTAAACAGAGTATTGTCAGTTCTTCCCTCCAGTTCCTTATAAAATGGTTGTCATTCATTTCATTTGTCTATATGCTATAATTATTCAATACATATTACTATTTTTCTTCTTAACAAATTGTTAACTACTGGATCAATTAAGAATATAAAAAATGAAAGATTTAATTTTGTCTTCATTCCTTCTTCCTGGATGCTTTTCTTTTCTAAGGTAAATCCAAAATTCTGACCTATCATTTTTCTTCTCTTTCAAGAACTGCTTTTAATATTTCTTGCACAGAAGGTCTGTGACTAAATTTCCTGTTTTTGTATGTTTAAGAAAGTCTTTATTTCTTCTTCATTTTTTATTTTAAATCAGGTAAAATTTATATAACATAAAATTAACCATTTTAAAATGAACTGTTCAATGGCATTTAGTACACTCACAATGTTGTACAACTATCACCTCTATTCAGTTCAAAAATTTCACCCTAAAAGAAAATGCTGTGCTTATTCAGCTGTTGCATCTCATTTCTCTATCTTTCTAAGCCCTAAAAACTACCAATTGGGGTCTGTCTCTATGGATTTACTACATCACATATTTTATATAAATGGAATTATACAATATATAATCTTTTTTGCCTGTGCTTCCTTTGGTAGACATAATATTGTTAAGGCACACCCATATTGTAGCATGTATCAGTGCTTCATTTCTTTTCCTGGTTAAATAATATTTTATTGTATGTACATATTATAATTTGCCCATTTATTCATTTATGGGCGTTTGGGTTACTCCCACCTTTTGACTATTGCAAATAGTGCTGATCTTAATATGTGTGTACAGTGTACATGTGTTTGTTTGAGTATGTTTTTAATTTTTTTGATATATACCTATGAGTGGAACTTTTGAATAATGTGGAAAACCTATGTTTAACTTGTTGAAGAACTTCACCCTAACATTTGAAAATAAATTTCACTTGATATAGAATTCTTGGTTGTTCTCTTACTTTTTATTTGGCACTTTTAATATTTCATTGTATTTTCTTCTTGCTTGCATAGTTTCTGATAAGAAATCTGCTGTAATTTTCATCCTTATTCCTTGAGGTAACATGTTTCTTTTCCTCTGGAAGTGCTCAAGATTTTCTCCTTGTGTTTGGTTTTCTGCAGTTTGAATTTGATATATTTGAGTGTAGATTTTTGGCATTGTTCTTGCTTGGTACTCTGTGCTTTCTATATCTGAGGTTTTGTACCTGTCAATAATTTGGGGAATTTCTTAGCCATTATTCAAATAGTTATTCTGTTTCATTATCCCTTTTATTCTGGCACACCAATAACACATATGTCACACCTTTTGGAATGCCCCACTGTTCTTGGCTATTTTGTACTTTTATTTATTTTTCATTCTTTTTTCGTTTCATTTTGAGAAGTTTCTATTGACATGAATTTAAGCTCTTCTGATTTTTTTTACTTGATTTTGTCTAATCTACTGATGAGTCTATTCTTCACTTCTGTTATAGTGCTTTTGTTTCCTGTTTGATCTTTCTTAGAATTTCCAACTCTGTACTTGCTCACATTACCCATCTGTTCTTACATGTTGTCTACTTTTTCCCTTAAAGCATTTAACATATTAATTATTTAAAATTATCTGCCTGATAATTACAAAATCTATGTTATATTTGATTCTGATTCTGATGCTTGTCTCTTCAATTTTTTTTTTGCCTTTTAGCATGCCATGTATACTTTTGTTGAAAATTAAACATGACTTATTGAGTAATAGGAACTAAGGTAAAAGGGCTTTTGTGTACATTGCTATGGAAACTGAGCTAGGCATTGGCTCTGTTTAATGTTTTCTTTATCTATGCGTATTAAAGATTTCAATTTCCTCTGGTGTCCTTGATTTTTTTTTCCTTTTTTGTGTTTGAGTTTTCCTAAAAACTCCTTTTTAATAGTCTGTGCCTTGCAGTTCTTTTAACTGTAATTCACTGTTATTATATGAAAGCTTTGATGACAGGGTGGTAAGGTATACACTTTCTATAATGCTATGATTAAGCCTCAGTCTTTTAGTGGGCTTCTGTCTCTGATCTGTGACCATCCTAAGTGTATCTCAGTGTTTTTTCCCATATTAGGTAAGACATGAAGGGTAGAGGGTGGAGAATGGAGACATTTCCCTTACTGCACAGTGGATATGGCTTTAGTAAAGTCTTTTCTCTTGCCAAGTAGACTTGTCTTATGGAGAATGCTCTGGGCATATTTCAAAGTGGTTACTTTATCCTTCCTTCTGCCATAAATGTAAGGCTTTTCTCTTGCCTCTTTACTGTGAGAAATGGGTAGGTTTTCTGTTGTTTTCAGGAGGTAAAAACCCAAGGAACAGTAGAGGCTTCCCTAAGAGTGTGGTTTCTAGGAATTCTTCACTCTCCAGCTACTTCACACTAAGACTCCAGCAATTTATTAAAATTATGATTTAAGCATTACTATCAGCTAATGGCTCCAGCTACTTCTGCTCCAAGTAAGCTAGTCATGGCTGCAGAACCATGCAGTTTCTTATCTTTCTAGATTTCTTGGTGGTACTTTGCCCTGTGACCTCAATTCTCTGATGGACTCAGAAAAAGTCATGATTTTTGGTTTGTTCAGGTTTTTTTTTTCTTATTGTACGAATAGAAGTGATAACCTTCAAGACCTTTACATGTCAGAGCTAAAAGCCAGTATTTATTTCACTGGTGTTAGTATAATATATCCTTTCCCATCATTTAACTTTTAGTCTATTTGCATCTTTATATTCCAATATTTTTATAGGTAACATTTAGTTAGGTTTTGTTATTTTATCCAATCTGACAATCTCAGCCTTTTAATTTGAGAGTTTAGGTCATTTACATTTAATATATTTATTAATATGGTTCAGTTTAAATCTATTCTCTTTCTCTTTGGTTTCTGTCTGACTAATTTCTTCTCCTGTTTTTTTCTTCTACCCTCTGTTTAATTAATTGAGTACTTTCTGCGATTCCATTTTATATTCTTTAGCTCTTGTCTATTATTACATTTTACTGGTTGCTTTAAAGTTTATAGTTTACAATATATATTCTTAACTTACTACAGTTTACCTTCAAGTGATATTATATACTTTGTATGCATTATAAGAACCTTAAAATAGTATACTTCTATTTCTATTTCATTTCTCTGGGCTTTTTTATTTTTATTTTATTTTATTCTATTTTATTTTACTTTTGAGACAGAGTTTCACTCTGTCTCCAGGGCTGAAGTACAGTGGCATGATCTCAGCTCACTGCAACCTCTGCCTCCCAGGTTCAAGCAATTCTCCTGCCTCAGCCTCCCAAGTAGCTGAGATTACAGGTACCCACCACTACACCCAGCTATTTTTTTGTATTTTTAGTAGAGACGGGGTTTCACCATGTTGGTAAGGCTGGTCTTGAACTCCTGACCTTGTGATTCACCCGCCTCGGCCTACCAAAGTGCTGGGAATACAGGAGTGGGCCACTGATTCTTTTCTGGGCTTTTTTGTTACTGTGGTAATACCTTTTAGTTTTATATATGTTATAAAGTATGCATCACATATTTATTATTTTGTTTAAACAGCCAATTGCATCTTGAAGGATTTAAACAATAAGAACAAAATCTTACATATTTGTCCACAGACTTAATATTTCTTGTGCTATTTATTTGTTTAAAACATGTGTATTAGGCAGAAGAATAGTCTTTTACCTCCATGATGTCAATGTCATAATTTGCAGACCCTTTGAATATTTTAACATATATAATGAAAGAGATTTTGCAGATGTGATCAAAGTTAAGGACCTTGTAATAGGAGCTTATCCTGGATTATTCAGAAGGCCCTCACTTAATCACTTAATTCTCTAAAAGGAAAGAACCTTTCCTGGCTGAAGTCAGAGGCTGAGGTCAGAGGAAGACGTGACTATAGAAGAATGATCATAGGATTGCAATATTGCTGGTCTTGAAGACAGAGGAAGGATGTGGGTTACATCTAGAAACTGGAAAAGGTAAGGAAACAGATTCCCCTTCAGTACCTTCAAAAAGAAACACAACTTTGCCAATATCTTGATTTTTAGCCTAGTGCTCTCTGTGTCAGTCTTATGATCTATAGAACTATACGATAATAAATTTGTTTTTTTAAGCCACCAAGTTTGTGGTAACTTGTTAGAGTAGCAATAGAAAACTAATACATGATGTATCATCAGTGAGAATACCATCACCCCCAAGAGGATGAAATTGGTTCTTGGATGCCAACATACTTTTTTATGTATAAATATTACTTTTTGTGTGTAAATCATGAATATGCATGCAGTACATAAATAGATATACAGTGTATCTGTGGCATTAAAACTTTATGACTTAGTACTTAGGGAAAAAAGTCTAAAAAGACTCCTTAGGGGATGATAATAAGAAACACTTGAGAAACACTGGTTCAGATGCATATTTTCATCGTCTTATTTTCCTTCAGCCTGAAGTATTTCCTTTATTGTGTCTTGTGGTGTAACTTTACCATCTGTAGGTGGTAAATTATTTCAGTGTTTCTATGTCTGAAAAAAACTTTAGTTTGCTTTCATATTTGAAAAATACTCTTGCTGGGTATAGAATTCTACATTGACAGTTTTTTACCCCTTTTATTACTTTAAAAGATTGTTGCACTGTCTTTTGTTTTTCTGGTTTCTGACATAAAGTTCACTGTTATCCCTAAACTTGCTCTTCTGTGTTTAACATGTCCTTTTTCTTTGTCTATTTTGAAAGTTTGTACTCATCACTTGTTTTGAGAAATTTGGTTATGCTCTGCTTTGGGTTAGTTTTCTATGTTTGGTGTTTATAGGGCTTTTCAAATCTACATATTTATAGTTTTAATCTAACTTGGAAACATTTGGGCAACTGTTTCCTCAATTTTTGTTTTCTTCTCCTCTTTTGGGTATTCCAATTTAGTGTATATTAGATCTCTTAAAATCGTCCTATAGATCACTAATGCTTTTCTCCATTTCTTTTTTACTTTTTTAAAGTATTTGATTTTGCATCATTTCTATTACCATGTCTTCAAGTTTACTAATGTTTCTTCCAGTTATATCTAAGCTACATACATCATAGATCTTTCTCTCAAACATTTTACATTTTACCAATAATATTTTGGTTTATATTTATATTTGTCCTGTCTCTACTTAATTTTTAAACATATGAGAAAAATTATACATCCAATGTCCTTGCTTACTAATTTTAATATCTGTGCTGATACTGGGAAGTTTTAATTTATTGATTTTTTTCTTATTATTTTAGTTTTTGTTTGCATACTTGGTAATTCTTGATTGTGTACCAGATATTGTGAAGTTTGCATTTTTGGATGTTTGATGCTTGCATGTGTGTGTGTGTGCATGTTCTTAACCTTTGTTCTGAATAAGGTTACTTGAAAACTGGTTCTCTAGAATTTTGTGTTTTAAGATTTGTTAGGGGAGACCAGAACATTGTTTATTCTACGACTAATCTTTCTCTAGTACTGAGGCAAGAACCTATGCTGAGAAAAATATGAGCATTTCTTTGAATTCATTAAGAGAGGGTGTTATTATTGATCAGCCGTGTCAATCATGGAGAGCAGATGGAAGAGGTAGCACATGTACCCATTATCTGCATTCTATATTATGTATATTCGTGTAATAAAGAACCAAGAATGATTACCTTGGAATTTTCCCAAGATACTGAGATACTCCAAGTAGGGGGGCATCAGGGAAGATGACTGAGATTATTACTCACATTTTAAAATAAGTAAGGTCGAAGAGGCTAAATGACTTTTTAAATTCAATGAGACTTCAATGCAAGAACCAGGATTTGAATTCCATTTAACCCCATTTTTAAATAGCCAATTTAATTGGAGAGATGGAAGCAAAATGACAGACAATGAAAGTGATATTGGGGCTTCACAAGACTATTTCACTGTCCCTTAACTACATTATGTAAGTTGCTGTGTCATCTACCCATTCTAGGTGAGGACCACACGTGGAAAAGGGAGGCTGAGAATGTAAGACATCAGCAGAGTGTGGATCTGATAGCTGTGTTGGGACTAATGGAAGATAGATGGTTTGAGAGGTAAGGAGATGGCTGGGCACTGCTGGGAATGTTTTGAAGGCACATCTGGGCTAAACAGGGAGTATCATGAATGATTAGCAGTATTTGCTTTGAGCTTGGTGAAATGAAGGTAAAGGAGTGTAAATAAAGGCCATTATGTTAACAACCTAGGCTTCTTTTCACAAGATCATGACAAAGACCTTGGTGGATAAAATCTTGCTGGTTGTATTACTTTTTTGTTTATTTGCAGTTAGTTAGTTTGAAATTTCCTAGGTGAAACCATTTCCCCTTATTGCAAATATTTTTCATGGGACTATTGATGTCATTCTTCCACTCCCTTGCAGCAGGATGGACAGATAACCACAGAACCCACCAAAATTCTTCTCTGGAAATGATGCATATATATATGCAGGCACATAAAAATATTTATATAGAGATATATATCTTTTCTATATATAATACACATATTTTATAGATAAAAATATTTTATCTATAGAAATATACACTTTTCTCTCTATATATTTATTAATATTTAAATTATATTTATATGTTAGAATATATAGAGAAATATATATAGAATATATATAGAGAAAATACATATTTTCTATTTTCTCTATATATTATTTACATATTATATATAGAAAATATATATATTATCTATATATTTCTACATGTATTCTATATATTTCTGTATATTATATATAATTATATATTATATAGAAATATATATCATATATTAAAATACATAATGTATATTCAAATACTTTGTTTTTATATATAAAATACTTTTATATAACAGTATTTCTATAAAAATAAATATTTTATATATTTCTATATATCTATATTTCTATGTCTAGCATAGAAATATATATATTATTAAAAATATGTAATATATATTTTTATAGAAATACTTTGTTTTGGTTTGCTGAGCTATAAAAATATGTCGGGGGCTAACAGTGAGCATCTCTTCTAGTTTCATGGTGAAGATGATGATGGTAAAGGGTCTGGACTGAGCCACACTTGAAAGATAACAAATATACTTGAGAATCTCAATTGAGCCATTCCTGAAACTAACATGAACTTCCTTGTTATATAGGCCAAACAATTCCATTATGTTCTTAAACCAGTATCTCAGTTTGGTTTCCCCAGAAGCAGACCTTGAGACAAGGATTTAAGTGCAAGTTCTTTATCTTAGAGATAATACTAGGATATAATAGTATGAAAGAAGAGAAGCAAAACAAGGAACAGAAGACAGTCACTAAAAGTCTTCTTATCCAGGCAGTAACCACAATACATAATTGGAGCGTAATCTCTTTGGGAAACCTTAGGAGCCAGTATAAAAATGTGTCTGCAGATTATCCCACCTGTGGAGAGAGGGGTTGGGGGTATCTATGTACTATGCCCTTTAGTCAGTTATTGAGTTGTGATCCCAGGAGACATCAATTCCTGGAAGTTCTGGCTGCCTTGTGGGTGGGTGGCAGCATGGGCTCGTAGAACCAGAGGAAGCCCTCAGGCAACGAAATGCAGGGCTGGCCAATTTAAGTTGGGCTAGTGTGGACTGAGGTGAGGGTGAAGAGACATGAGTGTCGCAAAGGCGAGGTCTGTCGCAGCTTCACTGAGTTGAATTTCCATCACCTGCAACAGAGAGTGCTGGGAGAATTCAGGGCCCCTCATGTGCTCTCAGACCTGATCCATGCCACCATCCAGCTTTGTAGAGAAGGCAGCACTGTTTCCCTTTCTTGAAGGATCACCCTGCCCTCTAGGTGGCATATGTGTGTACCCCAAGATCTAGACACTGAGAATGGAACTCGGTAGCCTCTCTGCGGAGAAAGACAAACCCTTATGAAGATCAGATGAGGCTTTCATTGCAGGAGGCCTTATACTATTTACCCACTGACAACTTCTTTCTCATGAAAGTTTGTTTTCAGGGTTGTGCCCTGCCTAATGTGATTTGTTTATTTTTCTTGAGTGAGAACCAGCTTTGGCTTTTAGGATTTGGCCTCAGTTGTATTTCCCATTAGTCATTTTCCCTGCAATAAATGTTGTTGGCTGTAAAGTTGGAGTCCTTTTAGCACAACTGGGAGGGGCTTGAGGCTCCCAAATATTGGCCTTTTTCTAGAGGAAGCAAAAAGAATAGCATGAGGTAAAGAAGAGTGTCTGAAGTCAGTAACTATTGTTTTGATATGCTTAGATTTTACCCCCACATCTTATTCTTTACCCACCCAAATCTTTGACACTAGAACATGAGAAGGAAAATAAGGCAGGCAGGCAGGAAGTGATGGTGGTACAAAATTAGGCTGGAGTGATGGGCAGGAACCATCTCCCTTAGTTCTAAGATCAACCCAAGGAAGGTCATGTCCTCAAGGAAGGATGGATCATTCCCACATTCAAACTGTAAACACCATCATCTCACTTTTTATAAAGGCTTTCTTATGAGCTCCTGAAGTTGAGCGTTAACTGGTAAATGTGATCGTGTACCACATTCCCCCTCCTCTCTTGCCCCAGACCCTGCCAACACTACAATCTTCATCAGATCACACCCAATCAGAGAACACTTAGTGTAGATACTAAGAGTTGGGGGTGCATTGTTCAAAATCTCTGATCTTTGGTAAAGTTCACTCATTAAGTCTGTTTTTTTAAGCATCTGATCCATTCCAGGGACCGTTTTAGACACCTGCAATAAAGTGATGAAAAAGAAAGACAGTCTCAGTCCTCAAGAAACTTCTGTTCTGATTAGATAGGCAGAAGACAAATAAGAAAGACATTAATTCAATAGTTATGCAACATCTCTGTGCCTTAGTTTCCACCAACATATGTGAAATGGAGTCAATAAAAACACCCACTTTGTGTTGTAAGAGTTAGATGACCTAAGATGGAATCGATGGAAGAGACCCTCGCTTATTCATCATTGCTCCCTGTGTATCCATTCTCTGGTAGAGGCTGAATTCTAAAGATTCTGGTCAGCAAAGCCCTAAATCTGAACATGCTTGAATCAGATGAATTCTGCAAGGGACTGGCACAGAATAGGGAACCCTTCTTGTGCTCTGGACACAAACCCTAAGCCAGGTGTACCTGGACATCATTTTCTAGGATGCACAAAGGGTCTTCATTCATTAATGCCTTGCACATGTCAGAAGGGAAGAGAGGCTTTGGGCCTCAGCCTTGCCATTCAGACCCAGCTCCTTACTGGTACAACCCTTCCATATCCCTTACTTCCAGGGCCTGGGAGCATGGTCTGCAATGCCCAATCATGTCTGGATGTGCCTCCAGGTTCAGACATTACTATCCCTGCTTTTTCTGGTTTTCATTTCCTTTTCTTGTGTGCTAGGCTTTTGAAATACATATTGCAGCCACTTGTTGCCCTGTTTTCTAAGCTGCCTTGAACTGCTGCCAGAGGCTGTTGCCAGAGGAGCTAATGACTAAGTCACTCTCCTTTTGGCCTCTGGCAGGACTGGAAATCCACTTGGGGATGGGGTAGCAAAGGCCCAGCCATCCTGAACCAATCAGGAAACCACAATAAAAGTGCCGACCAGGGAGTCAGTCACTCACCCTCAAAGCTCAGCGCTGAGCTCAGCATGGAGGTGTCCACGAGGCTGGGGATGCTCTAGTTTGCTTCTGCAGAACCACATCAGAAGCAGAGACTCAGGCACAAAGGCAGGACCTTCAGAGAAGCCTTGGGGGGTATCCCAGGGTCAGCAGGAAAGAGAAACTCACTGTGTTTCTGAGCCAGGAAAGACAGAGAACAGCAAAGAAACTCCAGGCTGTGAGCCAAAGACGGCAAACCCAGGTGAAGTAGATTATGAATAACAATAATAAATAATAGTTAACAGCTATTTTGAACTTACTTCATGTAAGGCCTTATCCAAACACTTTTAAAGTCCTACCTCATTCAGTTCTTCCAATAACCCTGTCAGATAGGCTCTATTATTTTTCTCACTTTCAGAATAGGAAACTGAGTCACAGATTTAGTTTGCAGTGGCCCAATGTTGTCCCAGTGATTCCCTCTTACAGGACAATTGCAATCCTCTTGGTTAGTAATCCTGATTTCAAAATGCATTTCCCAGTTGGTTTATTTGTTCAGGTGTATCCAGCACTTGTACTGAGAGCTCAGGATAGAGAAGATAAGACAGTCCTGGTCTTTGTCTGGCTGATTCTGATGGCCACAGCATCTCCAGCCACCCATTTTGACCTGTTCTTGTTTTCACCTTTGCTTTCCATTATTTATGGGGGTTTATAGTACAGTAAACCATTAGGTTGGTGCAAAAGTCATTGTGGTTTTTGCCTTTAATTTCAATGTCAAAAACCACAATGACTTTTGCAGCAATCTAATAGTTTCTATTTTCTGCCCATCTCCTACACCTTCATCTCTCTTGGATTTGCCATCACCTAGAATGTGCCTCTTCCCTATCTACCAATTTTGCTCTTTTGAGTTCTGCCTGTCCTCCAAGTATCACCTACAGTTTCCAATGTTGCTGCCTTCATTAAGCTTTTCACAAGAACCCCAACCTCAGGTCTTCTCTCTCTCCTCTGAACTGAGGGGATGAACACTTTGCAGCAAGTTTAGAGATTTTTACCTCATACTTCCTTGCATTGTCCATTTCCTTTATAACTGAAGAGAAATGGCCGTATCTTATCACTCTTTCAGTTTCTTCCATATGCTATTATGGAGTAGTTAAAAATAGCTTATGGATTAAGGAAATAATTTAACAAAAAGGATATGGTGGGCAGCTTCTAAGAGGGCACTATGATCCCCACCTCCTGGTATTCACGTCATTATGTAACCTTCTCCCCTTGAGTGTGGGCAGAACCTGTGACTTTCCTCTAGCCAATACAATACAGCAATACTTATAGGCTGCCACGTCTATGGTTAGGTTATGTAAAGTTGTGAATTCCATCTTGTTAGTAGACTCTCACTGGCTTTGAAGAAGCAAGCATCCATGTTGGGAAGGCCTACCTGGCAAGGAAATGAGGGCAGACTACAGCCAAGGAGAAACTGAGGCTCTCAGCCCCACAGCCATTAAAGAACTGAGTTTCGCCATCAACTCCATGAGGTTAGAAGCAGATCCTTCACAGTGCAGCCTTCAGATGAGACCTCAACCCTGGCTGACGGTTTCAGTTATACTTTGAGACACCCTGAACCAGACAGCCCATGTAAACTGTGCCCTCGTTGCTGACCCACAGAAATTACAAGATGATAAATGCATGTTGTGTTAGTCCATTATATTTGTGGTAATTTGGTACACAGTGATGGATAATACAGGAAGGTTCAGCAGACAAAGCCTTTTTGGAAGAATTCAAATGGATTGAAAAGTATAACTAAGGAAAGCAAGAGAGTGAGGTGACATTTGAGGCTGGGGAAGTGTGTGAGCAATGGCTTTATGGAATGTTCACAAAAGAGTTCCAGGCAGACCTGGAGATGTAGACAGGAAGCTAACTGGGGAGGCCTTAAAGCAAAAAGAAGAAAAAAAATACCAAGCCAGAAGAAAGAAAAATGGTGACAATGTAGAGAAATTGTGATAGTGAGGGGATACCTCCATGAACATTGAGAATGAGAGAAGACGGAGATGCTCCATTCATACCAGATGGCCTTTACCTTCGTATAAATGCAGGTTCTCAGGTTATCTGCTGAAAGCAAGAGAGGAAGAGGGCTTTTTAGTGTAACAATACTATTGATGACAATAAGTCACCATTTTACATCTCACTTAGGCCTCACAGCCTCCTTATGAGAGGTTTTATTTCCATCTACACTTTGTAGATAAAGATTAAAACATTCAGAGAGATTAAGTTACTTGCTAATTGTCATCCAGTTCAGAAGTGGCAGAATTTGGAAACAAACTCAGATCCTAGAGCCATGGTGTCATACTGAGGTTCTGGAACATTTTTCTGCAGATGCTGTGGGGAACATGCTCTTTGCCAGTGCTGTTTTACTGCTCTGTGTCAAGAGTGCTTTGGGAACAGTGACAGAAAACATGATGGGTTTAGACTCAGAAGGAGGAAGTGGTAGAAAACATGATGGGTTTAGATTCAGGAGGAGAAGGTGGTACAAAACATAATGAGTTTCACCTCAGGAGGAGGAAGTCTAGCAGGAGATAGAAACAGGCAGAAGAGAGGCTTTTTTATTGAGAAGACATGAAGTAATCTAGTGTATCAAGGTAAATTTTTCAGGAGGTGGAAGACAACCAGTGTGTGAAGGTTGTAGCTACTGGAGCATCTGCACACAGGAAAACACGAGCTTCCCAGAGACTTCAGATCAGAAAGCCTAGCTGAGCTGTGAAAGAAGACGGAAGATGAGGGACTGGCTCCAATTATAAAGTAAATCATAGAGTAAGATGGTGAATGGAGATATGTAGGTAAGGGATACAGGAAACCTGTCCACTTCATTCCAATAAACATTGATATACATGCTCATAGATTAATTGAATCTTTCACTGTGATTCCCGGACAAAGCAGTACCATCTCTGAAATAAAAGCCTCTATTTTCTGTTTCCATCTTTATGAGTCAAGCAGTTGTTATCATGTTTTTAGAAAACAAATGTAGGCTTCAAATTCGTAGTTACTCCGGCCTATTCAATGAAAACAACAATCATATGTCAAAATGATACGATGGCATGATGGTTCAGGATGGACTGAGTTGGCATGAGAGTTTACCAAGGAGGATGGAAGCATTTTCCAACTTTCAGAAAAAGAGTGATGGTGTGCTCACCTTTTTGGCATAATCCTGGGGTATTGAGAACCAGCCCTCATGCGATACTGAGAAAACCACTAAGAAGGCAGCTATGACGTTTCTTTCCTATTTTTTTCTCAATGCCTAGCTCTGTGTTTGGTGCCTAATAGGTGACTTATAAAAGCATATTGACAGAATGAATGAGTGGGGAATAACTTTGTATGTTGCTTTGCTCAGTCCCTTTGCAGTCTATTTTAGATAAACATACATTCTAGTGAGTACCAGGAATTAGACAGCACATATGCAGTTCAGAGACTGAGGGTCTGAGAAGTCCAGACTCCTCTCCCAGCTCTCCTCTCCACTTACAGAGGAAACCAACCTCCTCTTCTCCCCCCACCTCACAGAAGAGGGAGGCCAGCTCTAATGGCCTTGGCCCCAGTTTGCTTGTATAATTAATGTGGGATTTTTCCTCCTCTAGTAAAAAATGACCTTGTCAAACAAGAGACGACAAAATCTTGGTTACTGAGCAACTGTGGACTCCCTGCTGGGATGGCATCCTGGGCCTTGCAAAGAGAAATCTAATAAAATTGGTGTCAGGGGCTCCCTGGGTGCCAGTTCCCCTGCTGCCTGACCCCACAATCCCAATTTATTAGCCAAACCCAAGAAAGCAGACAAACCTCACTGGCTCCAGACAGGAGACTTCCAAGTGGGAGCTAATGTGGGGGCTGGGGCTAGGCTTCAGCAAAAATGACAAGGGAAATGACAGGAGGTGCCAGCCGACCAGGGAGCCTGGGGAAGCCTTATTCAGAGCATCATGCTGCCTTGACAGGGCCGGTTTCAACTTGGTAGAAGAATGTGTTAGAATGGCCCATTGGGAAAGGAAGTGTTTTTTCTCTCTTTGTACTGTTATTTGCAGGGCCATGGACAGCATGTCTTGCATTAGCCATGTTCCTGGGAGTCAGCAGGCGTCAGTAGAGGAATAGCCAAAGAAAAATATTTGCATGTGGAGTTTTCATTTTGTAAACTGAGCACTTCTTCAAGTACAAGAGAGTTTTAAGTGTACAGTCACTATTTACCCTTCCACACAACCAAAACTCCCTGCGATAGGAAACACTGATTTGCATTGTACACTAGCTGCACTCCTTATTAACTAAATGATCTTGGGAAAATTTCTTAACTTCTTCACCTATAAAATGAGATAACAGTACTATTCTCATAAGGTGAGGATTCAAATATGAGAAAAACAGAATAAACCCACAAAACGATAGCAAGTCACTATACCAGCAAAAATCAGCTAGAAAAAGAAAGTCTATTTCAAATAGCAATGAGAACTCTAAAATGTCTAGGAATTGTCTTAACAAATAATATATAAAGCCTATGGGGGAAAGTGTCAAAACTCTAATAAAGGACATAAAAAACCATCTGATAATTTTAAAGATATTCCATGCTTATGAATGAGATGTCTTAATATTTAAAGTTACCAATTATCTTCAAAGTAAACTATGAACTTAATGCAGTGACAACCTAAATTTCAGACAGATTTAAAAATATCTAGAGACTAGAAAAATGCACACAAATGTATATGATATAAAAATATAAAAGCCCATAAATAGGTCAATTTTGGAAAAGAAGAACAAAAAAGAGCAATGTACTGCACTAAATGTTAAGATATATTACAAAGTCATAGAAGTGAAAACAGTATGGCAGTGGCCCCCAAAATGAATAAACACATCAGTGGAACAGAAAGGAACATTCTCAGGGAGTTATATGCATACCTGAGCAGGTGATATATATATATATATATATATATAAAAGATGACAACAAAAATAAGTGGATAACATTTTATCTGTAAGTTTTAACTGATGGTGCTGAGAAATTTGACTTACCACGTGGATGACAATGGAAATCCTTTTACTACAAATAAAAGGGTGTCCAGATGGATTAAAGTCCAAAGTGTAAAACATGAAACTTGAAGTTTAAACAAAGAAAATATTATTAAGATTAGGAGCACAGAAGGATTTCTTAAAAAAGTCTCAAATATCACAAATCATATGTTGTCAAAGTTAAGAATCCCTGATCATAAATACCATAGACATGGTTAATAAACAGTTGACAGATTGGCAGAAATTACTTGCAAGTTATTTGCAAATTTTAAAATTAGCAAAGGACGAATATCTATAATGTATAAGAAACACCCAAAAGTCATAGAAATAGAATGAAGGGAAAATGTATGAGTAGGCAATACACAGACAAGGTAGTCCTAGTGACCAATAAATAAATAAAAAGATACTGAAACTCATTAGTAAACAGAAATATGAGTGGAAAAATGCAATATTACTTTATGCCATCAAATTGGCAAAAGCTAAAATAGTTGTATAATGTTGGGAGGAATATGGGCAAACAATAATCTTTTACTTTTTATTTTTTATTTTTTTAAATTTTATAGAATATATTTATTTAGTGGTAAGCATCTTTAAATTTTATACTAAAATTTTCCTTCTATAGAAGATGATCATAATATTTTCTTTTTTTTCTTTTATTATTATACTTTAAGTTTTAGGGTACATGTGCACATTGTGCAGGTTAGTTACTTATGTATACATGTGCCATGCTGGTGCGCTGCACCCACTAACTCGTCATCTAGCATTAGGTATATCTCCCAATGCTATCCCTCCCCCCTCCCCCCACCCCACCACAGTCCCCAGAGTGTGATGTTCCCCTTCCTGTGTCCATGTGATCTCATTGTTCAGTTCCCACCTATGAGTGAGAATATGCGGTGTTTGGTTTTTTGTTCTTGCGATAGTTTAGTTTACTGAGAATGATGATTTCCAATTTCATCCATGTCCCTACAAAGACATGAACTCATCATTTTTTATGGCTGCATAGTATTCCATGGTGTATATGTGCCACATTTTCTTAATCCAGTCTATCATTGTTGGACAGTTGGGTTGGTTCCAAGTCTTTGCTATTGTGAATAGTGCCGCAATAAACATACGTGTGCATGTGTCTTTATAGCAGCATGATTTATAGTCCTTTGGGTATATACCCAGTAAAGGGATGGCTGGGTCAAATGGTATTTCTAGTTCTAGATCCCTGAGGAATCACCACACTGACTTCCACAATGGTTGAACTAGTTTACAGTCCCACCAACAGTGTAAAAGTGTTCCTATTTTTCCACATCCTCTCCAGCACCTGTTGTTTCCTGACTTTTTAATGATTGCCATTCTAACTGGTGTGAGATGGTATCTCATTGTGGTTTTGATTTGCATTTCTCTGATGGCCAGTGATGGTGAGCATTTTTTCATGTGTTTTTTGGCTGCATAAATGTCTTCTTTTGAGAAGTGTCTGTTCATGTCCTTCACCCACTTTTTGATGGGGTTGTTTGTTTTTTCCTTGTAAATTTGTTTGAGTTCATTGTAGAGTCTGGATATTAGCCCTTTGTCAGATGAGTAGGTTGCGAAAATTTTCTCCCATTTTGTAGGTTGCCTGTTCACTCTGATGGTAGTTTCTTTTGCTGTGCAGAAGCTCTTTAGTTAAATTAGATCCCATTTGTCAATTTTGGCTTTTGTTTCCATTGCTTTTGGTGTTTTAGACATGAAGTCCTTGCCCATGCCTATGTCCTGAATGGTAATGCCTAGGTTTTCTTCTAGGGTTTTTATGGTTTTAGGTCTAATGTTTAAGTCTTTAATCCATCTTGAATTGATTTTTGTATAAGGTGTAAGGAAGGGATCCAGTTTCAGCTTTCTACATATGGCTAGCCAGTTTTCCCAGCACCATTTATTAAATAGGGAATCCTTTCCCCATTGCTTGTTTTTCTCAGGTTTGTCAAAGATCAGATAGTTGTAGATATGCGGCGTTATTTCTGAGGGCTCTTATTTTTATTAACTGTTGTTAAGAGAACAGGCTGATGCAACCAGAAATACTTAGTCTAATGATGTTTGGGCATATCTTATGATGCTGCAATCTCACTCTTGTTTGTACAGTATATTTGAGAGAACATCTAGCCCCAATTTCATAAGGGAACACATAGAGGATATTCATCACCATGGTGTTTGAACTAGGGATTGTCAAATATGACCAATGGGCCAAATATGTCCACAGGCATGTATTTGTGCACTGTCTATGGCTGCTTTTATGGTATAACAGCAGCAAAATCCTTAAAACCAAGACTTCAGAACCCCCAAAGCCAAATATATTTACTGTGTCACTCTTTATAAAAAATGTTTGCTGACCCCTGGTTTAAAGTATCAGGGAACATTAGACAACCTAGATGTTCCATTGCAGGGGAAAAGCTAAGGGAACTATAATGGACACACAGTATGGAATATTACGTTACTGTTATAAGACATTAACTACGTGAGACATATACTCATAAATGCAGTAAGATCCGAATGTAAGGAAGAAATAAACAGAACCAGTATACATGAATATACTTTTATAGAATTAAAAATACCTACATAACAACAACACTATACAATTTGCAAAAATATACAAAATATTAAGGTATCATATCAAAGACATTATGGTTGATAAAATGAGGAGAGGGGACACATGAATAAAATACACCATGAGAGAGTCTTTGTATGAGTCTTACAATAGAAGTATGCTATGAAATCAGAAGTGTGATTCACTCATGCCTCTATGCCTGAGATTCAAAAAATAAATGTGGAAAATGCTGAGTACAATGCTCAGTACACTGTGATTTTCAAAAAGCATGCATTACCATCATCATCATCATTATCATCATCATTATCACCTTATTATTAATCTTTTGAAAGTGAAACCCTAACCATGGAGCTAAAATCAAGAAAGAAGAACATGCTTAAGACAATCTTGTTGCATCAGTGAGCCTAGGATAATCGATTGACCGTCACCCTGTTTAGAAAAACTCTTTAGGGGTCAAAAGAGTTTTATGACTCCTTTTATGACTAAAATCTGTGAATTGATTGATGGAGAGGGTCAATTGTTTCCTGTCACAGTCACTATTTGCACTCGTCAATATTTCTGTTTCTTTGCCTTCCAGATTGGCTCTTTATCCTGGTCTTCCTTTTAGTTGGCCAGAGACTTGTGACTAGTTCTGACTGAGGAGCTGTTAGTGTAAGTGTTGTGTGACCCTTGTGGACCAGGGTATCAGTTGCTCTTTCTAGACCCTCCAGAACTCTCTATCCTGCTGGCACTGTGGCTAGCTATGTCTGCAGTGGTGGTGTCTCTTTAGTCCCTAGAGGACCACAACGACCAGAGCTAATGCAGTCCAACAATGGATGTGTTGATTGAAATCACTGAGATTTGGGGGATTGGTTGTTACCCAGCATAGCCTAGCCTATACACTGACTGACACACCTTCCAAATTTTCAAAGACCTGGAAGCTTAAAATTGGAAAGACCCTCAAATGCCATGCAATCAAAACCCCAACATGGGCAGAGGGAGTGAATGTTTAGAAAGAGAGGCTCAGCCCTAGTGATAAAGAGCCCACATCCTCCTCAAAAGCTCCTGTCCTTTTTCACTCACCTCTTATCATTATTGAGATTCTTCTGTTTGGAGCCAAATTTCACCTCCTGGCCACTTTGACTCATTTATATTAGTTCTGCCTTTATCCCTGTTTCACACAATAATTCTTCAGCTAGGGGAGTATGGTAGTCAGAAGAATGGTCCCCTAAAAGATGTCCATATCTTAATTCTTGGAGCCTATGGATTTGTTACCTCAAATGGCAAAAGGGACTTTGCAGATGTGATTACATTACGGGTCTTGAGATAGATAGAAGATTATCCTGCATTGATTGAGAAGGCTCAGTGTAATCACAAGGGTTCCTATAAGAGGGATGCAGGAGGGTTCGAGTGAGAGTAGGAGCTGAGGCAGTGGAAACAGAGGTCAGAGAGATGCCCCTGCTGGAAGAAACTTTGAGCCAAGGAACCCAGGCTTTCTCTAGAAGCTGAAAAGAATAGGAACAGATTCTCTGTACCCCCTCTCTACCAGCACTGATTTTAGCCCTGGAAGACCCACTTCATACTTCTCCACAAACTGTAGGATATAAATTTGTGTTGTTTTAAGCCACTAAGCTTGTGGTAATTTGTTACAAGAGGAAAAGAAAATTAATACAGTGAGATTACCATGTTTCTTTGAATTTTCAGTTTCCAGAAGAGTTGCCTTTTGCTACACCTGGTTTCTTTTTCAGTCTGGTCCTCTGATATTTTAAAAACTGGTTTCATCAATCCAGTTTGTAAAAATATGGGATTTCTAGAACTTTGTTTTTATTCTGGTTGTGACTTACTTAAGAAAGGAAATTGTAGCAAAATTAGCACTGCCTAGAACAGTCACCAAAGCAACACAGACTCTCTAAGCAGTTCATTGAACTTGGTACCTACCCAGACTCTAAATAAATATTTTTCGTAGTTGATATTGCTGCCATTTAGACAGATCTCCCCAATTCCATAGTCCATAGTTGTTCAGTTGATTTAGGGGGAATTAAGTGTGGATTTTATTGATTCCTTCAGATTACCAAGTAAGAGTTAGTTAATTCATGAGTCATGTATTTGGTCAAAACTAACAGCATTAATAGTCTGTGTTGGAACTATTAATGAGAATTCAAGAGTCTGACAAAACTTTGTCAGATTTGAGAAACAGAAGAACCTGCCTTTTTAGGGCAAAACCATATTAATAGCATTTTTAAAATAGATTTGTATGTTCTAGGGTCCTTATCGAATAAAGCACCTATTGCCTTATCCAAATCTCAAAACAATCATATGAAGAAGGGAGTATTATTATTATTGCCGTTTTTAAAACAACAAAATGTCATTAAGGGTTGCTTAAGCAATTCACCCAGTTTTCACAGCTAGCAAATGAGGGAGCTGGGCTGAAACCAGGCAGTCTGACTGTGCAGCTGGTGCCTTAAAACCATGCTACAGAATCACTCATAACGTTATAGCTGTATGGTCCTTACTGGCCTGTGGCTTAGATGTGTCTTATTCCAGGTCCAGAGGCTGCCTGGAGTATGTGGACACTGTCCTTGGAAATGAAATGACTTGTCAGCTCATTTTTGATGGATCACATTTCTTAGAATAAGCACAAAATATTTTCCATTTGCTAAGTGATTTTATCATGCCTCTCTGGGCTGGACTTTGGAGGGGAGAGAGGAAACAGGTTTCATGGTTAAAGCCTGAGACATACCTTTCAGGCAGTCATGGGTGAGGGGTTAGTAATGGGTGACTTCGGCCCCTCTTCATGCTCACCTGGCACAGGAAACTCTGGGTGGTTTGGCTCCAGCTCTTGAAAACAAGTTCCTTGTTTGCCCTCCTGAGTTGATGGTCTGGTGGAGAATTTGTCTGAAGGAATTTGTTCCAGGAAAGGTCCAGCTGCATTTGACAGGAAAGGGAGAAAAGAGAGAACGAGGCATAAATCTCTGGCCTTCTGCCTCTTGCTTGGGAATCTGTCCTTTCCAGCCTGTAAGTATGGAAATGAGTAACTGGTGAGTCTCAAAGCTTTGAATGAACGTCATACCCCTGGGCAGACATGTGGGCCCCCTGAGGAAAGAAATGTCCCTTTTCATAGAAAACATCTATATCCAATATTAAAAAGCTTACATTAGCCATTGGGCACATGAAAAAAACATTCAGCATCACTAGTCATTAAGGAAATGCAAATCAAAACCACAGTGAGATACCCCTTCACACCCACGAGGATGGCTATAATAAAAAAGACAGACAAACAAGTGCTGCTGAGAATGTAGAGAAATTGGAACCCTCATACATGGCTGATGGGAATATAAAATGGTGCAGCTATTTTGGAAGAGAGTCTGGCAGTTCCATAAAATGTTAAACATGGGTTAACCACATAACTCAGCAATTTCACTCTTAGGCGTATACCCCACTCTTAGGCGTATACCCAAGAGAAGTCAAAGGTTGATTGTAGCCTCTTGGGATATCTCAGCCATCTTGATAATCAGTGTCCCCACTTTTCTCTCCCCCTCATTTATTTAATGTTGTATGATTCCATTTTTAAGCTGCTGATAAAGACATACCCAAGTCTGAGTAATTTATAAAGAAAAAGAGGTTTAGTGGACTCACAGTTCCATGTGGCTGTGGAGGCCTCACAATCATGGCAGAAGGCAAAAGGCATGTCTTACATGGAGGGAGACAAGAGAGAAAATGAGGGCTAAGCCAAAGGGGAAATCCCTTATAAAACCATCAGATCTCATGAGACTTACTCACTACCAAGAGAACAGTATGGGGGACACAGCCCCCATGATTCAGTTATCTCTCACTGGGTCCTTCCTACCACATGTGGGAATTATGGAAGCTACAATTCAAGATGAGATTTGGGTGGGGACACAGCCAAACCATATCACATGCCCTATTCACTAACGATAAAAATCTGTCCAAGATGAACTACCAGCTGCCCACCTCTCAACCCCTTCCACTCAGCCTGCTTCACCCAGTTATTCTGTCTGCCTGGCCCTGGAACACTTTTGGGTTTGAGATGGACTCAAATTAGAGAGTAGCATTTTGTGGGACATCACAAAGGGAAAATGGGACACTAACTAAAGCCAATACCCCTGTCATTGGCAGCTATCAGAAATGAGGTGTGGGCCTCAAGGCAGAGTCAGAGTCATGGAATTAGAATAGTGGATGAGAGGTTGGGACCTAGATTTCAGCAAACAATAATGAAGGGCAAAAGGAAAACAAACTTCTCCAACATAAAAGAGAGGAGTCAAGCCCTGTGGGCCTGATCAACAGCTGGTCCTTAGTGAAAAAAGACATGAGTTTTAAAAAGAGCAGAATATGAAGTTTCACCTTAGATCCTGGGACTTGATCCTTGGAACTTCCGAAGGTTTTTGGATCCTTGGAAACCCTTAGGAAAAGCAGCAACTCTCTTTGAAGGGTTTTCTCTGTTGGCAATTATTACCTTAAAGTAGAATGTTAATAGTCAGCCAGAAGCCAGTTCCAAGCAATCCATCAGACATGTCTACATGGGTCTGAACTTTACTCATAAGCAAGGCTAAAATTCTGTCCTATGGGTCTGTTGGGTCCCATGTTAACCAACTTGAAAGTATCAGCGAAGGGATGACAGGTGTCATGTAATTCTACATCCTGATGTTTCCAGCTGATTGATTGATAGAATAATTTCTAGTTTCATTTCTTCAAGCTTTTGTTTTTTTCAATCAATCTCTTCTCAAATCCAAAGGTAACTTGTATTCTACAATTCTTATTTGTCTTTCCTGACTGTATAAATGTATTTCTAAGATTTACCACACACATTACTTACTTATGTGTAATAGGTAAATGTTTAAAATGTATTTGTCTGACAGATTTGAACATGCCTCCTCTGTGCTTTCTATTTACCATGTATTTTCTTTGTTCACTCCACACCCCATCCTATTTCCTGTTTTCTCTTCAGATGATCCAGCTTATTTTATGTTTTCGTGTTTGTTTTTCTTTGTCGGGAAGTTATATATTGCCTACTATTTTAGTAGTTATCATTAAAGTTTTTTTATGTGCATAATCATCTTAACAAAGTCTTAAATTAAGCAACCTGTCTCTTTCTTAGCTTCCAAAAAACCTTAAAATTCTTTAACTTGGTTTTACCCACTTTCCATTTTCATGCTACAGCTTCTAGTATCTTATTTACCCTATGATCTGCTGTCCACTAAATAAGGCATTGTTATTATTACAATTATTACATTTTAGAGCAATTTTAAAAGATTTGCCATTGCATTTACCAATTTCTTTTTAACATTGCTTCATAATACTTCTTCCTTGTTAGATCAATTTTCCATTTTTCTGAAGCCTGTCCTGGTGAAAGAAAGAAACCATTTGTGATTTGTGCTAAACATACCCATCATCTTCCATAATTGCCTCAGCAATTTTGCAGAATATGAATTATTATCCCCATTTTACAAATTAGAAAAGAAAGGCACAGAGAGGAAAATGACATGCTCAAACAAATCACAATACTGATGTATTTCAGATGCAGCCAGATATTTTGATAAAATACATCTTTGAGTGGCGAAAGAAGCAATTTGCTTAGAGTTAAATAGAAATATAATGGGTTCATCAAGAAACAATTGGGGGGTTGCAGAGTACTTGTAGACAGGCCAAAGTGCTTAAACTCAAGTGATTTGTGCAAAAGAAAAATCCATTATTCTGAAAAAATTGCTTTAACAGAGAATTTTCAAAGCATAAGAGTTGTTACATTCAGCAAGAAAAAGGGAGGGAGTGGTGAGGGAAGGTAACGTTATCACAATGACTAACTTGACTTTATTTTCCCCAAATTTCTAAATCTTACAGTTTAAGAGGAAATGCTTTGGGGAGAGATAATCTTTAAAATTTGTTCACTGCATTGGTTTTTAAATTTTCAAAAGCATATCTGAATTAAAGGATGGATAAGACACTTTACATCAAAATTCACTCAGGGCTGATATGTGATGACTGGTGATGTTTCTAAGGATAACATTATGAAATTAGTTAAGAACAGGAAAAAGACTTTAATAATTCATTATCAGTCATTACCTTTGGTGGTGTTTGTTATTGTTTGTAACCTGAAGACCTATAGGGATAATAATAACAATAGAAATGATAATTACATTTTTAAAAAATAATTCAATACTAAGCAGATTACAGACAAGCAACACGATTAGACAGGCAGCACTCAAGATAATTCACTCAGTCTGTTGATGGATTCCACACTTCTCATAAGCATAAGATTCATTTTCACAATTAAAGCTAGATCATTAAAATTGCAGCCTGTTGGCAGTAACACTTTTTGCAGCCCAAATTCTCTTTAAAACAAAACTTGTAGTCATTAGAATGGTGACAATGTGCTGAAAACACCCACTTTGGCCTTCCCTGGGCATTCTGTTCTTCCTGGCTTGCACTTCAACAAGTTGACAGCCTTATTTTGTAGGCAACTTTAGTAGATTGTCAACTCTGGCTACCACCTATCCTCAGGTAGGATGGAGCAGAAATTTTATTCCCTTAAAAAAACCGCATCTTGCCTAATTCAAGGGACTGTTGTGTTGAGGATTCAGGGTGCAGGCACCTGCTGCCCACAGGCCTTTGGGTGGTGTGAGAACACCAGAATCAGGTTACCGTCACTGAGTTGCCAAACCACATTCTGATTCTAATGCTGGCCAGCTGTGTGCCCTTGGGTCTTTGACTCAATCTTTCTATGTCTTGGTTTCCTCATCTCTAAAATGAAACTGCGGTACCCAAGCCCTAGGACTGTTAAGAAGGTTCAGTGAATACAAGTGAAGCTCTTCCTGATGATATCTCAAGCACCTTACCCTATTAGTACACATGAATCTTCCTCATTATTGGAAATGATTGATTGAAGACCAGTTTTATCTCAGAAGGCTGAGTTTTCACATGAAGACTTTTTTATTTTCTGTGGTTTAGTTACCTCTATACAGTGGTCAACAAGAAAGTTGCAAATGGAATCAAATTCACAAAAATACATTTCATGAATTAAATATTTTCATGGGCTTTGCCAAGGGCACACAATTAAGCTCTGTGTTGCTCGATTTCTGGGTGCTCATGCATCTGCTCCTTCAAAACAGGTTAGTGCTTTGATCTGATGGGCCAGTGTGGACAACGATGCTGGGCTTGTGAGTGGCCTCCGTACACAGAGCTCCTGAAATGCAAGACCAAGTAGGCCAAAATTTCAGGCTGTATATGTTCAAAGCTTTGCTAAAACTCAGTGTGGCAGACCTTCAGCTTCTACTCTGTAAACCCTAAAGGCCATATAGCAGTTAACTGAATGTTCCAGAATTTCCATGATGTGTTTCTGTTCAAAAATTCAGTCTTAAAATTTCGTTTTCACTTGAACTTGACAGCCCCTGACCTTGTATTTTGGAGTTGGAAAATGTGAACCAATACACATAATAGCTAATTCCCAGTGGGGATTCTAGACAAAGAAGATAACGTACTAGAGTGAATATTTGTTATCTTTGTAAATATTATCTTTGTAAATAAACAATAGCAACACAAAGTTCTATAATGCTGATGACTTCATGAACAGGAAGAACAGAGGAAGAAGGGAAAAGGGATGAAGTCTTCTAGCATTGGACCATCCAGTGTTGTAGTCACCAGTCATATGTGGCTAGCAAGCACTTGAAATGTCTCTAGTCTGAATTGAAATCTGCTGTAAGTGTAAAACGCACACCAGATTTCAAAGAAGGAGTTTGAGAAAAATAACAGAAAATGTGTCATTGATAATTTTTGTATTGGTTTCTTGTTGACATAATATTTTGCCTATATTGGGTTAAATAAATGATGCTACTATAATTATAAACGATGCTACTATAATTAATTGTATTCACTTTTCACTTTTTAAATACGGCCACCATAACATTTAAAATTACATATTCAGCCAGGTGTGGTGGCTCATGCCTGTAATCCCAGCACTGTAAGGGCAAGGTGGGAGGATCACTTGAGGTCAGGAGTTCGAGACCAGCCTCGCCAACATGGTGAAACCCCGTCTCTACTAAAAATGCAAAAATTAACAGGATGTGCTCACTTGTTCCTGGGAGGCGGAGGTTGCAGTGAGCCAAGATCATGCCACTGCGCTATAGCTTAGGCAACTGAGCGAGACTCTGTTTCAAAAATAAATAAATAAATAAATAAATAAAAGTACATATGTGACTTTCATTATATTTCTGTTGGACAGCTTCCTTTAATACACAAAGATAATTTCCTATTTATTGTATGTAAATAGTGTCTTCAGCAGAATGGAAGCAATTTATACTTATTTATTTACATATGCTTGCCAAAATATCAATTTCCCAAAAAACATTTCTCACGTAGACCTGAGGTCAACCTAAACCCTGTTTCTGTTCCACACTCACAAATTATGAATTAGTGAATTCTAAATGAAAGCAGGCCCACCACATTTAGCACATGAGATAAAGAGGAAATAATGCGACTCATCTGTAAGCTTAAGTTAAGTTTGGTTTAGAAAAGCAATGAGAAATGTGACAGTCCCACTCTTTAAACAGACAAAATGAAAAATCATAAGCAAAACAATCTATGTGATTGTATGTTCTCACTCACATGTGGGAGTTAAGCTATGAAAATGCAAAGGTATAAGAATGATACATTAGTGTTTGAGGACCCGTGGGGGAAAGGGCAGGGGGTGGTGACGGATAAAAGACTACACATTGGGTACAGTGTACACTGCTCAGGTGATGAGTGCACCAAAATCTCATAAATCACCACTAAAGAACTCAGTAACCAAATGCCACCTGTTTCCCAAAAACCTATTGAAATAAAAAAATCAAAATTAAAAAAAAAACCTATGTGGATTTAATGTATCATTCAAAGATGCTTCAGATTTTGATGACAGAGGGATGTGGCAGCTATTTACCATTCTGGTACCTGTAAGTACCTACAGGTTTTAGGTTTTTTATCCTAGGATGCTTCCTTCATTCCCATGAGATGTTTCAGTAGAGAGGAGCCAGCGCAGCTTCCAGTCAGAGCTGGAGAAGCGCAGAGACTGTACAGACAGCAGGATACCCTGGATCAGGCTGGATTAAGTTGCCTGTCTCTGTTCTCTGCATCTCCAATCCATTGAGAACCTTCATTGAAGGAAATTCTCTTCCCCTAGCCTGTGACATTCTGAGCTTATTCTGTGAATTTTCTTCATGCCTACACCTCTGTGCAAATGACAGTAATCAAGCAACCTGGCTGTACAGTGTTTGGGGAGAAAAGCACTTGGCTCAATGACATCTGCAGCCTGCTGCCTATACTGAATTGCTGTGTCCTGAGCCAAGGCTGAGGATGCCTGTTACAATAAGACCTCTTAGCAAGAGACGGCACACTGAAGACACAGCTCTTTGTCAGAAGCGATGACCAGAGGTAAGACAACAGTGTTCCAGGGCACCAAAGCTGGCATATTATTGTACAGCCTTATTGTTAAATGCTCAGGAAAGTAACATAAAATGTTCCAGAAAGCATATATATGATGGCTCTAGGAGTCAGTCAGAGGAAGAGATTGGGAAAGGGTGGAGCACAACAGCTTTCAAGCAAGGAAGGCAGGGTGGAGGTAGCTGGCAGTAATATCAGCAATAACACTGACAGTAACCACTGGCCTATTGAGTACTTACTTTGCATCAGATACTGTAATTGCTTCATGTGTATTGGCTCATGTACTTTTTATAACCATCCTACTGTTCTCTCTATTTTATAGACAGAGAGCTTTGGATGGTTGAGTAAGTTGCCTAGTATCACATAGCCAGGACATAGGTAGGCAGATCTAGGATACAAACGGGAGTCTTTCTCACTCCAAAGTCTCTGAATTTTCCACTGTGCCAAGAGGACAGGTCATGAATATATTCTATCCTCTTATTCTTCACCACTTTGAGAAATTTGTGAGCATTGCCCATGTAATTACTATTCATCTACAGCTCTAGATAAGTGGTCTCAAATGAGCCCCAGAGAACATTTGGCAATGCCTGGAGACATGTTTTGCCACCACTGGGGTGGCGGGTGCTACTAGCATCAAGTGAGTGGAGGCTAGGGGAGCTGCTAGACATTCTATAACACAGAGGTCAGCCCCTCACACAGAAAAGTCTTAGCCAGCCCCAAATGTCAATAGTGCCACATTGAGAAACTGCACCAGAGGAAAGGCATGGAAATCAATGCAGAACCCTATCTCATCCTGCCCCATCTAGGTCACTCCATAGCTTGGTTGGTCATTCATTCATTCAGTCATATTTATTAAGCACCAACCAAGTGGCCAATGCCATGTTAGGCTCTGTGGACATACATTATTAAAACATCAAATGAAGTTATTCAATATTTGTCAAAAGTATAGTTAAAACCCATATGCCACAGGTCTAAGTAGTATAGAAAGGAGGATATTTCAGGGAAGTAGTTGATACACAAATGTTTTGAGAATCCAACATGCTGCTTTACATGTTTTAAGAAAGATAAGAAAGAAGATTAAAAAATATTTACATATCAGTGCATCTTTATTTGAAGTTAAATCTATACTTAGTCTGTATCCTGTCAATGCTATGTTTTCGTCTAACTGAGTTTACTAAAATGTACAAAGAGCTTTCCTATAACATTTAGGAATTTGTTTTAATGTATCTACAAAGAATATTGACAGCCTTCAGACTTAAGTGTCAGTCATTGAAAATTATATTTGCTGGAGTGTTTGTTGTAGAAAATTACATTTATTCACTTACAATTGAAACAATGGCTGTCATAAGAGGTGAAGTGTGTTCATCTATCTTGTATTAATTAGCCCATTGACTAAGGCTTCCCTAAGCTTGTAATTAACCAAGTCTGTCTGTGAGAACAGTGGTATTAAGCTAGCAACACTTTTGAGAGTCTTCTTTGCATTGATTTATGCAAACAAACATTTAAAAGTAACTTGAAGAGATTAATTTTGTAAGACATCTCACAATCTTCCACAGCACAAGGAATTCAATAGTTAGAAAAAAAAAGTGTTTCTAAACTCAAAAGTTAACTGCTTGGCAAGGGAAACAAAAAATCAAAGAAATAATCACAATAAGAATTAAAACTATAACTGTCATGGCTACAAAGAAAGAGAGACTCAAAGTATAAGGAGTAAACAGAATGGGGAACATGACATGGCCAGTGGTGTGGAGTTGGGGGAGGCTTCTCTGAGGAAGTGGTATTTGAGCTGAGAACTCACCAAAGTGCAGAAGTTATTCCAGGCAGAGGGAAGAGTATATGCAAAGGCTTGGAGTCAGAGACAGTTTGGTGGGCGGTGTGCCTGGTTCTAAGGGAGTGTGGACAAGTGCAGTGTCTGATAGTCAGAAGGGTAGGCAGAGCTTGTACATTGTGGGTCCAGGCAGGCCACATTACTGGGTTTACTTCTTTTTTATATTGACATCAATGTGGAATAATCAAAATGCCAAAATCAAGAAGGCAAAATGAGAATGTTCATTTTGAGAAGCTCACTGGGCAATGAATGGATCATTGCAGGAGCTGAGTAAAGGCAAAGAGACCAACTAGCAGATAATTGTGCCAACCAGTATATAGATAATGATGGTTGGAAATAGGTCAATGACAATGAAAATGGGGAAGAGTAGGTGGATTCAAGAGAAATTTGGGAGGTAAAATCCACAGGGCTTTATATACAATGGATTGGCTATGATGGCACGGGCGAGGGAGATGGAGGTGTTTGTTAAATACTTTTTATTGGGCTTAAGGGTTTATATCTCATACACTGGGGACAGCAAAAACATGGCTGATGTTATGGCAGAAGTTTCGTGAGCACCTGCACTGTCTCCTATGAACAGGAAAAAGGGAAAGATCGTTCTATTCCCCTATAGTGGTGTACAGTATTACCAGGTGCCTAATATGGCCTTTAATATAGAGGAAAAGAACCATCAGCTCTGCAACAGGAGGGGAATTCTGGGGCATCTGAATATTTAACTCAAGGAATTCAGGCCCTGCCAAATCTCAGTCACAATGCAAACCTTTATACCCCATTTCCTTCTGTGCCAATAATGACATTTGGAACAGGAGGGAGAAGTCTACTGAAAAGCAAGATCCTCCTCAGCAAGCACATTGGTCAATCCCTGCTGGGCTGTCTGTTTCAGCTATTAATTTGCATGGGCTGCTTCTGGACTGATTCTGTGATGGATCTGTTGCCAAGATCAGCCATTAAAAGCTTACTTGCATTTCTGCTTTCTAGACATGTCATATCATGAGGCCAAGAAAGAGTGGACAGGTACATAAGCTATGGCCTGAAATGGAAGGAGATGAGTCTGTTGCCAACAGCCAAGGAGAGTAGTAGGGGTGACTAGAGGGGAGGGGAGGAGTGGAAATCAGGTTTGAAAGAGACAAGGTCTCAACCTGAGCCCAGGCAAAGGACAGCCACTCTCTAAAGTGTGGCAGCATGGGTTTCTAGAAGAACTTTGGAGTTTGACCTCGGCTCATATCCCAGCTCTGCAAGAAGTGAGCTTAAGGCAAGTCATTTCACCTCTCTGAACCTTGGTTTCTTTTGAAAAAAAAAAAAAAAAAAAATGGAAACCATCCTGTCTACTTTGGATGGTGGTGAGAATGAAGTGATGTTGCCACAAGCATTGGGAAGCCTTTGGCTTGGCTCCAGGTCTGTCTGGCAAACACTTGGTTTTAAGGAAGTAAAGGCCACAGATGTAAGCCTACCACCATGCTTTTGCTCACTGACTTCCTCCCACTATCCTAGACCAAAACCATATGGACCCCTAAATACTCACAGTCTTGAGTTCAATGCATTATCTGAATCAGTCAGTTTCTCCATTGACTGAAGGCAAAGTGGCTGAGATAGACATTTGGATGGACCTTCCTGTATAATGTAAACCTATCTCTCTGAATCAGCTGGTGAGGTAATGGGGTGTTAGTCACATGCACACTGAGTTGTTAGGGAATATTAAATGACATCACTCCACTTGTTATTATTTCATCTGTTAAAATTAGGTTTCTGCCTGAAATTGCTTAGTGACAATACTCCTGGACTTTCTTCAAAAGCTGTAAAGATGGCCTCTCGAATTTAGAAAACGCTGAAATTGTTGGAAAGTTTTACTAAGCTGTTTAGAATTTAAAACAGCAGCTTCCAGCAAAGCAGTTGAGAAATAAACAGCATCTCAGGGTGTTTTCCAGTTCCTTCATGAGGCAATAACTCAAAATCTTGTCACATTTGGAAAAGGAGACAGATCAAATGTCTAAACATTCTAAGTGTCTTCAAAGAAAATACTTCTCCCTCTGGAACAGTGAGTCTGGTATTAAACAACATGATTGCTTGATGAGTTTTATCATGGCGTCTTAGACCTGGGAAATATCTTACAAGTCATGTCTCAGTCTTTTTCCCAAGTCAATGAAAATGTCATTTGCTTTATAAAGAATGGGTATTTCACAAGTTTCCCTTGTAAATTTTTTAAAGGCTAAATTCATTCATTGCAAGGAAACTCTGGTAGATGTTTCATTCCCATTTTTCACTTTCGTCTGCACCTGTCCTGTCCAGGTATTAGAAGAGACAATCACTTTCTCATCTGAGAAGATCCTCCCTTCTTTCTGACATGGTCAGGTTCTATTTTATCTCAAAGCTTATCTTTTTTATAACCTCCTTTGTGAGACTCTTTCCCTACCTTTGGGGAAATCACACTCCTACTTGTACTAAGTAATCTTGCAACAGTGTCTATCCCCTCTCATCATTAGTATGTGTGTCCTTGAATGAGTTTTTCAGTGTACAGTCATAATCCTTTGAGGTTTCAGGTGGACAATTAGTCCTGGCTATTGACACTACAATGCTGGAAGGTACTAAGGAGATTGTTAAAGCATTCTCACTTTACTGCTGAAATAACCAAAGGCCAGAGAGGAGAAGCCATTTACCTATACATACATGGTGACATAAGTGGAGCACATACTAGACCTTCTGACTTTCAATTCAGCTTTTTTTCAGCTATGATGACATGTCAATAGGTTCGCAATTGGCCCCTGGTTCTTCAGAGACATTCAGTCAGTTCTTATTGAGTGAATAGATACTGAATGAGTAAAGAGGAACATTTTCTTAGGAATTTAGTTTTAAGTACAACATGGATGCCATGTCAGATGAAAGCACTCACAACTTCGTCATAGATAAATGTTTATGGAAGGCCCCAGTGATGGGATTGAAGGGTCTCATCCTGGAACTGACTGGAGATCGGTCAGGAAGAATCAGGAAGAATCTGATTCTATTTGGATTCCAAATCTTGTTTGCCAGGTCATGTATGATGTGAATTCAGAAGTCAATTAATTTACTAATTCAGTCAAAGCCAATGATTCTGGAAGAGGTGAAATAGCATTATTGGAGTTGAGGATAAGAAGATATTTTGAATTCTCAGTAGCTCAAACTTGCCAGGGGCTTCCTATTCTGGCCCAGGTACCATCACCTTGGGAAGACTTCCTTGTCAGCTGCCAAAATCTCACTTCTTCCTTGGCCCCTGAGAATCCATCCCTTGCTCCAATAGCCAGAGCTACTAATATCCCCTTACCTCAGTGCAGTCAATGGAAGTGATTGGAAACTCTTTCCTCTACTTACATAAACACCTGCCTCAATACCTAGCAGGTATCTACTTCTGCCTACCTAGAGAGAAGTGGATACATTTCTGGATTTGTCAGAATAAATTTAAATAAGGCTGAGGATCCATTCATGGAATCTTGTCCCTCTGGTGATCCTCAAAGCAATTAACAGGGGGGTATAAAAAGTACTTGGATCTTTGTGAGCAAACAGAGATGCTCAGTGTAACTGTAGCTTGAGTACAAAGAGTAAAACTGTTTAATTTGTGCTGACACTCTAGAGAAGTCAAGGGTAGAGAGATGACCGTTGTGTGAGATAGGAAAAAACAAATCATGTTTCTTACTCTCATACTCAACGCAGTACACAGAACACTTCTAACATCAAACATGTAAATTTTTACCCACACATTAATCCTCTGGCAGAACACCCACTAGGTGTCCCGAAATTTAATTAAATTCTGACTATCTACATTTAGTTAGACTCAGATCCCATAGGTTAAGGGATCAGTCCCACAGGACTGCTCTGACCCCCCCACCCCCGACCAAACTTCAGATGCCAATAACAAACTCAGGCCTCAGGAACATCAGGCTGACTAGCTATACAGGGGAGATTTCCACAACTCTCTCCTCGGCTTCCATCATTTGCTAGAGTGGCTCACAGAACTCAGGAAAGTGCTTTATTTACACTCATTGATTTCTTAGAAGAGGTATTACAAAGGATGCAAATAAACACCCAGATGAAGAAAGAATAGGCATTGAACTTCCTCCAGGAAATCTCCATGCTTTCAGCCATACAGAAGCTCTCCTATAGCTTGGGGATTTTACGTAGGCTTCATCATGTTAGGCATAGTATATTATTAACTAAATCTGCAGCTCCACTCCCTTTCTCAGAGGAAGGGAGTGGAGCTGAAAGCTCCAAGCTCATAATGATGGCTTGGTCTTCCTGGTGCCCAGTCACTATCCAAGAGCACACCAAGAGATGCCTCAGAACAGAAAAGACTCTTATTACTCAGGAAATGACAAGGGTTTTAGGAGTTCCGTGCTATGAACTGGAGGCAGAGACCAAATATATATTTCTCATTATATTACAGTATTACAGCCATGTTAATGGATGGATGAATGTGTGGATGGTTTAGACAAATTGTTCTATGAACGAAAGCCTTTCTTGTATCAACACAGAACAACTGACTTGACTTTTCAGAATTATGAGCCTAAATAATTTATTAAAGGCTAGGAAGACAATGAATTTGCTTAACTCAAACTTACTGTCTTTCCTAGACAATTTTTATTCTCTTTTACTTCTAGAAATTATATCCTATCCTCCATGCCCTTATAACACTCTGTAGTTTGCTCAGCTACATTTATGTCTTTATGGTGACTTGCCCATCTGTTTTCATGAGGCTGTGAGCTCCTTGATGGCAGAGACTGTCTTTTTTTCTTTTTATCTATGTGTTATTATCGTTCACTTTTTGTTTTAAAATAATTTCAGAATTATAGAAAAAATTTAAAAGAGTATATGACCTTTACTTAGATTGTCTGCAAATTTTAAAAATGTACTACATTTGCTTACCGTTCTATCTTTCTATCTACCTATCACCTATCTACACACACACAGACACACACACAGACACACATACACACTTTATTATGAAATGTTTAAATGAAGGTTGCACATGATACTCCTTTACCTCTAGATGTTTCAGTACGAATTTCCTAAAATCAAGGGCATCTTCTTATGTAATCACAGTTAAATGATCGAAATCAAGAAATTAACATTGATTCAGTACTATTAACTAGTCAATAGAGGCCTTATTCAAAGTTTACTAGTTGTCCCACTAAATCCAAGGTTCCAAGTCCAGGATCTTATCCACACTCACAGGTTGTATTTAGTTGCCATGTCTGTCTAATCCATCATGTCCTTTTGTTACTCTTGAATCTGGAACAGTTCCTCAGCCTTTCTTTGTCTTTTATAAACTTGGCACATTTGAAAAGGAGAGACCGGGTATTTAGTAGAATGTCTCTTAATTTGGGTTTGTCTGAGGTTTCCTCATAATTATATTCAGACCATGCAACTTTGGCAGAAAAACCACAGAAGTCATGCTGTATCCTTCTCGGTGCATCATATCATGAGGCACATGATGTTGATTTGTCCTGTTTTTTTGTGATGTTAACTATAATTGCTTCATTAAAAGAGTGTCTGCCAGGCTTCTCCACTGTGAAGTTACTATTTTTCTCTTTGCAATTAATTAGTATCTTGTGGGGAAATACTTTGAGACTATGCAAATATCTTGTTTCTCATAGTACTTTCACCTACTAATTTTAGCATCCATTGATGATCCTTGCCTGAAACAATTATTACTCTTGTGGTTGCCAAGTGGTGATTTTCTAATCTCATCTTTCCTTCTATATTTATTAGTTGGAATTCTGACATGTCTTTTCCATCTGTGTCCTCATTGCTTAGGTCAGTCTGGTCCAAAGAAGGTATTATTTTGTGTGAGTTGTTCTCGTTAGTTGCTTAGTGTTATTATAAAAATATTACAAGCAACATCATTGTTTTAAAGAAGAAAGCAGGCAAACATGGTAAATTGTGCTATTCAATAAACTTTATATGAATTGTAATTTAAATAGGTCTTTTAAAAATTAGCATAGACAAAGGCACTTTGTAAACATCATCAGAATACATAAACTGTGGTCCAAAACCCCTTACATAAATGAGACAAGTCTCCAGGATAAAGCCTTCCATCCTCTCTCAAGTGAGTGGGTGTCAGCTGTCTCGGACATAGAGGACTGAGTCATACCTGAGACTATCCTTTGCTTCTGGGTCAGCAAGTTACCCAGAAGAAACTTAACATTGTGATGACACACTTGAGAAAGATTGGACAGTTTTCACAGACAGTTTCGTCTTACTCTCTGTTCTTCAAATTTTAGTTTTTATTTCTCCATAACACAAAAACAATGGGGCAAATTTATTTGCTGCTCCTAGAATTCTTTGAATTTCAAGATATGGATATATTGTTACATTTCTATATACATGGTAGGACCACAAAAAGGGTTAAATAAAAGCATTACATAGATACTACTTACTCCTCAGGGTCCTACAGACATCTTCTCCCCTATCCTGTTTCTTCTTTCTCAGCCTCCTTGTGCAGCGTTTCTTTGTCCTAAACTTGACCTTAGCTGCTGACTAGTTTCTCCCATGACTCAGCCAAAATACTGCACAAGCCTTTACCTTCAGTCCTCTGGGGTTTTGCATCTGGGCAAGTGGCTCTCTTTTCTGGGCAAGCTCTGATCTTTCTTCCTGGAACCCTCCACTGCCACATCTGTCAGTTTGAGGTCTCTGACCCCATCTGGCTTTCCTCCTGGGACACTGGCCCTCTCCCAAGGACAGCCAGAACTCCCAAGTTAATTATCTAGAGTCATATTGCTTCCCTGTCTATCCTGACTTAAAAGGGGGAAAAATCCTGCTTCCTTTTGGTTCTCCAGAATAATTTAGAACTTTTCAGAAAGAATTACAACTATAAAACAAGGATAAAACAGAGACAAAAAGGTTAAATAGAAAAATAGTTTTTAAAGACTCCAAAGTTCATATCAAATTTAGTTTTAAATACAGATTATATTAAGTGGCCTAAGTTAGACTACTAGGACCCACAGTACTGATCACTACACCATCCATTAATTTTATCTTTTAGGGAAAGCCCTTGGGTGAGGTGACATCTGTTTTTAGTTTTAAATATTTCTTGGTCCCATCTTATGGAAAAGGAACCAAGGTATAGTTCCACAATCTCATGAAACTCCCAACTCGATGAGGATCAAGGCTATGGCTGTGGTATTCACAGACAAATCTTCTGAGGCTCATATAAAGTCTGTAGTAGAGTAGGTAATCCAATGATCATGCACTTAAATTTTCTCAAAACATTCTCCCACAGAACTTTAGCAAATTCCTGAATTTCCAGTATTTAGGCACCAGAACTATATCTTCCAAACTGCAGAATTAGAAAACAAAGTCTGATGGGCTTCCCTTTGAGGGTAACCCGACCTTTCTCTCTGGCTGCCCTTAACATTTTTTCCTTCATTTCAACTTTGGTGAATCTGACAATTATGTGTCTTGGAGTTGCTCTTCTCGAGGAGTATCTTTGTGGCGTTCTCTGTATTTCCTGAATCTTAACGTTGGCCTGCCTTGCTAGATGGGGGAAGTTCTCCTGGATAATATCCTGCAGAGTGTTTTCCAATTTGTTTCCATTCTCCCCATCACTTTCAGGTACACCAATCAGACGTAGATTTGGTCTTTTCACATAGTCCCATATTTCTTGGAGGCTTTGCTCATTTCTTTTTATTCTTTTTTCCCTAAACTTCCCTTCTCGCTTCATTTCATTCATTTCATCTTCCATCGCTGATCCCCTTTCTTCCAGTTGATCGCATCGGCTCCTGAGGCTTCTGCATTCTTCATGTAGTTCTCGAGCCTTGGTTTTCAGCTCCTTTAAGCACTTCTCTGTATTGGTTATTCTAGTTATACATTCTTCTAATTTTTTTTCAAAGTTTTCAACTTCTTCGCCTTTGGTTTGAATGTCCTCCCGTAGCTCAGAGTAATTTGATCGTCTGAAGCCTTCTTCTCTCAGCTCGTCAAAGTCATTCTCCATCCAGCTTTGTTCCGTTGCTGGTGAGGAACTGCGTTCCTTTGGAGGAGGAGAGGCGCTCTGCTTTTTAGAGTTTCCAGTTTTTCTGTTCTGTTTTTTCCCCATCTTTGTGGTTTTATCTACTTTTGGTCTTTGATGATGGTGATGTACAGATGGGTTTTTGGTGTGGATGTCCTTTCTGTTTGTTAGTTTTCCTTCTAACAGAGAGGACCCTCAGCTGCAGGTCTGTTGGAGTACCCTGCCGTGTGAGGTGTCAGTATGCCCCTGCTGGGGGGTGCCTCCCAGTTAGGCTGCTCGGGGGTCAGGGGTCAGGGACCCACTTGAGGAGGCAGTCTGCCCGTTCTCAGATCTCCAGCTACGTGCTGGGAGAACCACTGTTCTCTTCAAAGCTGTCAGACAGGGACATTTAAGTCTGCAGAGGTTACTGCTGTCTTTTTGTTTGTCTGTGCCCTGCCCCCAGAGGCGGAGCCTACAGAGGCAGGCAGGCCTCCTTGAGCTGTGGTGGGCTCCACCCAGTTCCAGCTTCCCGGAATTCAACAAGAAGAGCTAACTATCCTAAATATATATGCACCCAATACAGGAGCACCAAGATTCATAAAGCAAGTCCTGAGTGACCTACAAAGAGACTTAGACTCCCACGCAATAATAATGGGAGACTTTAACACCCCACTGTCAACATTAGACAGATCAACGAGACAGAAAGTCAACAAGGATACCCAGGAATTGAACTCAGCTCTGCACCAAGCGGACCTAATAGATATCTACAGAACTCTCCACCCCAAATCAACAGAATATACATTTTTTTCAGCACCACACCACACCTAGTCCAAAATTGACCACATAGTTGGAAGTAAAGCTCTCCTCAGCAAATGTAAAAGAACAGAAATTATAACAAACTATCTCTCAGACCACAGTGCAATCAAACTAGAACTCAGGATTAAGAATCTCACTCAAAACCGCTCAACTACATGGAAACTGAACAACCTGCTCCTGAATGACTACTGGGTACATAACGAAATGAAGGCAGAAATAAAGATGTTCTTTGAAACCAACGAGAACAAAGACATAACATACCAGAATCTCTGGGACGCATTCAAAGCAGTGTGTAGAGGGAAATTTATAGCACTAAATGCCCACAAGAGAAAGCAGGAAAGATCCAAAATTGACACCCTAACATCACAATTAAAAGAACTAGAAAAGCAAGAGCAAACACATTCAAAAGCTAGCAGAAGGCAAGAAATAACTAAAATCAGAGCAGAATTGAAGGAAATAGAGACACAAAAAACCCTTCAAAAAATTAATGAATCCAGGAGCTGGTGTTTTGAAAGGATCAACAAAATTGATAGACCGCTAGCAAGACTAATAAAGAAAAAAAGAGAGAAGAATCAAATAGACGCAATAAAAAATGATAAAGGGGATATCACCACCGATCCCACACAAATACAAACTACCATCAGAGAATACTACAAACACCTCTATGCAAATAAACTAGAACATCTAGAAGAAATGGATAAATTCCTGGACACATACACTCTCCCAAGACTAAACCAGGAAGAAGTTGAATCTCTGAATAGACCAATAACAGGATCTGAAATTGTGGCAATAATCAATAGCTTACCAACCAAAAAGAGTCCAGGACCAGATGGATTCACAGCCGAATTCTACCAGAGGTACAAGGAGGAACTGGTACCATTCCTTCTGAAACTATTCCAATCAATAGAAAAAGAGGGAATCCTCCCTAACTCATTTTATGAGGCCAGCATCATTCTGATACCAAAGCCAGGCAGAGACACAACCAAAAAAGAGAATTTTAGACCAACATCCTTGATGAATATTGATGCAAAAATCCTCAATAAAATACAGGCAAAATGAATCCAGCAGCACATCAAAAAGCTTATCCATCATGATCAAGTGGGCTTCATCCCTGGGATGCAAGGCTGGTTCAATATATGCAAATCAATAAATGTAATCCAGCATATAAACAGAGCCAAAGACAAAAACCACATGATTATCTCAATAGATGCAGAAAAAGCCTTTGACAAAATTCAACAACCCTTCATGCTAAAAACTCTCAATAAATTAGGTATTGATGGGACGTATTTCAAAATAATAAGAGCTATCTATGACAAACCCACAGCCAATATCATACTGAATGGGCAAAAACTGGAAGCATTCCCTTTGAAAACTGGCACAAGACAGGGATGCCCTCTCTCACCACTCCTATTCAACATATTTGTTGGAAGTTCTGGCCAGGGCAATTAGGCAGGAGAAGGAAATAAAGGGTATTCAATTAGGAAAAGAGGAAGTTAAATTGTCCCTGTTTGCAGACGACATGATTGTATATCTAGAAAACCCCATTGTCTCAGCCCAAAATCTCCTTAAGCTGATAAGCAACTTCAGCAAAGTCTCAGGATACAAAATCAATGTACCAAAATCACAAGCATTCTTAAACACCAACAACAGACAAACAGAGATCCATATCATGAGTGAACTCCCATTCACAATTGCTTCAAAGAGAATAAAATACCTAGTAATCCAACTTACAAGGGATGTTGAAGGACCTCTTCAAGGAGAACTACAAACCACTGCTCCATGAAATAAAAGAGGATACAAACAAATGGAAGAACATTCCATGCTCATGGGTAGGAAGAATCAATATCGTGAAAATGGCCATACTGCCCAAGGTAATTTACAGATTCAATGCCATCCCCATCAAGCTACCAATGACTTTCTTCACAGAATTGGAAAAAACTACTTTAAAGTTCATATGGAACCAAAAAAGAGCCCGCATCACCAAGTCAATCCTAAGCCAAAAGAACAAAGCTGGAGGCATCACACTACCTGACTTCAAACTATACTACAAAGCTACAGTAACCAAAACAGCATGGTACTGGTACCAAAACAGAGATATAGATCAATGGAACAGAACAGAGCCCTCAGAAATAACGCCGCATATCTACAACTATCTGATCTTTGACAAACCTGAGAAAAACAAGCAATGGGGAAAGGATTCCCTATTTAATAAATGGTGCTGGGAAAACTGGCTAGCCATATGTAGAAAGCTGAAACTGGATCCATTCCTTACACCTTATAGAAAAATCAATTCAAGATGGATTAAAGACTTAAACGTTAGACCTAAAACCATAAAAACCCTAGAAGAAAACCTAGGCATTACCATTCAGGACATAGGCATGGGCAAGGACTTCATGTCTAAAACACCAAAAGCAATGGCAACAAAAGACAAAATTGACAAATGGGATCTAATTAAACTAAAGAGCTTCTGCACAGCAAAAGAAACTACCATCAGAGTGAACAGGCAACCTACAAAATGGGAGAAAATTTTTGCAACCTACTCATCTGACAAAGGGCTAATATCCAGAATCTACAATGAACTCAAACAAATTTACAAGAAAAAAACAAACAACCCCATCAAAAAGTGGGTGAAGGACATGAACAGACACTTCTCAAAAGAAGACATTTATGCAGCCAAAAAACACATGAAAAAACGCTCATCATCACTGGCCATCAGAGAAATGCAAATCAAAGCCACAATGAGATACCATCTCACACCAGTTAGAATGGCAATCATTAAAAAGTCAGGAAACAACAGGTGCTGGAGAGGATGTGGAGAAATAGGAACACTTTTACACTGTTGGTGGGACTGTAAACTAGTTCAACCATTGTGGAAGTCAGTGTGGCGATTCCTCAGGGATGTAGAACTGGAAATACCATTTGACCCAGCCATCCCTTTACTGGGTATATACCCAAAGGACTATAAATCATGCTGCTATAAAGACACATGCACACGTATGTTTATTGCGGCATTATTCACAATAGCAAAGACTTGGAACCAACCCAAATGTCCAACAATGATAGACTGGATTAAGAAAATGTGGCACATATACACCATGGAATACTATGCAGCCATAAAAAATGATGAGTTCATGTCCTTTGTAGGGACATGGATGAAATTGGAAATCATCATTCTCAGTAAACTATCGCAAGAACAAAAAACCAAACACCGCGTATTCTCACTCATAGGTGGGAATTGAACAATGAGATCACATGGACACAGGAAGGGGAATATTACACTCTGGGGACTGTGGTGGGGTGGGGGGAGGGGGGAGGGATAGCATCGGGAGATATACCTAATGCTAGATGACGAGTTAGTGGGTGCAGCGCACCAGCATGGCACATGTATACGTATGTAACTAACCTGCACAATGTGCACATGTACCCTAAAACTTAAAGTATAATAAAAAAAAGAAAAAAATATATTTTCAGATAATTTCTAATGGCATAAATGGTTTTGCAGAGTTTTGAAAGCCAGTGTAACTTTTAGTAGCAGTTTCTTATGTACAGATAATCAACTATTAATAAACTTCATTTAAATAAAGTAAAAAAAAAGAAAACAAAGTCATGTGCAAAGGAACAACTCTCAATTGGAATTAAAAACATAACAATTGTTACAGCAACATGGGTCCATATTAGCTAGGGTAAAAAGCCTGGTATCTAACCAGTATGTTCCTTGCAACATTTTGGAAGGACACAGGGAAGGGTATAGCTTATTGTGCATAAAATCTGTAGACCCAAGATCACCAAGAATTGAGTGAAGACAAGTGGAAATATGGAAGCAGGGGGTAATATGGTGAATAGTTGTCTTGGATAAGCTTGTCAATGATCATATCATTTTCCCTAAAAGAAATCAAGCCTTTAATTACTTTATAATTTTTATATAAAATTTGTTTTTCTCTTATTTTGACATACAAATGTGGAGTCTTGGATTAGACTTGCTGACACTGAGACTTTAGGAGACAGGTTCAGTAGCTGAAGTTTCCTCATCTATAAAATGGGCACATTACTTATCATGTAATGCTGTTATGAAGATTAAGTGAAAGAGAAAATATCTTGCATGAAACCAGCCTATTTGAAGAACATGCTACTATTTCACTCTTTCTTAACTTTGTCCTTCTGTCTGGTGGTAGGCATAATTTTAATAACAGCCACCAAGTTTCCATACCCTAATATCCGGAATCTATGAACTATCACCTCCATGATTATCTTACATTTTAATGCACAGTTAACTTTAACACAGAAAGATTATCTGCCTAATCTAGTTTCACGAGCCCCTTTCAAAACAGGATTTTCTCCAGCTGGTAACAGAAGAGGACTGCAGAGGGTGTCAGAGAGATTTTCATCATAAGAATTTGATGGTAGCCTATCATTGTTGGACATTTGGGTTAGTTCCAAGTCTTTGCTATTGTGAGTAATAACCTAAAACTTAAAGTATAATAATAATAATAATAATTAATAATAATAATAATAAAATTTGATGGTAGCTTTGAAGATGGAGGGGCATGATGAGACATGAGAAGCTGAATGGTCCCCATCTGACAGCCAGTGAGGAAACAGGAACCTCAGTCCTATAGCAATGAAGAAATGGATTCTTTCAACAGTCTGAATGAGCTTTGATGTAGGTTTTTTCCCCAGTTTCTCCAGATAAGAGCCCAGCCCAGCTGACACTATAACTGGAGCTTTGCAAAATACTCAGCAGAGAAACCTGTTGAGCCCACCTGGACTTCCAAACTTATAGAACTGTGAGATAAAAATGGTGTTATTTGAAGCCATTAAAGCTTATGGTAATTTATTATGCAGTAATAAGAAATAGATAAACATCCTTTCTTTCCTTCTTTTTCCATTAATAAACATTTATTTCTGGCATAGCATGTGCAGGGTACAGCTTCAGACACTATAAAACTCAGGGCATTTAATTCTCCAAACATCTCTAAGAAGTAAGTTTTAATATCCCCATTTTCATGTAAGGGTGAACATAGGGGTATAAATTTTGGACACTGTCTGGACTTTAACCCAAATCCTATTGCAACATTTTGTTATTTCCATTTTCCCCTCTTTCCTACAGGATTCAAATTTTCCTCTGCCCAAGTGGTCAAGGGGGGCAGAAGGCCCTAGGAGAAGGGGGGCAGTGAGGCACGCATTACTCCTGAGGTCGTTATGGAGATAGTGCAAATTGGATGCCAGCACCATGGGTCACAGTGGCACTTGGAGACTTTAAGAAGTCATTATTATTGTCAAGCTTGCTCCCCGCATCTTCCCCTCAAATTCTCAGAATTGAATTTGGCACAGTTAGCCAGAAGGCCTGGCTCTGCTTTGGAGTGCATGAAAAGGGATTATGATAACAATGATAACAATTAATATTTAATAACTATTTATTCTGTTCCAGGCATCAATTAATCTTCAAATCTACCCTCTGCCTTGGCCAGGGTGCTGCTGTGCCAAGCCTTATTGGTGCCTGAGGCAGAAGGAAAAATGTATACTCTGGCTATAATGGAAGTAAACACATCAACAATATTTTCAAAATCTACTTCATTGCTAGTTTCATTTTCAAAGAAGAGAATTGTCATACTGACAATTTCTCTTCACCCAGTGACAATTTTGAATACATTTTCATTAACTGAAGCTAAATTAAAATGATCATAAATATATTTGGGTATATATACTATACTTAAGCTGAGAATAATGTTTATTTTAATACTTACATTTCATTTTTCAATATTTTTTCAACTATTTTAATATTCTGCAAAAAACCACTAGGAAAACACATAAAAATATGTATAGAAATGTGTGCATGTACACACACACACATGTTTTGCCTCAGGCTCAATATGGCTAAATAGATCAACAGTCTTTATTTAAAATTTTGATTATTTTCATCATGGATTTTTTTTGCATAAATTTTAATGTCTAAAAATATATTGTATTAAATTATTATTTACCGTGATTACTGAGTTTCTTGACAACTCCTTTAATTTTTTGGCTGAGTGACTTACTTATCCTAGTTTTGGCCCTTGTTCAGAGCAAACACCCAGCTTCTCCCAAGGGGCTTAGCCTCTCTAGACTTTTCTGTACATTGAAGAAGATCCAAATATTGACTGCCTTATTTTCCAGGCATGTATTGGTGAATTTAGACATTTCAAAGTCTCAAAGTGTCTCATTTTTTTGACAACTTTAGCCTGTCCTAGGTTATGTTACATAAACATAGGGCTTTGCAAAGCTTTCGTTTGGAAAAAAAACAAAACAAAAACTTACAAAAACTGTAGCTGCACAAATATAGCAAGAATTGTAATGCTAATCTGAGATGTATTCACCCTAATATTGAGAGGCATCTGGAATACTGCTGGGGGCCAATGTACATGCAGAGTAAAGGAATCTTCTGGGAGAGAGAGAAGGGAGGTGTGCAATTTTCTACAATGAGTAAGTGTTAATTGTTTGGCCAACAGTGTCTTTATTGCTCTGGTAATAATAGAAAAAAGCAGTAATACAAATATATTCTGGGTCATAAAGATCACTACTCTTAGTTTTACTTTTATTTCACTATACTTGCATTTGTGTTTTAATGCAAGAAGCCCAGCACCCTGCCCCACCAAAATAATTTAAAAAAAAAGATAAGAGATCTTACCGAATAAATGAGGTGTTCATTCTAAGTGAAGGTCAGTGGATATCTTCAATTCATTTGTATGAATAAAGCTTTCATAGCAGTTCAAACAGGCAAACAGCGTGAGGGGATGGGGACAGGAATTGAATCATGGCACAGTGCACCATAGTATGGGCTTGTCAGGCGGCAAAGATACTGTAAAAATATAGCTATCAGTGTCATGTTCAGATTTCAAATGGCAATTTAATTTCAGGAACACAATACAAGATGCCACACTGAATTGATATTGTTAGTTCAAATGGAATGGTTATTATTGTTTTGTTTCCATTGAAGTTGTAAATGTGTTTTTTGCTATAGTCATACATGAACCATGAAGATAAACAGTTAATATAGAGCTTTATTTTATATACTTTGAAGTTATATTATGACAAATAATTTATATAAACATTGGACATACAGGTAATTTTTTTTCCCTTCAAAAAGGCCATTATGCCACCCAAGTTTAAAAGCCTGGAACTCTAAGAAGTGTCCCAGTTATTTAGAGAATATGTGGGATGCAGAGAGAAGGTGGTGCTTAATCCTGAGGGGCTAATAGCTTGTCGTAGTGTCTCTTAGCTATGATGGAGGAGATATTTGAGAGCCTTAAGCCTTCTTTACACTTTTTACTCATAACTGCAGTCTTTGCTTCATGATGAAGCTAATCTGAGCAACTCTATAGTCTGTTCACAAAGTGTTAGAGCAAAGTTAGAACCACTCTTGCTTCCTCCTCACATCAAACAGCCTAATGAGATTGTTAGCAACATTGTGAGAACCTGTTATCTTTACATCTCAGCAAGAAGGTGTGTATGTGCGGGTGGGCATGCCCACGTGTGGATGAGGTGTGGAATTGTCACTGCTGTTGCACTTCCAAATTCTGGGAACTGTGAATTTGGCTGGGCAGGGTCTGGGCTTCCAGCCAGCTGCTAAGCTGTCCAGGTAGATGACACACTAATTAGGGGAATTGCAAACCAATTAGCACTTTGGCTGGATTGGCTGATGTGTCTTAGCAACTTCTTCACTGAATGTTTTGTGATAAGAACCAGTCCAATGTGCCTCCCTAAACCCCTCACCATCTAGATGGGTTATCCAGTCTGTCCTGGAAAAGGGAATGCTTTAGCCCTAGGGACATTATTAATGTTTCAATCCTAAACTGTCAGCCTTTCTTCAGAAGGTAGCAATTCTCCCCTGAGAGATGACTATCATGCTTTGGGGCTGGTGGGCTAGGCCAGACCTGCACTGTGAAGAGGAGAGGCAAAAAAAGAAAAAGAAAAAAGAAAAGAAAAGAAAAGAAAAAAGAAAGCTTGCCTAGAGGGTTGGAAGGTCAGTAGCTCCCTGTTGAACACATTAATCTGTATGGTCATTGTCAGCTTGGATACAGATTCCAGAATTGGTTTTATTTTTCTTTCTTCAGAAGCATCCTTGCTCTCAGCCTTCTGCAGACTGCAGGCACCTAGCCTACCTGCCCTCTTCCCTGATAGCTCTGCCTCTCATCTTCACTGGTGTTGGTTCCCTACACCAACCCTGCCCTGTTGACCTCTGCTGGCCTCGTAGCAGAGAAGGAGAGGGAAGGCTGGGGACCAAGGAGGAGGGGAGGCACTTCTACAGGAGTATGTTCTGATTAATTAATTTTTTCTTTTGTATTCTAAGATGCTATTAATGCACCCAAAGGAAATTGTTTACTTCTAAATGGTTACAACACATAGAAAAGTGTTTCTCATTTTTTTATAATATAATAACAACTATACTAATTTCTTAGTATATGACAGCTTCTGAGTGGCCATAACAATTTTTTAAAAAGGAACAAGGGATTATGTTCTAGTGTCCTCATCACTATCTTCCTTTATAGGAAAATGTGACTCTTAGAGCAGTAATCACCTCTGGGTGCCTGATTCGAATAGTTCCCTATGTGTATATGATGTGTATGTATATGTGTACATGTGACACAGAACTTTCAGTCTAACCTCTAGCATGTGAGGGATTCCATCCTTTCCCCATACATAAAGAAAGGTGATTTTAAAAGACCTTTTTGAAAATAGACTAATCATAGAGTTCAGAACAATGTTTCCTTAGTTCACGGTTTGTGTGCATGATTATACCAATTTGGTCTCCCTTATTCAAGAAGGAACAGGTAAGCAAAAATGGTGTGTATAATTCAAAAGACCATTCTCAACACACTTTCTATTGGCAGCCTCAGTTGTTCACACCTTAGCATCTCTACATGTCTAGGCAAGCCCGGAGAGCTTAGCATGGTTGGGATTGGGACTTTGAATTGGGAATACAGGAGCCACTTGGGATGGAATTTTCTCTAAACGTGGTTTATTTCATTTACCAGATCTTATCAATTACCAGTGAATCTACATATTACCATACTGAGAAACATTCTGAGGAGTGTTGCAAATCATCTATAAGGAATGCAGAATCCTTTCACCAAAATTGTCATTGAGGCAGGAGTCAGGGGTGGTGATGTTTGCAATCTCTGCCTTAAGGACCAGAGAAAGTCAACATACACAAAATTGATTAATGGGTGAGACAGCATGATTGGCTTTTATCCTGCACCCTTTCCTGTCTCCACACACATACCCTGGCCTCATGGATGCAGTACATTTTCCTGACTCTTGACTTTGGAGTAGTCACGTGAATCTGTTTTAGCCAATGGCATATGGGTAGGAGTCATAGTGGGCTGATTCAGAGACTAGGGCAAGAGGCCTCCTCTGCTTCCACTTGCTCTATGTTTCTACCGTCATTGTGAGCTAAACATGCCCTGACTAGCCCCATGGTTACAGGAGATTGAAAGACAGAGCAGAGATCAACTGAACTAGCCATTCTGCAGAATTGGGAGACTTTGGAGATGGTTTGTTACACAACAGTGGTTAATAATACAGTCCACAAATGAAACCTTGGTTACTAAATAAATGTATAATTGTGAATACAGAAGAGTGTCATTTTCGCAATGGAGCACGAAGAAATTTACATCTGAGTCCCAGGGCAAGCGGACTGCAAGCAAACACTGCCAATAAAAATGGCAAGAAGTATTTCATTAATAAATTATAATAGAGACTCAAAACCTGCTACTGCCAGGCAAAGCAGGTTTTTAGCCCATGTTGTGTAATGTCATACTTGTAGAGGTAGGTATAAGGATGCATTGGTTTTGGAATATGTCTATAAATTTTTGACACTCCTACCACCAAGAGGTGGATTTTAATTTCCTTCCTCTTGATTATGTTCCAGCCTTAGAAGTTAGAAATTACTTGCATCTAACAAATATTATACAGAGCAATGGTATTGTATGGTTTCTGAGGCTAGGTTACAAGAGATAATATAGCCTTTTCTCTCTCTTGTAGGCACCCACACCCTTGGAGCCCAAAACCATGCCATGCACATGTAACCAACCAGCTACATGTGAAGATCACATAAAGGTGTTCTTGTCCTGGCTCTAGCTAAGGTTCCAGCTCTCAGTCAGCATCAATTGTGGAAGATGGGAGTGCATGAGCTTTTAGATGATTTCAGTCCCCTGCCTTTGACACCAAGTGGAACTGAGATGATCTTTCCACCGAGCCCTAGTCAAACTGCAGATTCATGAGCAAAATAAACACCATCATTACTGAAGCAACATGGCATGTGGGGTGATATGTTGGGGAAGCCATAGATAATCAGAGAAAGCTCCTTTTCTTTGTGAGCAATATTATTTGCATAGGAGAGAGACAAAGCTGCATGGACTGGAAACTTCCATGACCAAAAAAGATGTCATTTTCTAAGGGCTTGAGTGGGAGGTGGCCCTGACAGCATCTGCATGAGCCAGAGATGCACTCACACTTTCATTATTGCTTGAGGGTGCCAAGAACTGTAGCAGTAAGAGCAGAAGCAGAAATGAAGAACACGAAGGATGCTATGGAGTGAGAGAAAAGTCCATGCTTGCAAGAATCCAAAGACACCCTGTGAGGACGCCCCAAAATACTCGAGGAAGTGTGTAAGTAGAGCTGGACCTTTCATTCTCCCAGCTGGGGTAGAACTGGAGCCATGTGTGCAGGGCCTGCTTCTTCTTCAGGGCTGCCGTGTCCTGGAAAGCCAAGCTTGCACATGGGTTATAGCACTCCACTTTCCCAAAGCCCTCATATACATCATCTGTTTCAGTGCTCGCATTAACACCTGTGAAGTAGATATTATTCCCAGGTCTCACAGCCCATAAATGGAAACTCTGCCGGGAAATAAGTCCTGCTTTTCTCTCTGTACCAGAGCTGCCCCAGCAAATTAAAGCTTATTCTAAATGTAGGTACCTAGAGCATTTCTTAAATTAAACCCAGAGTGAATTCTGAACCTCAGTCTAAGCCTCTACTGATTTGTCTATTCTGTGAGTTCAGAGTTCTGCATAGTAAAATCTCATTAATTCAATCTCCATGAATGTAGAATTTGGGGTAGGCATCAGAAAGCAGTCTCTCCTTAGTCACTTAGCCACACTTACTTTGGCCCAATGACCCAAAAATTTCTTGTTAAGGCCTTTCTTTAAAATGATCTCTAAGGCAGGCACTTTATAAATGAAAATCACGCCCACCTAAGCCTAGGCTTGCAGGTTTGTCTGCCTCGGGCTTTCAGGTATGTCTGGTTCTCTTACCCCATCAAAGGGACAGACTGCTCACAGGTGCTTAAGATCATCCTGGCATGGACCCTTGTTTTATGCAAAGTGTGTGCCAGTGCTGGATGTGAAAACACCAGTCGATTCCCATTCGCTGGTCTTAGCCAGTCAGAACCTTGCTTCTGAGGCAGGGTGATACTGTGGTTACTTCTCTCAGATTTCCCTCTAATGTTTGGAAGTTCCTATACACCATACTGTTTTTGCATTAGCCACAGATGTAGGCTGCAAATGTCTACTAGGCAGCATGGGCTAACCAAAATAAGGACACGATTGACCCAACCTTGTCATTCTTAGAGACACTGGAAATCTCCTCAAGTTGGTAATAACTAGAATTTTTTATCAAATAATCACTGTTTTACAGATAAAGATGGTGCCTCCACATAAACTGAACATATGGCCGGCAAAGAGCACCCCTATTCCATCATCCAAGTTCTCCTTCCTTAGCTGAAGTGAAAACATTTGAAATTGATGATACAAAGTGCTGGGGAGGGTGGAGAGAAATGGCCCCTGTCTAAGCTATATGGAGAGTGAATAGCAAGGCAGTTTGCCAATATCTATCACTTGTTAAATCCACATACACTTTGCTCCAGGAATTAGAATTTCAGGAATTTATCTTAAAACTGTTGTAACAACACATATATGAAGAGGTTTATTGTAGCCTTGCTTACAGTGACTAAGTATCAGAAACAACCTAGATAACTGTCAGTGGGAACTGGTTGAATAATTTGTTTTATCAACATGTAGGAAAATATCCAATCTCTATAGAGAATGAGGCAAACTTTTACAAACTTTGTAAGATGTATTTCTAAGTAAAAATAAACATAAGAACAAACAAATGAAAATAACAATGACATGATTTAGAAGAGTGTATAAAATAAAATACAAAAGACACACACATACACAACTCAGCATTACAGTGAAAATTTTGGAAAGATAAAATGGAAACCATTATAATGGTTACAGCTAGTATTCTGGTAAAAAAGAAACATATTTTCAAGATACTGTTCAGTACCATTTGAAGTTTTTATTTATTTCATTTTTAAACCATGTATTACATTTTTTAAATTAAAAGAAAGCAAAAGCTAAAAGCAATATGAACACAGAAAAGTCAGTATGAGGTTGTCGATACGTAAAGTTTGAAAGTGCAGACTTTTCAAAATGGCATCACAGGAAAACTAAGGAATATATACATTTTGGACATCAAATTGCATCCCAGCACGGAGAATATTTCTTGAAGAAAGTGGCTGGGTTTGATTTAAGGACTTGAGGGCTGGGGTATTTTGCCACAAAACTCTATTTTTTTCTTTCCCAAAGTGCGTGTGACCCTGGGGTTAACTACATTCAATGTTTTATCAACTCACCCTTTCATACACTCTGCTATACTATTTTGAAACCAAATTTAGGCTACTTTGCATCAGCCAGTGAAAAGCCAATTTCAAATTGACACATATGTTGTTGTTATCTGCTGGTCAACGGTTCTGTTTTAGCAGGTTGTCATCTTTGTTTCTGTTTTTGTGATCTTGTTGCTTTTATTTTTGAGACTATTATTTTGATTCTGTTGCCCAAAGCTTCTCTAGAAAAAAATTTCACAGGGAGGGAGCAGCTGCCAAGATCCACACCTTCTTCCCTCCACACCAACTCACTCCATCATCTTCAACAACTGCCAACCTATTCATCCTGCTTCAGTTGGAAGAGCTAAACTTTTTGTTTATTTTTGGATTCAAGATAAAATTTTATTCAAAAGATGGAATCCTGTAATAAAACACTCTTGGAAAATAATCTTTAATTGCAGTTTGCATATAATATTATTTCAAATTGAATATGATACAGACAAATTAAACGGCTAATGCCAGTGTTAAAAAATGCAAGTTTCCTAAATGTAATGTAATTGAGATAAAGACAGTATTTGTTAGGCTTGCAAAGAAGAGACTATTTAAGTAGAAGTATGAGGTAGGGCTAAGCACATGGCTTTTGGGGCCAGAATGCCTGGGCTTAGACCTTAGTGCTGCTAATTATTGGCTATGCAAACTTGGGCAATCATTTACACATTCTGTGCTCTGCATATATGACATAGAAATGTTCCTGGTGCTAGTGATATCACATAGCTTTGTTATGTAATTTAATCAATTACTTGAAGGACTTAGACCATGCTCAGTGCACAGTAAGCATTATATAAATATTAGCTACTGTCATTACCTTTAATCAGGTGCTCCTTATTAGGCTTAATACTATGTTCAAAGGTTAATATGCATGAAATATTGGAAACATATTAATATTATTTGGAGTTTTATAATCTACTTTGGCTTTGGGGGAAATGAATCACTCATGATATGAAAATCAATAATTCAACTTCTACACATTTAAATTCCATATATATTTTCAGGACACACTAAATAACACATTAGAAGCCTTTCTGCTCAAGTATCTTAGTCATTTTCTAGACATAATTTACATACAGTAAAGTCCACAAATCAGTTATACAGATGCAGACACCTATGTAACCACCACTCAGAACACGAGAGAACATTTCCAGCAACCAAGAAGGCTCCCACCTGCTCCTTCTCAATCAATATCCCTAAAACAGTGAACCCTCTGACCTCTACCCTTTAATTAGCTTTTCCTGTCCTTAAGGTTCATATAAATGAGCTCATTCAGTGAGTTCTCTTTGTGTCTGGCTCCTTTTGCTTGGCAAATCTGTGAGTCCCATCAATGTTGTATGATAGACTACAATCATTTGCTCTATTCTGTTGATGGACCTTTGAGTTGCTTCCAGTTTGGGGCTATTTGAATTAAACATTTTTATAGATCACGAGGTCAGGAGTTCAAGAACAGCCTGGCCAACATAGTGAAACCCCGTCTCTACTAAAAATACAAAAATTAGCTGGATGTGGTGACACGTGCCTGTAGTCCCAGCTATTCAGGAGGCTGAGGCAGGAGAATCGCTTAAACCCAGGAGGTGGAGGTTGCAGTGAGCCAAGACCACACCATTGCACTCCAGCCTGGGTGACAGAGTGAGACTCTGTCTCAAAAAAACAAAACAAAACAAAACAACATTTTTGAGCATTTTTGTACGTGTCTTCTGATGAATACACAACTTGCATCTCTTGAGGAGGGAGATTTCTGAATCATAATGTAGGCTTTTGTTTAGCACAACAGCCCACCAGTTTTTCTTTGCATTTCGTAAGGCAAGTTGCACCATTCTTGTCCCAGATTGGAGGCCAACTTTTCTTCAGCAATGTGGCAGGGTGGCCTGTACTATGGGTGTATTAGCCTGTTCTCATGCTGCTAACAAAGACATACCTGAGACTGGGTAATTTATAAAGGAAAGAGGTTTAATTGACTCACAGCTCCACATGGCTGGGGATTCTCACAATCATGGCGGAAGGCAAATGAGGAGCAAAGTCATGTCTTACATGGCAGCAGGCAAGAGGCCATGTGCAGGGGAACTCCCCTTTATAAAACCATTGGATCTCATGAGACTTATTGACTATCACAAGAATGGTGTGGGAAAGAGCCACCCCCATGATTCAATTACCTCCCACTGGGTCCTTCCCATGACACATGGGAATTATGGGAGCTACAATTTAAGATGAGATTTGGGTGGGGACACAGCCAAACCATATCAGTGGGCAAGTTCAATAAGCAATGAATGCTTAAGTACCCACCAGAGCACTGAAGCCACAGAGGTAGGAGGACCAAGAATAGGCATCTTGGCTGGTGACACTCAGACGTCAAGATCCAAATCTACAGTTTCTATAGAGGAAAGCTTCCACTGGCAGCCAGGCCCCTGCCTTCAGGGATGCCTCAGGCCCTGAGAGTTCACCTCTTTCTCCTGGCAATGTCAAGTTCCACATTTCTGAGCCAGGCAGAGGAAATTATTTGTGAATTTATGACAGAGAAAATATTCTTTAAACAGAATCTTCCCTGATTATTGGAGCAAATTTGGCTGCTAGGAACTGCTTCTCCCTATTAGCTCATTGGGAACAGAGGGGAGAGCCTCTCACTCTGCTTAACCCCCTATGGCTCTGTTCCTTGCCAGAGAAGGGGCCCAATAAATGCTTGACAAGTTAAATGGAAATGATTTTTCCCCTTTTAAATGTCTCCTCACTATGGCATGTCATTTATACAGGACGAAGCTTTTATTACATTCATCCTCTTTCCTCCTACCTAATCCTCTTGTCTTTCATCCTCCATCCACCTGTCCTATTGCATTTGGGACTCAACATGTGACATGGAATAATAGTGGTTAAAGCATTAGTTTAAGGGCCAAAATGCCCATGTTCAAACCCTGTTCTGCCCCATAATAGCCACTAGATCTTTATCAAATAACTGTACTATATCACAATTTTTTGTGTAAATAAATAAGTTAATATATATAGAAGTGCTTAGAATTATGCTGGGTTAAGGCCTACATAAGTGTTACCAAATATTATGTGAGAACCTACAGGGGAAAAAAAAGAAGGGAACCTCTGTTTAGCCAGAGTTCCTCCTCTATAGAGGTCTTCTACTCTGAAAACATCACCCTTAATTATTCCCAAAACAGTCTGCAATAGTGAAGGATACCAACCAGTAATCCCTCATGTCTAATTATACCCTTAAAACTTGCAAGCACCTTATATTCAGAATATATTTGAATGCTTACAGAAACCTTTTGAAAAAGAAGAAGAGGTAGTATCCCTATTTTGCAGGAACTAAAGTTCTTGGGCTTTCTATCATGCAACCATCTAATCACTCATTCACCCATTCACTGATATAGAGATTGTGTTAAGCCCCTCCCAATCCCAGTCCCCATCCCCCGCACACTGTGTGCTACACCCAGTTCTCCTGCCTGGTCAGCCAGAGCCCAGGTCTTCTAATAGCCATCCTGCTCTAGTCCTACCCACCAGACCCCAGCCCTCTGTGAGCTTTTATTCGACTACTCACTTCTCCATCTCTCTTTTCTACCTCTTCCTCATCCAGACTTTCATCACCTGAACATCACATTCACTGCATTTAAGTTGAATGGCTTCCTAACTTAATAACTTACATAAAAATTATGCATTTTATTGTATACTATGTGTTTAATATTTAGCAGAAAGAATAACAGATAGAAAAAATGAAAGAGTAAATGAAAATACAGATATACAATAAATGAAAAAGAGAGTCTATATTTTACCACTCTGGATAATTGCTATATCTCTAGAGCAGATATGTATATGTGTATGTATAAATTTTAACAAAATTGGTATTGGAATACACATAACATTTTAAAACATACTTGTAAACTTTAATATCTATCTTTCCATGTCAATACATATTTATCAACCAAATCAATTTTAATTGACTGGACAATGTTGCACAGTATAGATATCCATTGCTTAATTTGACCTGTTATTGAACAGTAGGTTATTTCCTTTTATAGAAATGTTTTGCTAGTATAAACAATGCTAAGATAAACATCCTTGTATATACTTTTATGTTCATATCCTTAATGATGTACTTTAAATAAATTCTAACTGGTGACACTGCAGTCTTATTTTTAACACTTTTGATAGCTTTTGTAACACTGTCCTTCAGAAAGACTATGCTAGTAAAAGGGTACCCACCACATGCCAGCACTAGTAAGTATTATGTAAAACAAATAAAAATAAAAACTAGGCCAGGTGCGGTGGCTCACGCCTGTAATTCCAGTACTTTGGGAGGCCAAGGCGAGCGGATCACGAGGTCAAGAGATCGAGATCATCCTGGCCAAAATGGTGAAACCCCATCTCTACTAAAAATACAAAAATTAGCTGGGCCTGGTGGCGCACTTGGGAGGCTGAGGCAGGAAAATCGCTTGAACCCAGGAGGCGGAGGTTGCGGTGAGCTGAGATCGCACCGTTGCACTCCAGCCTGGAGACAGGGCAAGACTCCATCTCAAAATAAATAAATAACTAAATATAAAATAATAAAAACTTTATCAGTTGGATAGAAAATGTATAATCTATTTTAATTTGCATTCATTTTGTTACCAATCAAAATGAATATGTTTTCATAATCTTATTATTTTGCAAGTCTTTGCCCATTTCTTTATATTTTTATAGTTGATTTATAAGATCTCTTTTTATATTGAAGATAATAAACACTTATTTTTCACATATACGGCTGATACTTTCTCCATTTGAAAAAAAATTTTGTGCAGCCATGCATGGTGGCTCACGCCTGTAATCCCAGCACTTTGGGAAGCTGAGGTGGGAGACTTGCTTGAGCCTAAGAATTCCAGACCAGCCTGGGCAACATAGCAAAACCCTGTTTCTCCAAAAAAAAAAAAAAAAAAAAAAAAAAGCTGTGCATTGGGGCATTGCAGTGTGCATGTGTAGTGCCAGCAGCTACCTAGGGGGCTGAGGTGGGAGAATCACCTGAACCAAGGAGGTCAAGACTGCAGTGAGCTGTGATCACAGCACTGCACTCCAGCCTTGGTTACAGAGTGAAACCTTGTCTCAAAAAAAAATTATTTTATGTTTAGTTGCTAATTTTAAGAGACTTCAAATATTTACGTGTCAGTTTTAGTCATTATGTTTTCCAGCTTTTGTGAAAGACTTAATAATGTCTTTTCTAGCCCAAGATGTTTTTATAGTTTCACTTTAAAATTTAACTTTTTAAGATATACATAATTTATATTCTTTTATAGTGAGACATAAAAAGCTAACTTCTTCTCTGTTTGCTTAGCCAGTTCTCTCTGATCTGTGGTTAAAAATCCACTGCCAGGCAGAGTGTGATGGCTCATGCCTGTAATCCCAGCACTTTGGGAGGATCGCTTGAGCCCACAAGTTCAAGACCAGCCTGGGCAACATAGCAAGACTCTGTCTCTACAAAAATAAAAATAAAAACTAGCTGGGCATAAGTGTGTGTGTGCCTGTAGTCCCAACTACTCAGGAGGCTGAGGTGAGAGGATTGCTTGAGCCCCGGAGTTCAAGGCTGCACTGAGCAGTGATCATGCCACTGCACTCCAGCATGGGCGATAGAGAAAGTCCCGGTCTCAAAAATGAAAAAAAACAAACAAAACCCTTTCATATAATATCACTAGTTGTTTGAATGCTGGTCCATTTAGCCTGTGACAGCTTGGCTCCTCTTATCTTCCTCCTTCCTGTTTCTCTCATCCCTTCATCTTGGGCTCCCTCTTCACGTAGCTTTCCACCTCTCCTAGAAACCCTTACATGTTCAAGCCTTTATGTCACTGCATACCCAAGTCCCTCTGCCCTGCAGTGACTTCTCTCCACTCTCACCCTAACCCCTTCTACCAAGAAAACCAGACATCTTTTAAGGTTTACGGAAGGTGCTACCTCTACTCTGTGCCCTTTAGTTCTCCAGATATTAACTTCCTCCTCAGGGTTCTCACAGGAATCCATATTTCTGTTGGAGCCTTGTTCTGGTGAACAGTAATTGACAGTGGACTTTGGGCCCTTCACTAGCAGTTGCCCTACCATATTTATCTCTATAACCTCAGCTCTTTCGGCATACAGTAGGTGGTAGAATAAAGTTCCTTCATTGAACAAATTAACAATCGACTGGCATCTCAAAAAACCTACCTGACTCTATAGGTAGACTATAGCAGGGATATTTCTTGGTTTTCTTCCCAGTATCTCATTACTGGGTTATCCAACAGTATGCTAAATTCCAATAGGGGAATTCATTTTTCTGCCATACCCTACTGTGCATTTGAGGTGAGACTGACTGGCAGCCCAGGGTGTCTGATGGGCTTAGGACAACCTGCCTATTCCATCATGGCCACAGTGATGACTTCTGAACCGAGCATGTAACCCAACCAGCACCTTTGGCCTGAGAGGATGTTTTCTGAGTTTGCAAGGAAAGGATGGCTTATTCCTTTGTAGAATGAAATAAGAAGCCCCTACCTACCCAACATGCACACAGGACACGAGGGAGGAATGCTATAAGCCTCAGCAGTTGGTACTCTTCCTCAGACCTACAGAAGAGCTTTTCAGAAATGTTGCCCACAATAAACAAGCAGAGCCAAGAAAAACTAGGCAGAAACCCAGTCGTTGTTATAACATTTAAGTACTGGATCATATTGCACCTGAAGTGGGTACCCCTGGGCTGTTTAGTTACATGAACCACTGCATTCCCCTTATCAATTAAGTCCATTTGAGTTAACGTTTCTCTTAAATGTAACTATAACAGTCATAACATATATAAGGTTATTGGATGGCTAAAATTACAATGAGACATGAAGGAAACGTGGGCATATCAAAACAAAGGATAGAGGAGAGAAGCAAGAAATGGTAAATTAATGCTGCAAATACTAATGGTGACCATCACCAAACCATGGGAACTAAGATTTCTAAACAGTCTTCCAGATACCAGATCATTGTTAGCAAAGCAATTTCCTATGTATTTTATTAGTTTCTTTGAAGTATATAAAGTTTCTTGCCCAGCTCTTGGCACAGAGTAGTCCTCAAAACCCAATAATTTTCATAATCCCACTTTCACCCAATCCCCCTCGGTCGTAACAATCAACAATTCATCTTAGGATAATAAAATAACCACTTGAAAGCATGAGTTATTGTCTTTGACTTTAGAGAATTCATGGAGTTTAAGAAGGTGTCAGATGGAAAAATATAGAAAGTTGACTCGTTCCCCAGATGAATGCAAAAGTGAAACACCAAGTGATTGTTTTTAGAGGAATATGAATCATCACAGCCCTGGGAGATAAAGCACAGTGCAAAAGGAAATGTATCCAGATCTTGCCAATATTGATATTCAGCCAGTACCAGACACTGGGGAGACAGTGATGGAAAGTCAGACATTATACCTGGCCTTTTTGGGTACCTCATATTCCAGTGGAGAAACCAAACAATAAAACTAAATAGAGTAATTTAACTTTTAATAAGCTGTGTGCCTAGGGCTAATTTGGGAAGGTAGTCATGGAAGGCCTCTCAGCATCGAAGGCTTGGCAGTTGAGTTATAAATTATGAGAAAGGGCCAGCCAGGCAGAGGTCTGGAGAAGAAGAACCCAGGCACATGTCCAGCAAATATGAGGACTTCAACTATGAAAGGAAAGAAAGAGAGGCACAAAGTACCATAGGCATCCAAAGAGGGCAGACATAGCCGTTTACAACTTGCAAGGGCCTGGAATGTGGTTATGGTCAGAATCCTGCAAAGGATCAAAGCTCTGGGCCCCCAAGGAGGGGTTATGTCTGAGGCTGACTAATGTCTTTAAACCTGGGCCAGCAGTGACCACAGAGGAGGCTGAGGCCACTGACATCGGCATGACCCAGGCCGGCAGATGCTGACATTCCTTTACTATGTGATTCCCACAGAGCTGGGGCTTTTCATCACGAATGAGCATTATTAGTAACCAGACTCAGGGGAGGGAGGGGGACATGTATGCAGGGAGTGAGAGGCAAAGGGAAAGTGGGAGAAAAACAGGGCTGGACACATCATGGTGCCAGGGACCCAAGGTCAAGGGGCGAGACCCTCAGGCTCGATGGCATTTGGGGTGTGGGACACTTCTGGCTGCAGGGCCCTCAGCTGCCTAGTTTAAGACTATGGGTTGTGTTTAGGGGTTACCACCTCAGTCTGGGAATGTCACTGTTCCCCTGAGACTAATATTTCTCAAGAAGCTACTGTTTCAGTCACTGAAGCCAACAGGGTCTCTACATGGGGTGACCATAGGATGTGCCACCTAAACTGGGACTTTTCAGGGTAATAGGGAGTGGGATAAATTCTAAACCCAATAGAACATTGAGACAACTGGCATGAACTGGGCCAACTGGGATGGACGGTGGCCTTGCTCATACCTCCCTGCTCTTGCGGAGGCAGTCATTGACTGACTTATTAATGTGTGTTGGGTGTTAAGAATTGCGCACGCTCATCTTCTCCTTTAAGAGGTAAGCAAATAGTAGCCCTGAAGAGTCAAGAATACTCAGGGGCTCAGTACGAAAGCAACATAGTATTCCAGTTAGAGTGCAGGTGCAGATTTGGATACTCCTTGCCTCCAATCTCACTGCCACTGTTTACTCTGAGCAGGTTGTGTTGCCTCTCTGAGCCTCAGTTTGCCCATGTGCAAAATGGGAATGATAATAATAATACTTACCTTGCCAAGTATTATAAGCTTGAATTGAAATAATGATGTAAGGAGGTTAGCATGGTGCCTGGTGCATAATAAGCAGCCACAAATGGCAGTTAATAGGATTAATTCTCAGGGATGGAGAACCCTCTAAAAGGTTGCATCAGGACTTTGCTAAACAGGCCTCTAACAGAACCTCATTCTCCATCCTCTGGGTGCTCCTCCCAGGGCCTGGTGTATGCGTCTCCTTTAGAAGGAACACACACACATTCTTCTGCCCAGGGCATGTCTTTCCCTACTTTCCAGAGGAAAATGTCCTGATTCATTTTCCCTGTCAGGAGGCTGGAAGGAACAAGCAAAAAGAAGGAGAGAATTGAGGTCATTGGTCCATCCACACATAAGCTCCAATTCAGTCTTTCCAGGGAATCACTCTGGATTTACTCACCACCAAGTGACAGATGAGAGCAACTTAGTAATTTGAAAACCTGGGAAAATAACATGTATTCTGAGATGTTCCCAGTGCTGGTTTGGAATTACTGAGCACTGTTCATTTCAGCCTTCAGCAGATCATGCCATCCTGAGTTGGAGTTGGCAGTTCTAGGGAGGTCCTGAGATTAACCCAGAGACTGAGACTGGACTCCAGGGAGTCACAGCCCAGTTCAGGCCTTAGCCAGGGTCCAGACTGTGCTTGCTGGGTTTTCAGCTTTTCCAAAACCTGTATAACCAATCCCTGCCTTGTTGTCTATCTTCGATTCTTAGCAAGGTTCCTGTTTCAAGATGCAACCACAGAGTAGAATCAATGTAAAAAGACATCTATACAGGGAGCACTGTGAAACACACAGAGGGCTACAATCTATTATTGCCAGGTGCTGGAAGATCAGGAAGAGCTAAGTAGAAGAGGCATGACATGCAAATAGGGCCTAGGAGGATGAGGATGAGTAGAGAGTTTAAGTAAGAGTGGAAAGGAAGGACATTGAAAACACAGGAACACGATGCACACAGGTAGGAAGACAAGGTGGTGTTGGCAGATAGATCATATATACATGGGTAATGCCTGGGAGCAGGCTTAGGAAAAAGCACTGCCTCAATTTGTTCTCTTATTAATTAGTCTAGTGTCTTTCTTAGTCACAGACTGTGATATCCAGGGTCCAAGATGACCTCTAATGATCTCCTCCTCCTGGTTTTCTTGTCTTTGTGTGGTCCTTACTCCCACTTAATAGGGCTGACCATGAGCCAATACGATGTTGTCAAAATTAAGGTGTGACTTCCAAGTCTAGATCATACGATATGTTTCCACTTTGCTCTCTCTTGGCTCCTAGCTGTGGGTAAAGACAGCTACCCTATCATTAGGACACTCAAGCAACCCTACGGAGAAGACTATGTGGTGAGGAACTGAGGCCTCCTGCCAATAACCAGTACCAACTTGCCAGGCATGAGACACCTTGGGAGTGGATTTTGCAGATCAGGCATGTCTTATATGAAGGCACACCTGGCCAATAGCCCATTTGTTGCTTCAACAGCCAAAACCACCCAGCTAAGCTGCTCCTGGATTCCTGACTCCTGGAAACTACATGCCAGTAAATTACCTTTACTTTAAACTCTAAATCAGAATAGACTATGTTGTGCCTTTTTTTCTTGGAGCTTCCACACAAAGGGATCTTCATCATGGACTGTTTTGCCACAATAAACAGAAGATCTCCTGGGGCATATTAAAGGGAAATGTGTCCTTAGATAACCTGGAAGCTAGATGTTTGTCAATGTGGCTTCATGTGGTTGCTTTCCTCTGCACACATTCTGCATTCTCCTCTATGCAGCTCACTTCCTTTGTACGGCTGTAAGTTTCCATTTACCTAGAACTTGCATTTGCCTATGGTTTGTGGTGGCAACCCTGGCTCTAACCTTACATGACGTTATTGATCCAGAGTCAATCTCAATCTTACCACATGTTTTGTGAGCTTACTTTATATTTTCAAGAACGAGGATGATTGGCTCCTCTTGAGTCAAGTACCTGCCCATGAACTCTTCAGGTAGGACCAAGGAGCAGTCACCCAGTATACACATGGCTCCTTAGCTTCCTTCTTTAGGAATGGACTGGAAGAATCATGACCAAATGAAGGGTTATAGATCTGGCCAGCACTTCAAACATTGCCATGTGTAGTACATGTAGCCCCAACTAAGAACTTCCCAGAAAACCTGCTGCAAGATCAAGATCAAACACTCTCTCCATTTTTATGAACACACTAGGGTGTGAAACTTTCTCTCCCGAATAAGAAGAAACTTGAAACAAAATCCTGTTGGTAGCCAGGCATTAGGATTCATGACTCAAGACCCACATTTTTACAAAAGCAATTCCAAACTCTCAAAATCAATTATGCATCATATTATATCCTCAGAATAAAATAAATATACATCCCAGAATTAATATGAAGGCATAAACAACTGCTGACAGCCTATAAATTGTATTAGGAAAACTTTGATAAACTCTTACTTTTCCACACTTCCCTCAACCTCATGACAATAACTGTTTAGATTCAACACATATCAGGGGCATATGCAGCTGGAAGTAAGGAGAGTTGGAAATAAATAAAAAGGAAAACAGCAAGAGCAGGAGAAATGAGCAGAAGGTTAATGACTTTAAAGGGGAAAAGGTCACAAGAAGAAGTGAATCTGATAGCCCTGGAAAACACCCTTTTTCCTTTCTGATAAAGGAAGGTAGCTAGGAGTGTCTTTATGAATTTACTTTTCATGCTTTCCCTCTGGTCCTTAGCAAAGAGGGGGAAATTCAGAATGAGCTATTATTTACTCAAGAAATAGTTACTGGACATCTGAAGGTGTCAGAGGCGTTCGAACCAGAGCAACTCCATCTTGAGTGAGGGCTAGGAAAATGAGGCTGGGACCTGCTGAGTTGCATTTCCAGAAAGGTATTCCTAGCCTCTAGATATTTACACTTAAGGGAACAGATTGATAATGTTTACTAAACAGATCCAGACTTGGGACTCTCCGAATATCCCGATATCTTGAGAACAAAGGCATTCCTAATTTTGCTTTAAAGATAATAATATTGGCCAGACGTGGTGGCTCATGTCTGTAATCCCAGCACTTTGGGAGGCTGAGGTGGGTGGGTCACTTGAGGTCGGGAGTTCGAGACCAGCCTGGCCAGCATGGTGAAACCCCATCTGTACTAAAAATACAAAAAAAAAAAAAAAAAAAAAATTAGCCAGTGATGGTGGCACATGCCTGTAGTCCCAGCTATCTGGGAGGATGAGGCAGGAGAATCAGTTGAACCCAGGAGGCAGAGGTTGCAGTGAGCTAAGATCATGCCATTGCACTCCAGCCTGAGCAACACAACAAAACTCCATCTCAAAATAATAATAATAATATTGATTCTTGCAAAATATAGTAATTAAGAAAACCAATCCTTTGTCACAAACCCTGTAGCAGAGCACGTCTCCCAGTGATCTTCTCTTATCCTGTATATAAACAAGCATTGTACCTAGGGTGGACATATTCCTCCTCTTACTTTCAGGAACGTCCTAGTCTGTCTATGGAGTAGCTGTTCTTTCATCACTTTACTTTCTCAATAAATGTGCTTTCTCTTTGCACTGCGGACTTGCCCTGAATTCTTTCTTGAGTGAGATTCAAGAACCCTTTCTTGGGGTCTGGATCGGGACCCCTTTCCTGTAACAGAGGGACTAAATGGAGTCATGATCTCAGGCAACTTAAAAAAAAATACAGGAGACAGTTGAACAAACAATTGAAGAAAAATAGGTTCATTGCTATATCATGGGCATTGTACAAAATTAATTATGTGTCCAGGAAGGTGGGGGGATTGAGCTCCTCACTCTGTTGAATGGGTTCATGGAAAGGGCAGTATTATGGGTTGAATTGTATCTCTCCCCCAAAAGTCCTAACTAACCCTCAGTACCTCATAATGTGACCTTACTTGGAAATAGGGTCATTGCAGATGTAATTAGTTAGGTTAGGATAAGGTTATTAGGGCCCTAATTCAATAGGACTGGTATGTTTATACAAAGGGGGAAATTTGAACACAGAGACATGCACACAGGGAGAATGGCATGTGAAAATGAAGGCAGAATCAGGGTGATGCTTCCACAAGCCAAATAACCCTAAAGATCATCAGCAAACCACCAGAAGCTAGGGGAGAGGCACGAAGAGATTCTTCCTCAACCTTCAGAAGGAACCAACCATGCTGACTAACACCTTCATTTTGCATGTCCAGCCTCTAGAAATATGAAAGGATAAATTTCTGTTGTGTAAGCCACCCAGTTTGTGACACTTAGCTATGGCAGCCCTAGCAAAAGAATACAAACATTTTATAGTTTCTAAAGATTAAGAGAAGACTAACCTGCTAAAGATTAACCTTCAGGCTGAGGGGGCCAGAATAGGGCTTCAGTCACTTGAGGAGGGTAGACTTTGGGAATATGAGAAAATGCCTCATGTTGTAGGAGTGCACGTTAGAGAGGGATGCAAAGTGTGGCTGTAGAGAAAGAGAAAGGGAATGAATTGCGAAGGCACGTGTTGGGATGTTGCAACATTTTTAAAGGAAAGCTGGGGAAAAGAGAGGTATTGAGGCATCGGAATCACGTGAGGGCTGCTCTGTGATAAGTCTACAGTATACCTGGTAATAACAGATATCCAAAAGCTATTTGTTGAATGAATCAAGAAGAATTGGCTACTTCAGTGCAAATAATCAAGCCATGGGACATCCAGCATCAGGCTCTACCACATAGCCTATTGCATGAGTGTTCCAGGTGTTTCGTAGTCCCCTGGTGAAAGAAGAGCCCCAAAGGCAAGACACTCATTTTCCCTGAAATGAAAAGGTCAGCCCTAGCAAAGGGGAGGAAGTGTTCCTTGTACCTCTGTCTTCCCCATGCTTCCCTGCCTTTCCACCTAACTCGCTCATCGAATGTCGTTTAGGAACCATGGGTTGCCAAATTTCTCTTTAACCTGAATTATATGTTTGGAGACAGAAAGTGTAAGATGGACTGAGAAGCCAGGAGTAGTAACCAGTAGGTGGAGAGATAGTGACCAGCCCCTGGACCCCTTCAGAGGACTTGCCCCACCTCTGAACTGCTCTTTCTGAAACATCTTGCTTTCTGCACAAATCATGTTGTGGGTCGTGGTGGGAGCCAGAGGGGGGCAGCCTTGCAGCAAAATGCCTGGAGGCTGCATTAACTTCTTTCCCTGACAACTTATATGGCAGCTAATTTATATGCTACCTCCTATTAGTTTGGGGGAAAAATATAGCTAACGATAACGAAGAGAATGCCATCTATTTCTTTAGCTTAAACATGCCTGCTTCAGTGGTGAACAGTTGATCTCTAAGCTTGCTGTTTTCAGGCTATAAAAGCTGTTTATTTCACTCTATAAAAGAACATTTGAACTTATATAGCTATTTAAGTTTAAATGTTTTAGGGGAAAGAAAAATGCAAGGGGAATTAGCAAAGAGAGGCTGAAACCTGATCTGGGCTGCGGGGTTTGCATAGAAACTTCCCTCTTTGGGAATCCCCCCTGCCTGCCCCCAGTACACCCACTGCAGCACCAGCCCACAGGAAATGTACTGAGCTGAGTGTGATTTCAACATTAGTAGTCATTTCGGCAAAGCTCTCAGAGTCAATCATTTCTCATGCGCTGGTGTGATTTGCATTCACTGGGGACCCCTTGGCTCTTAAAAAGCTGCAGCTGCCCCAAAGAGGTGAAGGACATTAACAAATCTTTGTTGTTTTTCTCTTAAAAACTGTGAGTTTGCATGAGGGATCTGGGTAGAAATGTGCTTCTCTGTGCATCATGGGAGGCTGCTGCTCTGTTGGCTCTGAGAATGACAGATAAGTCTTGAGTTTTTGACAAATAAGCTGCTTTCTCTTGAGGAGTGCTCAGACTTCCAGTTAGCCACCAGAATGCTGGCCTTTATGTCTTTCTGGAAGAGTTAAACATTCTCCAAACAGGCTGACCATGCATCTTAGTTTGCCCAATACAATCCCAGTTCATGCCTGTTGTGTTCTTGGTGTATGTTCAATGGTGCTTCCTTCACCCTTCAGAATGTCCTGCTTCAGATCATACCTTATATGACAAATCTATTCCTGGAAGTCTTTTCTTGCATTTTAGGCCACATTTGCACCCAATTTGGGGAGATACAAGTGCTTTGGGATACAGATGAGTTTGAGAGGTGAGTTCTCTTGGTTTGGGTTCCCATAAGATCAGCTCTGAGTCAATTGTGTGCAAGTAGCGTATTTGGGAGGTGCAGAAAACACCTGTTGGCAAACAGGGATATAAGAATAAAAGGACAGCAACTAAAATAGGTGCCCTGGACATCTGGAACTTAATTCTGCTGAGGACACTCTGGCAGACAAAGAATGCCATAGAATCATTTCTCATGGTGGGTGAAGATAATCCCAGGGGTGTTATTTCCATTACTTCCTGTCTGCCTGCTAGAGGGCAAAGCAGCCTTCAGCTGCTTTGGAGAAAAGCTACAACTATAGGAAAGAAGGATGAAATGGAGAAAGAAAACACAAGTGTTATCGAGTATCCAAATGTTTCCCAATCTTTCTAGGCTTAGCTTAATTGATACATATGCTCCTTCAGCAGGGTCATCTTCATAATGAAATTATTTTAAGTGCAATTGTTTAATGTATGTCTCACCTGCCAAACTATGATCTTCATGAGGGCAGGACTGCATAGGTTTTCTTCAATATGTTCTTTGAACATAGTATGATAATATTTGTCAAATGCATCAATAAATAAATAAATTGTGTCAGTTGTGTCATATACTCCATCACTCAATGTTTTCCATTCTATGACGTAACGATTATAATCTCCAATTTGTAGGCAAGAAAACAAGAAGACTTCTCAATATTATGTTGTTAGGAAATACAAATCTAGGTCTGTCTTACTAATTCCACCCTCTTCCAGTATAGTCTTCTGGTAAAGAGGAGTATTGATAAATAAAGATGTTCCCACTTTTTTTTTTTTTTTTTTGAGACAGGGTCTTGCTCTCTCACCTGGGCTAGAGTGCAGTGGAGCAATTATAGCTCACTGAAGCCTTGAACTCCTGGGCTCATGCAGTCATCTTGCCTTGGTCTCCCAAGCAGCTGGGACGTGTAGCATGCCACAGTGCCTGGCTAATTTAAAAAATGTTTTTGTAGAGATAGGGTCTTGCTATGTTGCCCAGGCTGGCCTTGAACTCCTGGCCTCAAGCAATCCTCCCACCTCAGCCTCCCAAAGCACTTGGATTACAGGCATGAGCCACTGCGCCCAGCCAAGAACTTCCCATTCTTGCAGGCCTCTTTGCATCTCAGCATGTTGTGTTCTACAACCACACATGCTGCCTAATCCTAGTCTGCCACTTCATATACTCTTGGCCCTTCTCCAATTTACCCTCCTATTTTAGGGTGTCAGACTCAAGCCTGCTGTAATTGTTTAAAGACTTAACATGGAAAAGGATAATGTTTTGTTTGTTTTAATCTTCAGGCAAGGGAGAAAAAGCCAAAGTTTCAGAAGCTAGTGCTTGCCTTTCCCACGAATGATTCTGCTCCTGAAAAAAAAGGAAAGGCACTTAAGGATTTCTGACATCATTTTTTTCCCTTCTTCATTGTCAAAAGTCTGGTCAAGGTTTGATGGGGGGCGGGGTGAAGTGAGGTGGGAGAGTCGAGCGCTGTGCTGGTAAATGTTCAAAAACCAGCTCCCCTGGAACAAACTTTCATTTGTAGCATATGCCACTTTCCATGGTGTGAACTTAAAATTGACCACTGTGGCCAATTTTAAGCTATCAATGTTGAATCACTGAATGTGAATGTTGAGAATGGACCCACAGTACTACAACATTATATAGCATTTCCATCACATGGATATAATAGATGTAAACAACCTCACAAGCATGGATTGCAGTACAATAATTGAAAATAGTGAATTTTGAGTATTTACTTATTACCTTTTAAAATGCAGTTTATTAGCTTAAAGTTTATTAATGTAATTTTTATTAACAGCTGCATCTAACAACTAGAACACAAAATTTCTGTAAGTTTAATCGTCAGCTCACATGGGCTGCTACAGCTACACCATTTTAGAGACTCTCTCTTGAGTAAGTCCTTTAGTTTGTAGATTCTATTCAGATCTTTGTCCTAACTTCAAATGAGTGAGATCTCCAGGTGAAATTGGCCAATGGAAAGTGGTTCAAGATTATGGCTGGACAACTGGAGAGTGAACCATCTTTTGATGCTCTCAAAGTTTGAGACACTTTGTGTGTGAGATATTAGGCTTGCCACTACCCTCCTCCCTAATGAATTATTGGCCTTTTGTGACCCTGTGTCTCTGGAGGCTGACTCCTAAGGAGTGCACTGCTCAAGGTCCTTTGACCTTTTGCTTCTTGCTAAGCTCAGAAAAAAAAAAAAAAAAAAAAAGAGGCACTGGCAAGATACATGAAATAAGAAGGAGAGAGAATTGGGAGTATATATACCCCTACTCTCTCCCTGCCTCACTGCAGTTCTGACATTAGCTAAAAAGGCTCCTCTTAGGTGGGCATGTTCCATGGCTCTCACTAGACCAGTCCCAGTTCCCTCCCCTTGGCTTTCTCTATAGCTGCTTCCTGGGTGCCCCACCAACTTTCAGTCCACACCTCTGTAAACAGTCCCTTTATTAAATTCTTTCCAGCTAAACAGTTTTGAGTGTGCCTTGTTTGATAGAAGCACCCTATATGATATACCAAGTGCATATATCCAGAGTAATATATCCAACTGCATTGGTCTTTAGGAAACCTAATAACCTAATTGCTCATATGGGGAGCACATTTCTACGTTATATTCTATTATGCTCACCCTGTCACGTCCATACTATTATCAATGTCCAGTTATCAATGATCAGTGGGAAAAGGGGACACAGACAATTAGCTTTCCAAATATAGGGCTTTCTTAACTCCCACATGCAACTTCATCCACCCAGTGAGCACACCATCAACTCACCTTGACTGGTTGGCTGAAAGTGGCTCATGCTTTGCTTTGAGAACCAGGATTTGGCTCTAATATTAGGCACAGCCTGTCCTGTGGGACTTGTAATGAAACCAGGCAGCTGCTAGGGCTCTCTCTTATAGTCCCTATCTTGTTCATCTGGCACAACAGCTATTTCTGAATTCTGCATTTTGTATTCTTCTTATGGACACCTTTCTCTGGCCTGACATTCTTCTTGGTCTATTGTCCCAGACCCACGCACGAATTCAGTTGTCAAAACATCTAGGAGCCAATGCTAGGTCATTAAACTAACATAAATTGAGACCATGCACCAGTTACACACTCAACTCATATTAGCACAGTGCTAAGAAGTTCACACATACAGCCTCTTCTACCATGGTAAAAACCCAACGAGATGGGTACCATTTATCCCACTTCTCCAACCTATTACCTACTGCTTGTGCTGGTCATTTGTCTGCACTCGGATATATTCCTTACCCTTCTTTCCATCTTCTCTGTATTATAGGAAACTACATTTACAGGCTCCCTTGACCACTAGTTTCTGGCTAGATATGGCCTACTGAAGGACTTGGCAAGACACAGGACAGGAAAAGGCCAGGGTAATTTTCTTCCTCTCCCACCTGGGGCAGCATCTCTGGAAGCAACTGTGCTTCTCTTGCAGCTCCCACTCTCACTGGACAGCGTATGCCTTGATGGCCTAGCAGGCCTACCACAGTCCCAGTTTCCACAGGGCTCTTGGGATCCTGCAAAACTGCTTTCTTCTTTTGTCCCTCCAGCCCTAGATAAGGCACTCACTTTCTACAGTTGCTAATTTCTTGCTTCATCTCCTCTTCACTGTTTTAGTTCTTCTTATACCTTAAAACTAATTCCCTACATTAAATTTTCTCTATTGAAGTACTTTGCACGTGTTTTGCTTTCCTGGCTGCACTTGACTGGTGAGTTTCTCTATCCCTTGTCTTCTATAATCATATTTCTATAGCTCTGTGTGTATGTGGGTGTGTGTTTAATTTATTGAAAGCATCCTGTACTATAACTATTTGTTCCCTTTATAGTATTAACTAGAAATTTCTATCTATAACTACTTACATTAATAACAGTTTATGCCCTTTTACCTGTTTATTGTCTGCCTTCCCTGATAGCCTGTAAGCTCTATGAAGTCAAGCATTTCACATATTTTATTCATTGATGTATTTGCAACACTCAATAGATGACTGACTTGTGGGTAATCATATTAAATAAATGAGTGAAAACATTAATGAATCCCCATTTTACATATAAACACACTCAAGCCTAAAGAGGTGAAATAATGTTTAGATCATCTGATTTTGTGCTGCCAGGTAGCTCAGTGAACTGCCTCCTTTATGCCACCTGCTTTTTTTCTATGGATTTAGAATTGTGGCCCAGATTTCCTATGGTAGCAGCCATCTTATTTCACCTTGGATCTCCCAATCCCATTGTCCCTGTTTCTCCAGCACCACTGTGTACCTGCTCTAAACATAGCCTGCTGTTGTGTCATCCCTGTCATACTAGGCTGTTTATGCTTCCTTCCATGGCACCATGAGCCATATTTTCCAATATTTCTCCCAGTCCTGGGGTGGTCCACATTTCATTCCAGCCTGGATCCCTGACTTTCATAAGAGTACTTATGAAACTGCATGCCAACATTTCCTAACAACGTATAACATCTGGTGGAACTGAGGAACTCAGGCCCACACCTAAAATAGGGGGTTTCCCCAAATAACCTAGCCTGAGCTGAGTCTGGCCTGAGCTCCCTGCTAGTGTTGCCAGAGAAAATATAAAATACCCAATTGAATTTGAATTTCAGAAAACAATATATATATATATATATACTGGTACTGAAAAAGTATTTGTTGTTCATCTGAAATTCAAATCCAACTGGACACCCTGTATTTTTGATTGCTACATCTGGCAACCCTACTGTCTACAGTTGTCAAATAGTGGGAGAGCTGAAACATTAACTAAGACTATGTTCCTTTCCAAGAGAACTTTTGAAAATTATCAGAATCTCCCAAAGAGATGTAAAAAAACAGATCCCCAAGTCCAATCCCAGACCTGTTTGTTGGATAAGACCTCGGATCTGCTTCTTTAAAAGCGTCTCTTGCATTCTGTGAGTCAAGCAGGCTTTATGACAACTCTGATTGTTGCCATAACAGAAGCAATGAGAGAAATCAGTGGATGCAGATATAAGTGAAAACAAAACAGAACAAGAGTTTTAGGTGACACCAGAAATCAGGCTATCTGATTCTCAAATATTGTGCTCCTCTGAAGCAGAAGGGAGGGACTGCCTGTGCCCAGAACTGTTGACCGATCGTGTCCTGGAGACTACTTCCTGTCCTTGTTCTCCATCCTTGCCTCCTCAGCACTCTGGATGGCGGAGGTCCCGACAGTAACCAGGCAACTCTAGAGTCTGGCCTGAGCTGCCTGCTAGGGTTGCCAGAGAAAATATAAAATACCCGAATCAATTTGAATTTCAGATAAACAATATCTATGTATATGCTGGTACTGAAAAAGTATTTGTTGTTTATCTGAAATTCAAATCCAACTGGACACCCTGTATTTTTTATTGCTATATCTGGCAAACCTATCTACAGTTGTCAAATACTGGGAAGGCTGAAGCGTTAACTAAAACTATGTTCCTTTCCAAGAGGACTTTTTTCTTTTGTAAAATAATTTTCAAATTTTATTTTAGATTCAGGGGATACATGTGCAGGTTTGTTGTGTGGGTATATTGTGTGATGCTGAGGTTTGAGGTACGAATCATCCCATTACCCAGATAGTGAGCACAGTATGCAATAGGCAGGTTTTTAGCCCTTGTCCTCCTCCCTCTCTTCTTCTCTAGTGGACCCCAGTGCCTATTGTTTCTATTTTTATGTCCATATGTGCCCAATACTTAGCTCCCACTTAGAAGTGAGAATGTCCGCTGCTTGTTTTTCTTTTCCTGTGTTAATTCGATTGGAATGTTGGTCTCCAGCTGCATGTGCTGCTGTAAAAGGCATGATTTTATTCTTTTTTATGGCTGCATAGTATTCCATGGCATATATATATAATATACATATAATATATATATAATATATATACCTATAATATATATAATATATAATATATATATACCTATAATATATATAATATATATATTATAGGTATATATATATATATATATATATATATATGGCATTTTCTTTATCCATCAAGGTACCCTTGATGGGCACGTAGGGCACGTAGGTTAATTCCATGTCTTTGCTATTGTGAATAGTGTTGCTATGAACATGGGAGTGTATTTGTGTTTTGTTTTTTTTTTTTTTTTTTTTGTAGAACTATTTATTTTCCTTTGGTTGTATACCCAGTCATAGGATTGCTGGGTTGAATGGTAGTTCTGTTTTAAGTTCTCTGAGAAATCTCCAAATTGCTTTCTACAGTGGCTGAACTTTTCTATTTCTACCAATAGTGTATAAGCATTCACTTTTTCTGTAGCCTTACCAGCAACTGTTATTGTTTTACTTTTTAGCAATAGCCATTCTGACTGCTGTGAAATCATATCTCGTTTTGGTTTTGATTTGCATTTCTCTGATGATTAGTGATGTAAAGCATTTTTTATGTTTATTGGCCATTTTTATGTCTTCTTTTGATAAATATCTGTTTATGTTCTTTGCCCATTTTTACATTTTGTTGTTGTTGTTTGTTTTTTGAGTTGTTTTAAGTTACTTATAGATTCTGGATATTAGACCTTTGTCAGATGTGTAGTTTCTGAACATATTCTCCCATTCTATGGGTTGTTTGTTTACTCTGTTGATAGTTTCTTTTGCTGTGCAGAAGATTTTTAGTTTAATTAGGTCCCATTGGTCAATTTTTATTTTTGTTGCACTTTCTTTTGGGGACTTAGTCATAAACTCTTTGATAACGCTGATGTAAGAGGACATTTTGAACTTCTGTTTCTTCGAGTCGCATAAAGCCAGTGATGTTGAGGAAGTCCCTCTTTAATAAACATTGTCTTCTACAAGACTTATTCTTTGACAGATTCAATTCTGCACACATGTAGTATTTAGTACCTATTTCTGTCTGCCGTATGGGTTCCAAGTCTATCCCCAACATGATAGTGGCAAATGCTCAGTGTTCTAGGATGACTTTGGCAAGAAGTTCCATCTAATTAGAAGACCAGCATCAATATAGCTAAACCAGCTCAATTGTTTTAGGTATATAATTTGTCTTCCAATTTTGATTACTGCAAATATGTTTACCAAATTTGTTTAAGGGCATATCCTGCCTTATTTTGCATTTCTCATAGATACATGTTAAACATGGAATTTAATACATAAAAATGGTAGGATATGCCCTTTCCATGAGTGATGGGATTGTTTAGTATTCTTGGGGAAGTCTCTGTGTTTGTCCTTTATTTATTCATTTAATATATCTTTTTTGAGAGTATATTATGTGCTACGTGGTGTTCTAGGTGTTGGGAATAATGAAGTGAAACAAAACAAAACACAGCCTTAAGGAGTTTGTGCTATGGATAAAATGAGAAAGAAGCGGGCAGGATGGGCCTCTGGGGAGGTAATGTGGCTGCAATTTTAAAATATTCGTTAAGAAAGACCTCACTGAAGAGGTGACATTTAAGCAGCAATTTGAAGGAGAACTGCTTTTAGGATTTTAAGAACTCTTTAGTGAATTTGTTTAATCGTCGCTCATTTTAAAGTGTATACATTTACCTAAAATGGAGTACTCATAGCAAGTCTATCATTTATCAGGACATCAAATTTGTAAGGTGATATTGGAATGCAATGTGCTTAATGTAAATATCCACTCTTCAATCTCAAATGGACCAACTCAGAAAAACACAGTGCATTACAGTTGTTTCTAATTAATATTTGTTCATGCAGTATAGTGCTTAAAGTGTAGGTTCTGCAGTGCAACTGCTTGGTTTCAAATTCTGTCCCCACCACTTAGTAATAATATTGTGTATGACAGATTGTTATAAATTTCTGTACCTCAGTTTCCTAATGTTACATTGGGATAACTGTATTAGTTACCTCAGAGTGTTATTGTGAAGATTGAACCAGACAATGTACAATTCCTATCCCAGAGAAAGTTCTTCATGGTATGCTAATAAGCTGGCTCTCCAGAAGAAAAACAAAAAGCCCTGATATAGAGTTTGCCAATGTTCATGGCATAAAAGTCTCACCTTAGTCAATTTCAAGCTCAGTACATTGTCACTGAACATAGAGTTGGGAAGACATGCACACAGTCAGCTACAATGAGCTATAACACTGTACTGACTATATAACACACTAAATACATGATTCATGGTGCCATATTATCAAAGATAAGTATTTATTTGTAGGAAAATAATGGTCTTAAGAATGTATCTTTATGTACATATATTGATGGCTTTAGAGCAGACTTTCTCAACCTTGGCACTGTTGACAATTTGGGTTTGATTTTTTTTTAAATTGAGAAGCTGTCTTGTGCATTATAGAATGTTTAACAGATTCCCTGACTTCTATTCATTAGATGCCAGGAACTACCCTCCTGCCCTAGTTGTGACAACCAAACATGTCTCCAGACATTGCCAGATGTCACCTGAGGGCAGGGAGGAATTCCCTGGTTGAGAACCACTGCTTTATAGAAATGGTAGCCAGAAAAGCTAGAAAAACATGTTTCTAGAGGAATAGATTTAAAATCACATTTTAAAAGAAAGTAACAACAATACAAGTGATTACAAATACACTGAAAAGCGTATCAGTTTTTCAGTAATTGATATTTTTAAGAAGATGAGCAATGGGTTAACACTAGGTGGAAAGGTGGGCTAAGATGTCACAGGTGGCAAGCATCATGGCAGAGTGGCTGGAGCCTGTTGGTGTCAGATAGGCCTCGGCTCTTACCTGGACTCTGCTCCTTATTTGCTGTGTGATTCTGGGCAAGTCACTTAACCACTCAGAGCCTCAGGATCCTCATTAATGGAAAAAGAATGAAGACTGACTGAAACAGATTGCAAACATAATAATCAAGTCTTATAAGTATTTATTGAAGAGGAAAGAAAAGGGTCCTTGTTAGCTCTGTGTTTTGGGGGACTGGTAGGCCTTGGGCAAGGACTGATGGCAGGGGAAGCCCAAAAGGTGTGGTGGACTGGAAAGCACAAAATGATAAAGTGCCTGCCCCGTCACACACGGCTGCGGGTCACTGCTTGGAAATGTGAGAACAAAATGGGACCCCAAGCTAATGACTTTCAGGTGTGCTGGCCCGGCTGCCTGGTCATTGGGGAATGACATAGAGGCCAAGGCTAATGCTCCGGGGCTGCCAAGGCAAACATCCAGACCCAGGGCAAATCAACCAGAGCCAGGGACTTGGGGCCTCTCATCGCACTGCACAGCACCCTGTGGCTGCCTGGGCCTGCACCTGCCCACTGCAGACACAGCAGGCACTGCACCCTTGCCTCTCTCACTGCAGGCCTGCCGTCCTTGCTCCCAGATGTCCCCATTGCCCTGCTACCTGCCCAACCCAGCACTGGCACTACTGTTCTCTCTTTTTCAATCCCAACCTTGTGAAACTCCAGTGAAAATTCTGCTGATTGGAACGATGCCTGAGTCAGTGCACTTTAGCTATGTGGACAGAGAATTCCTTCTTTCTTCCTGCCTACCCTTTGTTTGCTCTATTCTTTGAACTTTGCACAGTGCTCCACTCCAGGCATCACTAGTGTTTCTTGGTGTCCCCTTCTTCCTTCCATCACCCAGCTACGGAGATGGACCCAACCTATGATGCATTTCATACAAGCTCTTTTCTGCTCACACAACACTCTCTGATGAGCCATGGGACAGACTGAATGTCACATTTGTAGCATCAGTTACTCCAAAGGACATGATGGAAGGTAGCCAGGTGGGTAAGCATGCAAGTGGACAGCATCAGCTGGGTTCAGGGATGCTTACTGATACCACACAAATTCTACCTTGCAGGCCCCTGACCCTAGGCTTGCAGAAGGATTCGCTCTGACTTCACAAACAAGACTGTTGTGAAAGTATTTTTGTTCTGGGACTTACCGTCATGGGTCAGAATCTAGATGCTGCTGCTTATTTAATAGCTATGCAAACATTATTAAACTCTCTATGTCTCAGTTTTCCAAACTGTCAAACTCTTTTTTATGACTGTTGGGAAGATAACTGAGACTATTCTTTCACTTAACAAGTATTTACTAAGCATTGATGATGGTCTGGAAGCAGTGCTAGACCCTGGACCTTAGGGATACAGATATGAATACAGCATAGTCTCTGGTCTCCAGGAGCCACAGTCTAGGAGTAAAGGCAGATGAAAAACTATAGCAAGATGAAACATTATGTGTGTGTATAGTACACATAACTGATAAGAGTCAAGTCTTCCTGGAATACACCATTCATAATCCTTCAGGGCCTTGGCACTTATTGTTGCCTCTGCCCTCAAACTTGCCTCCCAGATATCTGCCAAGTTTGCTCCCTAACTTTCTTCAGGTCTTTGCTCAAATGGCATTTTGTCATAGGCATCTTCCCTTTCCACCTTATGTAAAATAACATCCACTCTCTTGGGGTCTATTCCCATATCTGTTTTCTTCCTAGCCATATCATCACCTGATATACTGTCTTTCTTTTTCCTTCCCTTCCCTGCTCTAGAATGTGAACTCCATGTGGGCAGGAGCGTTGTTTTATTCACTGCTGTAACTCAAGCAACTGCAACTATGTTTGTAATGTAATTAAATGTTACAATAAATATTTGCTGACTGACTGAACAAATAAACAGAAAAATGAGTGAAAATTGGAATGACAGAATAAAAGACATAATTCTTACTGGGAGAGTCTCAAAGAAAAAAACCCTTGAGAGGGACCTGCAGATGTCAGAGTTACTTGAATAATACAGGGAACAGATGAGGGAAGAGAATGTGCAAAGGACATTTAGAAAGTCATGGTCTGTTCTAGAAGCAGCTGTTATTTGTTAGTAACTAGAGAGATGAAGATAGGCTCAGAGGCATGGCAGGAAATGCATGTGGAGAGTGAGATGGCAACAAATCTCATTTAATCCCTTCTAAGAAGAGTGTACTTGGCATGCAACCTAGAACTTAATTTTATTTTTAAAAACTAACACAGCAACAGGCACATAGAAGATGCCCAATGCTTTTCGAGCGTATGCTTTCCATATATCAGTCTGTGAGAAGTGCATAGAAATCTCTAAGGTGGACTATTCTACTGACCCCAGCTAGCCTCCTATCCCCTGAACACAGATAAGGGCTTTATGGCAGGTAAGACCTGGGGTAATTGGTGTTTGGAGGGCACCACACCACAGGCTGTGTAGGTCAGCATTAGTATACAACTTATGGAAATGTTTGCCCCTTCTCAGAATCCAGGCAAGGCCAGCCTACCCCAGTCCAACCATTCATCCCAATTTTAAACTCTCCATTTCAAAAGTGCTGTTCCATAAAGTGTTGATAAATTAGGGCTTAATTATCCCAGCTCCAGTTCCACTATGCTCTGGTTACAGTAAATAAACCAGTGCCTGTTTAAGTAGATTTTTATAATGGGGCAAACTCTTGTGTAGACTTTTTACTGAAACAGAATCACTGCTTTGAAGAGAGCCCAAGTTTCATAGAAGAGGCTTGTGGCAACTTCTCCCTGGCTCTGCAGATGTGCTTGGAGAAAAAAGGAAGCTGAATACTCAGGCTGGACTAAAATGAGGGAGGCCACAAAGGAACTCTGTGAAGTCAGCAGTATTGATTCTTACTCTAGTTTCTCACACATGTCTAAAGTTTTAAAGAGATCATAGTCTAAGAGGAATTGAAGAGCCATATTGTTTTTGAAATGCATTTTTAAATTTTTTAATGATAGTTGAGAAGTAAATGAATGCAATTGCTGTGGTGTGGAAGCATGGTGTGAGGTAGGGGTGTGTGTGTGTGTGTGTGTGTAAATTGAATAATTATAAACTTTGGTGAATGACCTTTTAGGTTATCTCAATTGTAGGTGGCATTACAATTTACTCATAATTTTAAGGCCTCATTACATCTCACCCAGAGCAATGGCCTCTTAATTAATTTTTTTGCCTCCAAGTTCACCCAGGTACAATGCACTCTTCATATCACCATCAGCCAAATATTTCCAATATACAAATTGAATAATGTCACACTCTTGTGCAAAACCCCTTTAATATAAGCCACTGTCCTACAGAATAATGTCCAAACTCCTTGACCTGGAATTTAGAGGTCCCTTCCAAGTAGTATCTGGCTATCTTGCCATTTGCTATGTTTCAAATGATGGAAATCACCAGGGCCCTGCTATATTACTGTCTTCCTGCTTGTCAATAAAAAATTACTAAGCACCATCAGTAAATATTTCTTTATTGAAAAAATAAAGATAATTTGAAGGAGGTACACAAATACAAACATCTATTTATGTTCTCTCCCTTTTATCCCTTTCTTTTTTATGGCTCCAACATTTTTACAAATACATAACTTCTATGATGGGACCCATGTGCTCATAAATTAAGATTAGAATGAGAAGCATTGAAAGGGTGAATAAGCCAAGTCTACCTTTTATTTAAGGGGCAAGCATTTGCAGAGACATTGGTCAATGCATTGTAAAGAAATGACTATGTCCTCCTTAGAAAATTCTGAAATGGCTAATCAAGAGACCCAGGCTGGATGAGTGATGGGACCTTGCCTCACTCAGCTGAGGAGAAAGGAAGGACTCCTGGTGCTCTCATCCCCACAGATCTCCCCTGGCACCATCATGACCCTGGTTACACCAACCTCCATGTGCCACCTCCATCAGAAAAAAGGTTTTAGTAGCAGCCTACTCTTGACAATGACTGATGACCAGCATGCTTTGGGTTCCATTGAAAAGCCAGCTTATGTGACAGGCATCACTGTACTTACTGCAAAGGAAAATTATGCCATTTCAGAGAACCAGGAGGAACACAGCGATTGTACATTGTCCAGTGATTTTCCTATCTAAGAGGCAAAATAAATTTTCTATCTGGAATAAATATTTTGGAAAATAGCTGGTCCGTGTTTTAATTGGCCTGGATCCTAGTAGTCTGAGATGCACTGAGGCCATTTGATTCACTAAAATGTTGAAATAATTGAGATTCCTCAATAATTTTGAGGGGTAATAAAAGCAAGAGATACCTTCAAATCAACCCTAGATGAGAGCTGAGACCTGTTCCCCTCTTGTTCCAATCTAAGGGCTGGACATACCTCAAAATCTGAGGATGGGAGGATTACCTACAATGGGTTGAGATTCTGGGAAGAGGACTAGAATTCTATGTAATCACTGGGCTGGGCCATTCATTTGGGAGCCAGAAACAAGAAAATCCAGCTGTGGGAGTGTAGATAAAATCAGGATTTGGATTCAGGTCTTCTTCATTTCACATCAGCATGTATGTACGTTGTACCCTGGTCCCTTCCTTAATTCCACGTTGCTAGTGTTTACTGCATGTGGCCATATCAAAAGGACTCATTCATGTTCTGTGTCTGGCACACCATACCCAATCATGACTCTGGAGGTTGTGTCTCTCTGCCTTTGGTTGATTTTAATATGACATGAGGTCCTGGAAGTCCCTCTTATTCATTTTATTTATTTATTTTAATGGCCTAAATTCAACTCCACTAAGCAAATCAATTCAGCACTGAGGCTGAAATTTACAATACGGCCACCAATACTATGGCTCAACAGGATGCATTAAGAGGCTAGTTAAACACCAAATGCAGTATAAATCTCAGCCTTATAGGTGTGCTGAAAACATAAATAGCTTCCAAAGAGCCATGATCAATACCAAGATATATGTGCAGGCTCCAAGTGTGCAAATAATTTAAATTTTAAATTAGCCCCTCCTTAGTATTCCCAAATATCCTAGACTTTGCAATTTCTGTTAATGATGCCAAATTTCCAGTATCTAATCATTGGTTTTTGAGTTTCTATTAAAATATCCAAACTGGGACTGGGGTGGCATCATGCACTGTGTGTTTATTGGAATCCAGAGATGGGAAATGAGAAAGACATAAAGAAGCGAGTTACAGAGAATAAGACAAAGGGTGGGCATCCAGGAAGGTACAAATAGGTGGCACAGGAGAAAGGGCAGGTAGCAAGTTGGTATTAAGAAAGTCTGGAAGCAGGTAGAAGGTGCCAGGTCATATGAAAAATGTGTTTTGGCAATACCTTAATGGTGCTGGGTTGGCCTTGTTATGGAAAACCATGGATTCTGAGCAAGGAAACAAAGTGAGAATCTCACCATGTGAACACCAGACATAGCTGCAAGAAAGAAACGGCATCAGAAATGATGCAGACCCAATACCACTGCCAAGTCATAAAGAAATCGTTTGCCTGATGCTGGTGTTGGCTTTGAGGCTGAGGCTGGCTGAGCCTGCAGGAGTGAGCCATGGGTACTCAGAAGGCTGCAGGCATGGGGTTAAGTGGGGAAGCGACATTCTCTCCTCTTTAGTCCCTACACCTCTGCCTTCTCTGGAAGCATTATCCTAATTTTCCCCAAATCATTCACTCTGGGCAGAGGCCAGATTGCAAATACCTGGGCATGAAACTATCCTTTACCTGGGTAATTTCAGGGGTAGGAGATCTTAATTTACTTTCATTTTCTTCTAGATCACCTCACCTAGTGGGCCAGAGAGTTGGGCGACCTGGTTTCCAATCCCCACTCTGCTGCTCACTAGCAGTGCTACCCTGGGCAAGTTACTCGACCTCCAAAAACTTCCATTTCCTCATTCATAAAATAGGAGTAACAATTAAACCTACATCATTGAGTTAATGGAAGGATTAAATTACCGAAAGGCATTTATCCTGGCCCATAACAATTTCTACACTCACTCTTATATTCAGCAAATATTTATTGGGCACACCATAGGAAACAGACACATTTTTAACACTGAGAATACAGTAGAGAAGAGTAACAAGTCCCTGCTTTCATAAAACTTTTATTCTAGTTGAGGAAGAAAATAATAAGCAAAGACAAAAGATGTGATATGTCAGGTGATAAAGGTTATGAGGAAAAAATAAAATAGGCTAAAGCAATAGAGAGTAATGGGAGTGCTCTTTCAGCTAAAGCAGCTAAAGCCTTTATGGAGGAGGAGATGTTTGAGCAGAGATGTGAGTAAGTGTGGGAGTAAGCTATGCACACTTGTGCAGGAAGAGGCTTCCAGGCAGAGGAAACAGATGTGCAAAGGTCCTGAGGCAGATATGTGCTTTCAGTATGCAAAGATGAAGCAGCAAGAAGACTGGAGGGGCTGAAACATAGGCAGAGAGGAGGGAGTGGTACCTGCTGAGCGAGAGCAGGTGTCCTAGGCAGCCATGATAAGGACTTTGGATGTTATTCTGAAGGAGATGGATGAGAAATCATCCGAGGAGTCTGAAAAGAGCAGCTCCACGACCTGACTTACAGTTTGTAGGAGTAGCCCTGGCCACTGTGTAGGTAAAAATGGGGCCTCTAAGGAGCTCACCGTAGTTATCCAGGGGAAAGATGATGAGGATAGTAACAACCCTGCCTCATATGAATGTCACTGGGACAAGTTAAGGTCACAGGAGATGGTGTCGTCCTATGTCCATCATAGGAACTCTCTTATTATTTCTCTGTCTCTCCTTTTGCCCCTGTACATATGCAGGATTCCTGCCCCAGCCTTCCCAGTCCTTGTATAAGAAGCACTCTGCTGCTGTCCACCTGCAGAGCCAGTGCTCTGACATCAGGGAATCAGTTCAGCCTTAGGAACTGGTCCCTGTGTGCTGGTGCTAATTACTGGAGATGTGGATTCCAAAATGCAGTGTATCCTGAAAGTCTTGGGCCCAAATGCAAAAGCTTCTCCTTATCTATGGAGCACCTTTCTGCCCATTCTCCTTATTGCCCCTGGCCTATTCACTTGGTGGTCAGACTGACCTTACTTGTGGCCTGAAATTCCAGAGAGAAGGCAGCAGGGAGAGGCTATTTTTGATGTTTATTAATTCTCAAAATGCTGGGTTTTGAGACCCCACTACCCCTACCTCAAAGGTGATGCCACGGACAAATCAAATTAACAAACAAAGGAAAAGGTAGAGACGGGTGTGTTCTAAAGACAATATTCTCTGAGAAGATGATAGGCAGGCTCTAGACTCATCCTTTAGGCTGCCTCCCTGACCTCTCTGGTACCCATACTTTTGGTCATAAGCTGTCTCCATCTTCACAGGTTTGCTGCAACAGAAAGGGGCTCATGTCAACTTCCTCAACACCTCCTGAGACTGTTAAACAGCTGGCAGGAATATGAGAACAGGTCCATTCTCATGAGGTTCACTAGATTTACTTGTTTGTTGCTCTAAGAAGCCATCACTCAAATTTCTGCAATGCAACTAGTTAACGTGTCCTTCCATACAGCTTTCTGAATATCCCCCAGCCTTTCTCCCTCTGCTCCCAATGCCCTGGTGAAGATGTGGCCTTATTATCTCTGGAATAGGTTAAGGTACCAGCCTCCTGAATGTTCCACCTGCCATCACTCTTGCCCCCTTTCCAATCCAAACCTGAGCAAGTGCTCTTCCCACTTCTCCCCACTTTTTTTTTTTTTAATTTTCCAAGGGCCTTGGAAGAAAGTGCAGCTGTGTGACTTGTCTTGCATGTCACCACTCTACTGTGAGACATTCTGCAGTCCCACTAGAATCTTCAGCTCCCTGGAGAACGCTGCCCCCATGTACACTTCCATACCTTTACACATGCCCTCTCTCCTGTCATTTTTATGACCTAGCATCCAATTCAAAAGTCATTCTTTCCATAAAGTTTTATATCAGTATCCCAGAAAGTGAGATTGCTCACTCCTCCAGGTACCCCATTCATTTTTTTACCTTCATTTCAGATATCCCAAATTATTTTCTAATTATCTCTGTGTGTGGCATTCTCCTTCACTGGTGCATCAATTCTTTGAGGGCAGTGACTCTTTCATGCTGCCATGCACTAAGCATTTGGTATTGTTGATTTCATCCTAAGTAGATCTAGAAAGATCTGAGGAGAAGAGGGTATAACGACACAGTGAGTCACACCTGCAGTAGGGAAAGAAAATCCCAAAGCACATGATAATAATGTTTGCAAGTTTTTCCTTAATCTTTCATGTATGTAAAGTGTGTCGCAGATATGGACTCACTTGCCCTTCACATAAGTCCCATGGGGAAGGCATTTTTATTCCTGTTTTGCAGATGCCAAACTGAGTCTTACGTAGAGGGGCTAACTGAATTGCCCAGTGTCTCACAAGTCAAGTGTGGTGTGGGAGCCAGAATTCAAAGTTCACTCCATCCCACTTCAACACATGAGTTCTTAGTCACTATAGAAATGTGCCCTCTCGCACTGGGAGATGTTGACCTGTTGGCCTATGTATGATGAGCTCTGAGGTTGGGCTTGCAATGACTTGAGGAATTATGTCGAAGCGACTGCAGCAGAGGCTACAAAGTGTCTGCCTCTGATAGGGTTTGCAGACTTGCTTCTCTGGGTTGTCAACCATTTAAAGCACAAAATGAGGAAGACTTACATGGCTTGGCCCAGTACTTTGTCTATAATCCCAAATTATACTTAGCAACCTCACCATCCAAGCCAGAGTCCTTTCTTTAGAGTTTTCAGGCACAAAAGGAATCATGATTAATCAGTAATCATTATCAACGCTTAATTTTGCCCTGGTCCTGATTTGGGGGCAATTATTTGTGGTTGAAAGTAGTAAGCAGAGGCAAAGTGAGCAAAGATAAAGTCACCAAGGTTCTTTGAGCAGTTTATGGACTTCTTTTTCTCAGGAAGCCCTTCAAGAAAAGCATTCTATAGTCCACTCAGAACTTCTTTTGACCCTCACGTATGTATTCAAAAAACACTCATTGATACCAAATCCTGTTATAGACACTATAGCTATGGTGACAAGCAAGATAAATTATGAAATGCTTATTATACAGGGAGAGACAAAAATATAACCCAGTAAAAATTATGAAATATAAAATAATTTTGCATTGCAATACGTATTATCAAAAATATTTAATAGGAGGTAGGGAGAGAAAATAATGAGGATTGCTTGACTTTCTATAGTGCATTCAAGGGAGTCTTCTTGGAGGAAGGGTCATTTAAATGGAAGCCTGAAGATAGAACAGAAGTCGGGTATTTGAGGATTGCGGGAAAGAGGGCTCAAGATATGGGGAGCCAGAAACAGGGATGGAGGCTGCGGAATTAAGGAGCTTGTGTACGTCTGGAGTGCACAAGATGAGGATGGTAGTAACACTGTCTCCAAAATTTAATTTTGAATACTATGGTTATGCATCCTGAGTGATCCAGGAAAATTGCCTTCTTTCTCTTCTCCTCAATCTCTAAGTACCTAAACTAAGCCTCCTCCTCTTGCAACGTTTTATCTCTGGTGTTCATGGGAGTTGAGAACACACCATTGGAGAATTTCCTCAGTTCAAAGACACCAGATCAACAAAACAATCTGGATGTTAACCCTGAAGCCAGCCTACAATAATCAGGGCTTCTGGCTCAGGTTCACAATGAGCAGGAGACCTCTGCCACCTCCAGTGCTACCTCTTTGTAAAACCTCAACAAGCTATTTTATGTGAAAATATTAATCACTGCTCATTGCAGCGTTCAAAATCAGTCAAGGAAGCCTCTTTGAAGGTGGTGACGTAGGGGTTTATATAAGGGATCAGCTGATGGAAAGGAGAAAGATGCGCGTTCCAGAGAGAAGAAACAAGCTGGGTAGTTTTGCAAATGGTTTATGCCCATGTGGAGACACGCCAGGTTAGAGCAGGTCTGTGTGGGAGAGAAGTTGTGGTTAGGGGCATGGAATTGGACAGAGACCAAAAACATGGGTCCTAGAAAGTCAAATTGGAGGACTTTCATCCTGCAACTCCACCCTTTCCTCTCTTTTTTTCTTCGAAATTAACCGGACTTATTTCTTATTCTCCTCATGGGAGATTTCACAGCTATTATTTCCATTTTCTCAATAGCTTTGGGAGGTATAATTATCCCCATTTACTAGCTAAGGAAACTAAGGCTTAGGAGGGTTCACTGACAGGAGCGGGAGCAGCTTGGGCTCATGTCACGTGTCTTCATAGTCAGCACATAGCTTCATCTGTCCTATCCTGCACCTGCTGTGTCTTACTGCATTTAGATTGCAGCCAGCTTTCTCTCTGTCTCTTTGAATTTCAGCACAGGTAGGTACTGCACTTACCCATTCTTATAGATGGCAAACCGAGGCTCAGAGATGTTAAACCACTCCTCCAATGTCACATTGCTAGGAAGTCGCCAACACATTACTAAACCTGGGGACATCTGCTCTTCAGGGCAGCACTCCGTTGCCTCCCAATACCCAGTAGCTGTGATTGTTAGATGATGATGATGATTATTAATAGAGTTATTGCTTTTGGGGCAACACTAGCAGTGCAGCAGCGAGCAGGCTAGCAGGGCCCAGGGCAGCTTGCTCGGCCACATCTGCCCTGGAGCTGCTGTCTGCTGTGCACCAGGAACCCGCCGAAGCCTGAGAGCTGTCAGCACAGATTCCACCAGGGAGCCAGCAACGCCCCTCACTTCCTCAGGCCTCTCTGAAATCCAGCCAAGGAACAGGCGCTGAGCTCACAGTCAGATAGCTCCCGGAGCCTCCGGCCCTGGGCACGGTGCCCTAGCTGGTGGAGATGGAAACAGCAAGGCCCTTCTGACTCAAAGACTCCTCATTGCCCCTGACACCTCAGACTTAAAACCCACCATCACTGTCATTCAGCATCCACCCTGCCAGGCATGATGCAGGGAGAGAGGAGGGGATAAAAAAGGGAAGGGCCGTACAGAGCCAGGGCAGAGGGAGGAACCGAGCTGGAGAAAGCATTAAGGACCCACTTGTGAAAATCCTTTGGAGTGCTGAGGCTAAAAGCCCATCTGGGTGGGATCAAAGGGGAGCCCCCAACACAGCCCATGACTGGAGGATCAGCAACTTGCAGGCCTAGTTAGGCCTTGATTTCCCTTTTTCTCAGCTTTTGAGGAGAACTACAGTCACTGCCTGAGAAAATGCAGCCTCAGGACACAGGATTCTAATTCAGTGCCTGCACAGCCTTCCAACCAGAGGCCTGCAAATGGTAGAGTCGTCCATCTGGATCATTCTGCAAATTGTGAGGTCAAATTGCATTAATAAAAAAAAGCATTCCCCTTTTAATTCTCTTTCTCTTTCAGTTTCTCATCAGATTGGGATGAGATGCAGAAATGCATCAGATTGGGAAACACACCTAATCCTTTGCTAAGCTCCCTTTTAAACAACAAGCCCAATCTCTGGTAGGCAAGGGTGTCTTGGTAAAACCTAAATAGAATTGCCTAGTTTCCATTATACTCATTTTGACAGTGAATCCTTTAGAATAGGAAGTATTTCTTGTCTAAAGTTTCTGTTTAGATCCTATACATGAAGTTTTTAAAAGCAAAAGGAAATCACAGCTCAGCCCTTTGCAGATACTCTGAACATCTTGAGGAGAGGCAGGGACAACCGGAGGTAGGGAAACGGGGTCTCGGATGACAAGCCTCAGCTCTGGGAAAGTTCTGGAGGTGGCAGGACAGCCAGGCCAGAGTTGTCCGGTGGAGACTTGGCTCCTGAAGCCAGCGGGGCACCCCTGAGCAGCAGGCCTTTCTCAGAGCAAACATCAGTCTCTCTCCTCTTTGTCCTTAATGACCACAGCTGGGTAGGGGGGAGAGGCTTTAACTCCCAAGGAGGCTGTTTGTATCCAGCCTGCGAGGAGAGGCCTAAATTGGCATTCCACATCATAATAAAAAAATTCCCAGCAATTATTAAAAGATTCTTATCTCTTGCTCCCTACATGGATAATGAGTTCCTTCTCTGCTGGACTGAGACAGGCTGTCTCTGCTCTCACTTAATGAAACAGGACCAAGTTTGCAAATGAGCTTGCCCCGTCTCTCCCCTTAACCTCTGCTTGTGGAGTTGTACATCAAACCTTCTGGCTTCTGTCTTTCCTTATTAACAGCCCGTAATCTTAGCAGGGCCCTTGCCTTGGCACTTCCTCTTTGCATGTACAGGTCTGGTTTTCACTGGACCTAATGACTGGGGGTTTGCCTTTGTCTTTCTGGGACTGAAGTTTTAGGGGATCCAGGTGCTTCTGGTTTCATCAAATAAGAAGGCTAATGAACAATGAGAGAGGGGAAGAAAGAGAGGGAATGTGTGTGTGATTTAGCTGAAAAAAAAAACACCAAAAAAACAAAAAAACACTACTGCTTTCTCTTTGGGAGACATTGGTGCTGGAACCTGTATTTAGCAATGGTTCTGTTTGAAATCCTCTACCCGCAGCTCTGAGTTCCAGGGATTCATTTCTTTCCCCAAATCCAGCCTACTTTGCGGGGTAGGATCAGGTCAGCTGAGTCATCTTAACAAAAGTCACTGCATTTTACTTTTCTAAGTCACCCCTCTTGGCCTTCCAGGGACTTTCCTTTATTTTGACACCATTTCAGCAAAAACCATTGAACAGGGATAACTCTTTTCCGTGGAGTATTTGACTGCTTTCCTCAAAGTCTCCTCTACTCCTAGGGAAGGAAGGAGACTGTGAACATGAGTTGGAGCAGGCAGTTTTATGGAATAGGTTGATCCGTCAGGCCTTTTGTGTGTGTAGGCTATCTGTCTCATAGCATGGGAACTGATGGACTCTGCTCCCAGGACATACTGGTGCTGTTATCTGGTGAAGTGCAGCTGATACTTTAGCTCTGAGATGAATTTTACTTGGGATACGACCAGCCAACGTTTCAGGAGAGCTTCACTTACTCTTTCAGGTGCTGTTCTAGTTGTCTGTTGCTGTGTAATAAAGTGCTCCAGAACCTAGCCATCTTATTGAACAACCATCTATTGTACCTCATGATTTTGTGAGTTAGGAATTCAAACAGGGTTCAGTTGGGCTGTTCTTCTGCTCCTTATGGCACTGGCTGGGGTCTCTAGGTTTTATTCAGCTGGTGACTGGCTTTGTCTAAAGCTCCAAGATGGCTTTGGTCATGTGCCTGACACCTTGGGGAGGATGGGTTCTCTTTGAATGCTGTACTTAACTGGGTTGCTTTACATCTTTATATTCTCAGGGCCTCTCCAGTGATCTTCCAACAGCTATTAGACTTTGTTTTCTTTTGAGATAGGTTCTCACTCTGTCACTCAGGCAGTGGTTTGGTTGGGTGAGGGGTAGGATGGAAGTAGCATGATCATAGCTCACTGCAGTCTTGAACCTCTAGGTCAAGGTGTTGGACTTCTTAAATGATTGTTCAGGTATCCAAGAGTGTATATTTCCAGAAATAGGAAGTGACAGCTGCTGGTCTCTTGCAGCTTGGGCCTCGAACCTAGAGTACATCACTTCTGCTGCATCCTGTTGGTTACAGCCACCATCAAACCTGCCCAGACTTCAGGAGAAGGAACATACATTAGGAGTAAGAACTTGGTTGGTTCTCAGTCTAATGCCTACGAAAAAAGGTACCAGCAACACAGAAGTTCCTTGAAGGATGCTAAAACTTTTCTCTTGATAACCATGACTGAAGATTAATGCTTTAGGGATAGGCAGGGATGCTGAATGAGGCCAGCTTGCCAGTCTCTATATGACCTCAAGTTTAGAAAGTGACAGTGACAGAAGCATAATTTTGGATACCCATACATGTTAAGGGAAACTAAGATCCACAAGCCGATGAAGATGTGGTCTGGGCTTCATCTTTGCTGCCTGCCAGAGTAGCTCAGGGCAAAAACCTTAAAATGATGCCAGCCTCTTTTGCCAATTGCCCCCCATAGATGGTCCCTTGCAGCCTGGGAAACAGGGAAACCAAGAGTCACGGATGTCATTTACACCAGAAGAGTCAAGCCCTTGGAAGAGCAGCTGCCTTCCTTCCTTTGCTATACCAGGAGCTCCTGGGAGTTACAGGAAGCTCCAGTTACCACTGCCTCCATCAGACGGGATCCTTCTTCAGGAATGCAAGCTTTGACATTGCATCTCCAGTGGCAGTCTCTTCTGTACTCCCAGCACTTAGCATGTAGGCCCTGGAGGAATCCAGAAGCAGTGGCTCCTTCCTTCCTACCAAGGCAGGAATGTTAAGTCACCTCTTCATGACTATACCTCTGCCCCCCATTATTGTTATCTCTCTTTCCAGTCACAAGCACTCCTGAGAAATAAACTTCAGATACGATGTGCACTGACTCTCCTTCCATGTTTTTTTCCAGCTCAGCACCTGAAGTGCCCATTCCATTTAATTATTCTCTGAGACACTGAAGATGGGAGGAGGCTATCTTTAGTGGATCCCAAATCTAGCTTTGCATAACAAATAACCTGTGAAACTTAAGATTAAAAAATACAGGTTCCCGGAATCTCCTTAAAGAGATCCTGATTCAAGAGGATGTCAGGGATTCGTATGTCCCCAACTCCTCCCTGGTCATTTTGATGTGAGCCAGGCTTAGGAACCACTGGCCTGTGTATTTTATTAACTCTGAGGGATGCAGGGCCCGCATTTCAAAGGATGGGGCCAATTAGCCCTCCCAGTTGGTAAGACCAGCTTGATTATTGAGGAGGCAAAGGCCTGGGGTGTGTTTTCTATAGTTAGGACCTGACCCATGACCTCAGCCAGCTGCCTTGCAAATGCCAGTGGTCACCAGGGCAACCCAGCCAGAGAGGGTTAATGATTCAGAGCAAATGCATCTTCACAATTAGTGTGGGAGGAGAGGGAAAAGAAACTCTCTAACTAAGAACAGGCCATGCTGAATCTGTCACCTCTGAACACCATCATCTTTTATTCTGAAAATATGTAGTAGACACTGATGCCTCCTTTGCACTTTGGATGAAGTTTAACACTGTCTGCCATCTCAACAATGTTACCTACTCACATCCCTTTCTTCCAAAGACATCTTTATTAAAACAAAGATGAAATAACGCACCCATGTAAAACAGTGGTTAAGACATAAGTTCTGAATTTAAAGGCCTGGAATGAAATCTTGGCTCTGTTATTTGTGAGTGGTGTGTGTACAAGCAAGTTAATAAACCTTTCTATGCCTCAATTTTCTCATTCTGCAAAATTCTGATAAAATTGGTAACTTTTTCTTAGGATAAAAGATAAGGTAGTACTTGTAAAGTACTTAGCACAGTGTCTTCTGTATGGTAAGCACTCAAGAACTTATCACCGCTTTTATTTTATTTTATTTTGATAAGGACATTTAACATAAGGTCTGCTCTTTTAGTAGATTTTTAAGTGTGCAATACAGTATTGTTATCTATAAGCACAATGCTATACAGTAGACCTCTGGAAATTATTCATCTTGCATAAGTGAAATTTTATTCCTGTTGATAAACAACTCCATATTTTCGTTCCTAAAGCCCTTGGTAATTCTACAGTCTGATTCTACGGGTTAGACTATCTTAGAGACTTCATATTAAGTGGAATTATGTAGTATTTTTCATTTGGTGACTGGCTTATTTCACTTATCATAATGGTCTTGAGGTTCATTCATGTTTTTCCATTTCTTCTTTTTAAATATCAAATAGGCCGAGCGTGGTGGCTCGTGCCTGTAATCCCAGCACTTTGGGAAGCTGAGGCGGGCAAATCACCTGAGGTCAGGAGTTCTAGACCAGCCCGGCCAACATGGTGAAACCCCGTCTCTACCAAAAATGCAAAAATTAGCCCACTGGTGGCGGGCACCTATAATCACAGTTGCTCAGGAGGCTGAGGCAGGAGAATCGCTTGAACTCAGGAGGCAGAGGTTGTGGTGAGCCGAGATCGTGCCACTGCACTCCAGCCTGGGCGACGAGAGCTAAAATTTGTCTGAAAAAAAATCAAATAATATTCCATTGTATGTACCTACCACATTAAAAAAAATCCATTCACCTATAGATGGACATTTAGGTTGTTTCCTTATGTTGGCTACTGTGAATCATGCTGGAATGATCTTATTGAGATCATGATTTCAACACTTTGGGATACATACTCAGAAGTGGAATTGTTGGATTATGTAATTGTTCTATTTTTATTTTTTTGTGGAAACTTCAACTGTTCCATAGCCATTGGACAATTTTGTATTCCCATCAACAGTGCACAAGGATTCCAATTTCCCTACGTCCTTACCAATACTTATTATCTTTGGTTTTCTTGATAATAGTCATCCTAACAGGTGTGATGTAATAGCTCATTGTGGTTTTGATTTGCATTTTCCTGTGTAGTTGAACATCTTTTCATATGCTTGTTGCCCACTTGTCTGTCTTTTTCGGGGAAATTGTAAACGTTCTAGAAGAAGACATACGGAAAAAGCTTCATGACATTGATCTTGGCAATGCTTTTAAGGTTATTATACCAAAACCACAGGCAACAAAGGCAAAACAAACAAGTGGGATCACCTTAATCTAAAAAGCTCTGTACAACAAAAGAAACAACTAATAGAGTGAAAAGGTAACCTACAGAATGGGAGAAAATATTTGCAACCTATATATCTGATAAGGAGTAATTTAAGCAACAACAACAACAACAAACCCACCTCCAATTGGCCAAAGTATATTGGGGGCATCTGTGATGCCTTCTTCCTTTCTTGTCTCTCTTCTCTCCAGCTCACACCCACCATTCAAATACTCTCTGATCCAGCCTATTCTTCTTACCATCCACAAAAATGACTGTCCAGACTTTGCCTTCACCACCTCTGACTTCATGACAAACATTGCTCCCAGCTTGTCTCCCTATCAACAATTTCTCCTCCTGTGATTATTCTCCAACTTGGTCCAGTGAGACCCTTTTAAGATATGAGTCACGATGACTCATTCTGCGTAAAGAACTTACTGATTTCCAATTTACCGAGTTTAAATCTTTTGCTTGGTGCACAAAGCCCTTCATAACTTGCCCCAAACTTGCCCTCTAGCCCACTCCAATTTACTTTTCTGTGTATGGTATATACCAATCAGAATTCAGAACCAAACCAGAATTTACCAATCCAGTCAGAACAGCTGCATAGATGTCCCCATCTGTGGTTTCCTCTGTAATTTTTTTCTTTCGGCCAAGATATCGATTACCTTCTTTTCTTTATGGTAAGCCTCAAGTCATCCTTAAAGACCCAGTCACAATGTCAACAGTCCTTCTTTGATGTCCTTAGGTGGAGTCAGTCTCCTCTGTGTTCCCATATCTTTTTCTCCCCCATCTCTATTTAAGAGTTTATCTCAAAGATATAGGGTAAGTATCTGATGTTTAGGCTAATGTCATGATGAAGAGGTCGGGCTCTAAGGTCACATAGTCTTAACCTAGCTATGCCTCAATTTCCTCCTCTAAAAAATGGAGATGATTAAGTGGCTGCTATCCACAGTTATTGTGAGAATTAAATGAAATCATGCAAGAAGAATATGTAGCAGAGCATACCAGTGTTAAATTAATACCAGCTATTTTTGTTTGCTTTTCTCTCTGTAGGTTACTCTTTCATGTGAGTTTCTGAAGGCAGAGCCCTTGTCTTTTGCATCTGTGCATGCTGATCTCCCAAGACCAGGCCTAGCACTTACTAGCTGCATGATGATGTTGGAAAAAAGAAAAAAAAAGCAAATAAGTGAATTCCAATCCTGAGTTAATTGTTAATAAATATACCACCTGACTATCCTACTACATGAAATGTGGGAGGAGTTCTAACCTCAAATATGAAGGCCCTGCCTTCCTCTCCCTTATTTTTCATTTCTACTCTTTATTTCTTCTTCCTTCCTCCCTCCCTTCCCTTTCTTTCCTCCCATCTTCCTCTTCCTCTTTTCTAGCCTCTTTTCCTTCCTTTTCTTCTTAAGATACTAAGATAATAATTTATTAATTTACATTGGAGAAATATTCCTGTTGTATGAACAATAAACACTTTTATTTTAGGGATCAGCGATCATATTACCAATTTCTATCTACTGGGAGCCCAGAAAGTAATTAAAAATTACTTGACTTACTCGGTGAGGAACAGAAGTCTCCTCACAACAGCCACATAATTAAACTTGGAAAAGGATTCTCTCCCCCAGCCCCACTTCAAGGCATGAGAAGATGGTAGGTTCAATTGACATTTTAACTGAGAGCTTATAAGAGCCAGAACCACCCAGCAAAGTTGCTCCTAGACTCCTAAAACTTTGAAACTGTATGAGATAATAAATCTTTGTTCCTAATGTTAAACTGCTAAGTTTGTGGTAATTTGATACCGAGCAGTAGAAAGCAAATACAGTCCATATCAACAATGTGTTCTCTCTTTACAGACAAGGAGGAAAAAATGGAACTTATAAATTGATCATAACAAATAAGTATTTAACATAAAATGCAAGTGGTAATGAATCAAGTGACAGCAAATATTTAAAAACCAAAGTGTTATTATTAATATGGCTATAGTCATAAATGTTAGTTGTACAAATTCAAATAGTATACATACTATGAAGTATAATTTAAACTGTCTGTCTTCCATGCCCCAGTTCTATGTGGCAAAACCAGCAATATGAATTTCTCTAAGACTATGCCTGTATATATATAAGCAGGCATATAGTGATACCATATCTTGCCTCAGTGGTTCTCAAAGTGTGGTACTAGAATCAGCAGCATCAGCACTACCTGAAACTTGTTGGAAATACAAAGTTTTGGGTCTTGGCCATGACTTAAATCAAAATTTCTGAAGGAGGGCACAGCAATCTGTGTTTTAACAAAATATTCAGGTGATTCTGATGCATAATAAAGTCTTTGGACTCTACATATTACTCTGCAATCTGCTCCTTTCACTTTGCAGACCTTGAATAACTTTTCATGTCATTGAATAGATGTCTGACACATTCTTTAAACTGCCATCTGGTCCTTTATCTTATGTACATACCACACTTCATTAAACAATCTCACATTGATCTCTGTTTCCAAGTTTCTTTAGCGTCATAAACAAAATTAAAATAAAAAGCCTTGTATTATGATATATGTATATATCTAAATGTGCATGCACATACACATATACATATATAGCTACCACATATACAAAAAACTTTATAAAAAATTCTCTAGGAGAAATTCTTAGAAGTTATATTGTTGGGTCTAAGAGTAAGTACATTTTAAATTTGGGCAAATTTGATAAATTATCTTCAAAAATAGTACATCAGTGTTTATTAGTAGGTCTAATCTTGAAATCTGCTTCCATCTCAAGGATTATTAACATTTAAATGTCACTTTGATGGGCTAAAACCATTACTCCCTTTATACTGCATTTCTTTATTTATGAGTAACATTAAGCATTTTTCATAGTTTTATTGACTTTTTTCTCCTATGAACTCCCTTTTTCAGATAAGATCCTTTCCAAAATGAAGATTACAACAAAGAGCTTATTCTGACTAGTTTGGGAAGTCATTACAAGGTTTGAGGAAAACTCACATTATGAGCATGCTGCCGATTGCCTTGAGTGTTTTCTTGTGATTTGTGAGTAGTGATTGATCATAATCAAAAAATTAATCACCAGTCAGCCCTAGTGATTAAGTCACAGTCATATTTGCATATGTCTGAAAATTTGTGCAACCTATAGAGACGGAAATTTAGATGAAAGTTATCGATCATGGAAGCTGTGCCAAAGGTGTCAGTCACGGGTATGGGGATTTTTACTGCAGCATGGCTAGATCCCTAATGGTTAGCTCACTGGATGAAAGGGAACAGGCTGGGAGAGGGATGTCTATGTACAGATTAGTGGTTTGTTTCGCTTTTCTTTTTTTTTTTTTTTTTTTTTGGAGATGGAGTCTCGCCCTGTCGCCCAGGCTGGAGTGCAGTGGTGTGATCTCGGCTCACTGCAACCTCCGCCTCCTGGGTTCAAGCGATTCTCCTGCCTCAGCCTCCTTAGTAGCTGGGATTACAGGCATGTGCCACCATGCCTGGCTAATTTTTTGTATTTATAGCAGAGACGGGCTTTTGCCATGTTGGTCAGGCTGGTCTCCAACTCCTGACCTTAGGTGATCCGCCCGCCTTGGCCTCCCAAAGTGCTGGGATTACAGGCATGAGCCACCACACCCACACACAGCCTACTGTTGTTTTTTTTTTTTTGATTTTTTGTTTTTGTTTTTTTCCCCTGCTAGTTATACATGTCACCATTTTACCAATGGGTTATTTTGATTTCAAAGACCATGGTGAGAAAAATACGGACAGTTCAGGGCAAATCTAACTCTACTGCTCAGGTAGAGCTCAGAGTGTACCGGCATAGAATAAGTCTGAAACACCAACATCATGAGCTGATTTAGAATAAGGTCAGCAAACATTTTCTGTAAAGGGCCAGATAGTATTAATAAATATTTTTGGCTCTCTGGCCATACAGTCTCTGCTATAATTGCTTAACTTTGCAGTCATACCTCTAAAGCAGTCATTGACAACACAAAAATGAATGTGCCTTTATTTGCAAAAAAGCAGGCAGTGAGCCAAATTTGGCCCATGAACCATCGTTTACTGGTCCCTGGTTTAGATAATTTTAGTGTTCATTACTAAATGACCAAGAGTTTGTAGATCATACCTACAGTCAAACATGAATTTTTCCTAGTATTCTTCCTTCCCCTACTTGTTCTCTTTGTTTATTTTTCCTTCTGTTTTACGTTCTCCCTCTTCTTTTCCTCTTCTTTTAAATAACTGGGTAATGTGAAGGGATGATTTCTTAACATCTCTGTATCTCAATTTCTAAATCTATCAAATGTTAATAATAATAGAACAAAATAAAAGAGTTAGTGTGAAGAGTAAGTTAAACTAAAAAAAAAAAAAATTCTAGAAAATGCTTTGAGAGATATACACATCTGCCTATATGTGTGCCTAAGTGTGAAATCTCAAGATGGAGAAGAAATAAAAGCAAGAAATAATATTTCTGAAATGAAATATTTAGTTTTCACACATTGGAGCATTCTTTAATCCAAGTTCTCATCCATTATACAATGGCAACATGTTTTATATATTGTACAAGCTGTAAGCTGTGAAGTGGGTGCTTTTCTCCTTCTGGCATTCTCGTTCTGCCTGGTAGATGGAGAGCTCTCCATTCTTTTCACCTGGAGCCAGAGCATCTGCTATAGACCCACTGCTATTTACTTGGTGGAGATAAACTGTGTATCATCTGTCTACCTAGAATGGATCTACGTTAATCTGAATCAAACTTGATTTTGCAACAATTTGAGCACTTTCTATTGGGTAGATGGACATTTCACCAGTCCACAAGTTCTAGCTGTATGTTGTTCCAACTATAGATTCTGAATTCTGTGCCATCTCCACTAGTTCTTGCTTAAGTCCTAATATGACAACATGGCATCCTGAAATATGAACAGGCAATCTGAAGGAAGTTGAAAAATACATGCTTATAATCACACAGCTCTGATGTCACTTTAAGTAGAGTCAGTATTACTTTTGTTGTTATGGGTTGAGTTTTCTCCTCTCAAAGTTTATACACTGGAGTTTTAAACTCTATGCCTCAGAATGTGCCCTTATTTGGAAATAGAGTCATGGCAGATATAACTAGTTAAGGTGAGGACATACTAGAGATGAATTGGCCCCTAATGCAATATGACTGATGTCCTTATTAAAAAAAGAGAAATTTTGAGAAAGACAAATACACAGGGAGAACGCCATGTGAAAATGAAGGCAGAGATCAGAGTGATGCATCTGCAAGCCACAAAACACCAAGATTCCCAACAAACCAGAAGGAAGGAAGAAGCATGAAGAAGAATCTTCCTCACAGTCTTCAAAAGGAACCAACCCTATTGATACCTTGATCTTGGACTCCCAGCTTCTAGAACTGTGAGACAGTCAGTTTCTGTTGTTTAGCCACCAATTCTTTTGTACTTTTTAAACAGTAGCCCTAGAAAACTAATGCATTTGTAATTATACTCTTAATAATAGTAGTAATAATAAATCACAAAAAACTCTGTATTGAACAATAGTTATGCACCAGCCATGTGCTAGGTCTTTTTGTGCATTATTTTAATTTTTGTCCTCCCAAATGCCCCTATGAGATAGGTACCACTATTATCCGCATTGCATAGACAAGGAAACCCAGGTTTAAAGCTTAAAGGGTTTAAATATTATTTTCAGGGTCACACAGATGAGAAGAGGTGGAGCAAGGATTTGAACCAGGCCATCTTAATGCCAAATCTTGTGGCCTGGTTTGCTTGGAGAATCTCAGGGAGAGAAAGTCCATTGGAGTTATTCCAAGGAGTATTCACTTCCCATCAGCCTCAGTAAATGAGAAGTAATAAGAGATATGGAAAGTGTGATGTTGACAATGCAGCAGTTAAGTGGGAGAGAGAAGTGCAAATGGACAGGTGGTTATTTGTGGTGCTGCTGATTCAGATCTCAGGCTCACAGGTCTGAGTCATTTATTTGTTTGTCCTCCAATGTTCTGTGCTTGAAAGCAATCAAGGTACTGGCCCTGTACCAGCTTCCCTGAGTCTGAGGTCTCTCCCTGTAATCACTGGCCTGTTCTTCTGCACAACAGTTCTGGTCATGAATTCAATCATGACCACTCCTTTCTTCATTAGGCCCCTATGGAAGCCGCTGAAAATCACACCCAAAACCAGTTTTAAGGCTTGAGTCCATCATGCTGAGAGCCAGCAGGTCAGGCCAGAACTAAGTTCAGGGGTTAACTGGAATCAGAAGTTCGGAACCTATTAAATTGTCCAATTAATTATGTGTGACTCCTCCCTTTTCCTCTCCCTTTTTGTCTTCACACCTGAGCAATGGACAGTAAAAAAAAAAAAAGCGGGGGGCTTGCTGCACACAGATGTCCACCTTTAACCTGAGAAGTCAGCAGCACTTATCTATCATTGCGGTCACCCTAGAAAACATAAATCCAGATTCTCGGTGGTCTGGGAAATGGTGCTTTGGAGAAGAGCGAGCTTGTGGCATAAACTCAGGGTCCTCCCCTAATCTTGAGGACTGCAAGCTTAGGTGTTATCTAGAGAAAGTGTCTAGAGGCAGATAATTGATGCTTTACTCACAGTCTGGCTACAAAGGCTCAAGGCAGGCAGACATGAGTTTCCCTCCTCGCCATACTCACTAGTCAAGTGCCTTTGAGTAAGTTTTGTATCTTCTTTTTCCTCGTATACCTGACTCACAAAATGGGATATACAGACCTTGTGGTGATTGTGAAAATAAAATGAAATGTTGCCTCCAAAGCACTTAGCACAGTAATTGAAGATGCAGCACTTTCTGAGTTAAGGCCAGTTCCTTGTGAATACTTTGCTGTTGACAACACAAGCCTGCTTCTTCCCTCTCCTTCCTCCTCTCTGTTGTGACAAACTGCACGACAATGGCTCCAGGTCCTGACTGATCCCTTATGTTAATGGTCCTGACTCCTAAGACAGCTTCCCAGATGCTGTCAGACCTCAGCACAAATTATTGGCTTGAACTTCACTCTTTACAGAAAGATGGGTCCCATGTGGAATGGATCTCAGCTTCCAGAATTCACTGAGGGGTCCTTTCCTGCTCGTTTACTAGGTGGGCCCCCATTGGCCTGAGGGAGCTAATATGTTTCACAGCGTGTTTTGTAGATTGCATCTGGCCAGATGTTTCTCTGTGTGGGTTCCCTTAAGCAATGTGGGAGGGAAGGAACACCCTGATGTACATGGAATTTCAGCCAAGAGGCCTGGTGTTGCATCGCCTTGGTCTAGACCAACCTCTTTTTTTGTTGCTCCCAGGGAGCAAGATTGTATTCCAGAATGAAAGCTCAGAGGCAGTGGACCCAAGGCCACTTTTCTCCCCTTCCATTAGGCACATGTCAAAGACTACTTCTATTGATGACACAGCCTTCAGCTTCTGGGATATACTTCAAGAAAGGAGCCCAAATACAGGCTGTTATAAAACATTGTCATAGTCATGCCCCAAGGTGGCCACGCAAAGGGTACTTGATAGTGGCCAGGAAAACCATATAGCTTGTTTTACAGGGACAGTCTACTCCGGAATCCCATCCAGTCCTATGCAGCATCCAATGCAACATTCCCGCCTTCCACTCAATTTCAGTCTGAGAGTATATGAAATCTTAATTATGGCTCAGAGTCAAAGCTTTTCCACCCAGGAGTTCAGCAGAGATACATGTTCTTCATCAGAGGGGTAGATTATGGAGGGCACCAGCATCCCCAATCCAGGAGCTGAAGGGCAGCTGTAGAATGCTGTCACCGAGGTGTCAGTTATTTAACCAAACAGAGGAGACCCACAAAAAGTAAAGAGAAGGCTGTCTGGCCAGACTTAGAAAAAAAATTAGGGATATTGTGTTTCTCTCTCTTGGTTGAGGGATCTGGATTTTTAAATCTAAATTACATTTATGGGTGCTACCATGTGTGAGGCTTGGTGGAAGATGCTGGTGAGGCCAAACTCCCTGGTCCTGCTTCCTTGTACCAGTGTTTCATCAAAGACAGAAGGATTGGGTGTCGTGGTTTCCCAGACCACAGTAGCCTAGAGAATGTGATTTTAGACTGGGTTTAAGAATAAAGGGATGAGGGACAGCAGCGTAGTAGTAGCACAACAACGACAACACTAACAGACAACAGAGAAGGCGAAATGGCTCCTGTAAGTGAGGCACTTTGTATGTGCCATTCCTGTGCTGAGATCTTTATAGGCATCATCCCATTTTATTGTTACAAATCCAACTGAGCTGGTGCGTATTATAACAGAGGAGAAAATAGGTGCTGAGAGAAAGAAGAAATGACTTGCCCAATGTCACACAGTCAGGAAGTAGTAAAGCCATTTCTTGAATCTAGGTGTGCAAAGCCTGAGCTCTTAGCTGTCATGTCACCTGCCTTCTGGAGATGTATTAGTTTGCAATTTTCTGTATTTCTAGGACACATCCTCCCCCAGACTTTAAGCTGGGTTAAGTCTCTGCTTTGTGCCGTTGTTATGCCGATAAAACTTTCCTTGGTTTTGCAGTAGCTGTGCTTTTCCCTGCAGAGCTACCACATTCCAGGCTGTAAGTTTGGCTGGCATTTTGCTCAAAAAGTATGAGGCACAGGAAAGCCTCTCTGCAAAAAAAGTTAAAATAATTTTATTATAACCCAAGTGAGAACCAATGCATTACCGACATTCGTGGTGGTGGTAGTTAAAATAGTAATAACAGTGATTGGGGCAGGTAATACTAAAAAAGAAAAGTAGTCAGAGTAATTATAATAAAACAACAATCCCTAGGGTTTATTAAACACTTACTATGTACCATTTGCTATTGGGACCCCTTTGTATGTAATAAGTCATTCAATCTTCACCACAATTCTCAAGGCCTGAACTAAAGTGAAGCTGCGAATCCCCTAAGGATAACTTTTAAGGAGGCCTTCACTGTCAGTTGTAAAGAGTAAGGGCTTCCTTAAACGTGGCACCCTAGGGGTCCCTCTTGCCTCACCCTAGTCCTGGCCCTGGCCTAGAAGGGTTGTGGGTGAAATAGTCACAATCACAGGAACTTTTTGAAAAAGTAAACTGTAACATAAAGGTGTTGATAAATTTTCTGGGATCACACAGACAGCAAGTAACAGAATTATAACTCTAACCCAAGCCTGTATTGGCCAAAGCCTGTGTCCTTTGTACTAAGATATGCATTGTTTAGTTTCTCACCATCATCTTACAGGAACTTAGTCATAGCATACATTCTAGGACCTTTTACTGGAGTGTTTTCTCAGAGTCTCTATCTTCACAGAGTATCGGAGAGGAGAGTATCAAGAAATGATTTTATTTATGTGTGCTTGCATGTGTGTGTTTATCTGTTAGTGGTTTTTTTTTTTTTTTTTTTTTTTTGTCACCCAGGCTGTCCCAGACTCAAGCAATCCTCCCACCTCACCCTCATCACCCTCCTGAGTAGGTGGGACTACAGGCACCCACCACCATGCCTGGCTAATTTTTGTATTTTTTGTAGAGATGAGGTTTCTCGATGTTGCCCAGGCTAGTCTAGATCTCTTGGGCTCAAACAATTCTTTTGCCTCAGCCTCCCAAAGAGCTGGGATTACAGGTGTACACCATCATGCCAGGCCAAGAAATATTTAAACAGGGAAGAGAAAGAGGAAGAGAAGAAAAGAAGATAAGGAAGGAAGGAAGGAAGGAAGGAAGGAAGGAAAGAAGGAAGGAAGGAAGGAAGGAAAGGTTGATTCAGAAGTCAGTGTGAGGAGATACATACTGAATCTCACCTCATATTGTCTCTCTCTGTGTACTAGGCAGAAAAATTTTTTAGTTCCCATGACATAAACCCAACTCACAGTAGCTCAGGCAAAAGGTGAGATTTATTTTTTAAATGTAGGATTATAGAACACATTAAGAGAATAGCTAAAACCAAACTACAGGTAAGGCACAGGTAATGCTGGTTTCAGGAATAAAATAGGGAAACAAATATCCTTTTCCTTTCTCTCTCGCTCCCTCTCTCTCTGTCTCCATCATCATCACCATCACCAGCATCGTCACCATCACCATCATCATCACCATCATCATCATTTCCACAAGGCTTATAGGGTTTCTGCTTAAATAGAATCTTGGACAACCTCAACTGAAATTTCACACTGGAATTCTCATGGTAGGTACACAGAGGAGGCCTCATTATGTGTGTGGAGGCAATCATATTACAAGAAAGAATATGATAAGGGCATACATTTATGTACTGCAGAGTTTCTAGGAATGGAGAATTAACATCTGGCGACGAATCAGAGAAAATGCCATGAAGAATATGATATGATAGCATGGATGGGATTTTAACAAGTAAAAGTATGAAACCAAGACTTAGACAGGGAGGGCATAGCAATGAGAAATTCTCAGAACAATACTTCATAAAACAGTCAGTCAATTACAAGCTGTTGTATTTGACTAGATCATAGATTATAAATCATGGTATTGTGGGGCATTAGGCAAAAAAAGTGAAAATATTGTAGTGGAAGTCTTCGAATAGATGGAACAATGTTATTCACTTGTTCATTCATTCACTCACTTATTCATAATTAATATTTATTGTACACCTATTAGTCACCTACTAAGTCTGTTGGTGCAAAGATATTTGCGGAACATGAATAATCCCAGGTTAGAGCCATTGATCATGTGAATAGGAGCTACAAGTAACTAAGCATAGCTGATTGTTCAGATATTATCAAATAGTCCTCCTAATCTGGGAGTTTTATACAGTATTGACATGCCGACAAAGTGGAAAGCCATAACTTGCATCTGGCTTTCAATGCAGAGACTATGTGTGAAGGAATCAAGGAGCTCAGAAGCTTTTCAAACAGGGGAATAATATGTGATTCCATTTAGTAACTTAATACTAGTGGCTATAGCCAGGAGAAATTGGACTTGGGAGATTATGGAAGCAGAAAGAGGTGTGTGTGTGTGTGTGTGACAGAGAGAGAGAGAGAGAGAGAAAGTTTTTACAAGAGTTTGGGTAGGAAGAAGCAATAATTTGATAGATATAAAGCACACATTTGGGAATCAAAGAGGACCATGGAAGAACATTTTTAGAGGACTTGATAGCCTGTTGGGTATGTTGCCTATTAAGGGAGATTGAGGACTTTGGTGTCTGGGTGGATGTTGATGCCGCTGAACCAAACAGAGAGACAAAAATTAGGAGCCAGTGTGAGAAACAGCAAGGAGGTAGGAGGTAGGATCCGTGATATTATAAATTTAACAGGAGAAGCTGTAAGTTGACTAGACAGCATTGAAATTGGACAAGGAGGCTGAGATTGGAGATATCAATTTAGTCTTCAGTCTACAGTGGCCCTTCTCCATCAGGTTTCAAAAAAAAAAAAAGTAAACACACTAATGTCTTAAGGCATCCATTGTACGTAATGAATTAACTTGCTTCCATGAATGGAAAAGAAGATTAGCTCCCTACCATCTCTGTGAAGACTGAGGAAAGGGTAACTCAAATCACTTTTTAGGGCTTAATTTTCTCACATGATTTTATTTGAGAAACGTTGATGTTAAGATAATAGTTGCTAAAAATGGAGGTTAATGAAGACATTAATAAAAAGAGTATAACTCATGTATAAAGGGACCTAGGGTAAAAAGATTAGGTAGGTCTAATATTTAGGAAGCAAGAGGGAAAATAAAGGAACTGGTATGGCAAAAAAGAAGGAGTGGCCAAAGAAATCACAGAAGAGGCTGGGCACCGTGGCTTACGCATGTAATCCCAGCACTTTGGGAGGACAAGGCGGGAGGATCACGAGGTCAAGAGACCAGCCTGTCCAACATGGTGAAACCCTGTCTCTACTAAAAATACACAAATTAGCCAGGCATGGTGGCACACGTCTGTAATCCCAGCTACTCAGGAGGCTGAGGCAGGAAAATTGCTTGAACCCGGGAGGCAGAGGTTGCAGTGAGTGGAAATCGCGCCACTGTACTCCAGCCTGGGGCGACAGACAGAGTGAGACTCTGTCTCAAAAAAAAAAAAAAAAAAAAAAGAAAGAAATAAGAGAAGAAATGACCCCCATGCCATTGTTTATGCAGACATGCCAAAAATGTCCCTTCAGAACACACAAAATTCCCTCTGCGTGTCTTTATTGCCATATTTACTGTATTATTTTGATTAGTTACTATCTTATCTCTAACTAAACCTTGAAGCAAAGACCACATTACATGTATTCTTGTGGCCCCATTTTGTAGACATAGAGCTGTGCCACTCAGATCCTCATTCATGGAAGAACTTGTCCCAACTCTCAGCTCCTGCAGAATCTGCCTCAGCTGCAGGAATGTGCTTTGTCCAAGGGTATGCATCTCCCATGGCAGCCCATAGCCAGTGGGCTGATCAAGGTGCGGTAAAAAGGCCTGGTAGCTTCATCCCAATGTGGAAAACTCTGATGGGATGTATTCCAGAGCTTCCCATGGGCCACTCCAGAGCTTCTCCTAGGTCGTCCAAGTCAGACCTCTACCACAAGCTGACTACTCCATCCACCTAATTTTGCTTCTTGCTTCTCCCTTCCAAAAGTGTCTATCCCTAATAAAACATTGTATGTTAAACCCTGTCTTAGCGTCTGCTGTGAAAGACCTAGCCATTAAGTCTAGATACTGAGAAAGTCCTCAGTAGCTAGAACAAGATCTAACATACAAAAAGAGATTAGTACCTTTGGTGTAGAGAAACAAGTTGTGACCTCAAAGTTGCATATTTTATTCATCTGTTCAATACAAGTTAAGCATCTACTGTGTGACAGACTGTGTTCTAGGCACCAGATTTTTACATAGATGGAATTGGTCTTTGGTGTCTTTAAGAACAGTCAATCAGGGCAGGGGCACTAATAAAGGATTATAAAATGCTAAGGAGGATGGGAGTTGAGGTGGGTCAGTGCTGTGTTAAATATAACCCATTATACTGAGGTTAGTAACTTTTTTTTCAAGAGTTATAGAAGGGCAAGAACAGAAAGAGATGAGGTATTGCTCAAAATGGCATGGATGAGACTGATATTGCTCATGGTGTCTGAGATTTCCTTTCCCCATTGGCACTCTACTTGACTATGCACCTTAGCCTTCTTGCATCTAGGTGTGGCAATGTGATTATTTTTGGCCAATGTATTGATGTGAACAGAAGAAATATGCATGACTTACTCTCCTGGGCCATAAAACTGCCCACTGAAGATTCCCCATTTTATCTTTCCCCATACTGCAACAGAATGGAGAGGAATACAAGGGCCCAGAGAAGAGCAGAACCTCCAGAGGAAATGAGCAAGGATCCCTGAATGACTTTATGGAGCAGAGACCCTCTGCATAGACCCACACTGTACTCTGATGTAAGCAAGAACCAAACTGTTGTTTATAAAACTACTAAGATTTTGGAGTTGTTTGGGAAATTAGGTAGCACACTCCAACTAATATATGTGGTATAAAATTTAAAAGAAAATTTTTTTCCTTAGAGTAGGCTAGTCTTGACTACATTTAGAGGCTAAGGGTATGGTGCCATGAAATATAAATTGAAGAAGCAAATGAGAGAATGGATAATCGTTAGAGCAAGTTCCCTGCGGCACAGAAGGAAGTGACCCAGAACAGGATCTTCTGTTCTCCTGTGCTTTGTTGTCAAGAAAGAGAAGAATATTGGTCATTTTTGTTTTAGTGCTTTTACTACTAATTATTAACTAGAGAGAAATGATGAAAAAAGAACAAGGATAACAAATATATCAAAATAACAAAGGTTCAAGAACCTTTTCATGTTATTACACACATGGTGTGTTTCAGGAAAAAAAAATCATAGCAAGGAAAATGTGAGTTTAAATCCTGGCTTTGCAATATTTTTGTTGTAAAATATGAAGACAGTGCATTCTGAGATTATTCACTTGGTTCAGTTGAGACACAGGTAAACTGATGTACATCTCATATGGATTACTTTTTTGTGTGTGAAAACAAAATTAGATCTCATGTCATTAGCACAGGAAATGGAATATTTTGAAAATTATAACAATAGCTAATCTTTATTGAACAGTTATTCTGTGTCAAGTACTGTTCTAAGCAAATATAAGCATTAAGTAATCTATTTCTCATAACAACTCAATGAAGTATTGTTCTTTTACTACACCCATTTTATAGATAAGGAAATTCACTCACAAAATATTAATTGCCAGTGCTTTTCTTTGGGTAGAGAGATTATGGGTATATATTTCTTAATATTTTCATATTTTATAAGATTGCCTATGTGGCTTTTATATTTACAATATAAATGCTATTTTAAAAACAATGACAATATTAGGCTTAATTTTCTTTTAAAGAAACCAGAAGTATGGCTCTTGAATGTGACATTTACCAAACCCCGACTCTGCTAAGGCATTTGCAAAGGCCCTGAGGCCATCCTCCAATATACCTTAATGGCACATAGACTTGGTGGTATAATCAACCAAATTAGATCAGTGCCTGCTCTTTGCCCTCTGAATCTCCAGCTTTGGTGGCACCCAGATCAGTATGACAAACCCTTCTAGGCTTCTTTCTATGGAAAGTCTTATGGGTGGTTTTTCGCTGGATAACTGAGTGCTCTTGGAACATGCTGTTGAACCTCCCTCACGTCACCCTCCTGTAAAAAGGATGTGTTGGTTGAGTATCCCCCAAAGTCTGACTTTGAGATAGGAATTTCAGCATAAGTAGTTTATCTGGGTTGCGACCCCAGCAGGCACAGTGAGGGGGTGGAGAAATGAGTCAGGGAAAGGAAGAGAGGCAATAAAAGTGGTATTAACTAGTGTGTTATCGCTACAGGAAGATGGGCCTCAATTCCATTGGGGACTCCTAAGAGCCTGTGCAGAACATACCTTGGAACTGGCCTGCTATGGGGCAAAGAAGTTGGAATGTCATTCATCAACATCACCAACTTTTATCCTTAATTATTATAAGGTTACCCTTGGTGGTGTCAACACCTTCAGGTTTCTGGGTGTCCAGCGCAGTGGGCCACAGTTCTCCTGTGGCCAGAGGACATTCTGTGGCAGAGAGACACAATTTCCTTTGACGTATATGGGGATTCTTGTTAGGTGACCTCTGGGGTAAGCTGATGGGGGACAGGGCCAGACACCAACAGTATCTGCTACAGATGTTAAAAAAATAAATAAGATGACACATTTAAGGATTTAGCATATAAATGCTTAATAAATGCTAGCTGCCATAATTAAAATGATAGCATTAGCACTATCATAACTAGTGCAGAACTCATATTAAAATCCAAGTTTTGTGAATTCTGGTCTCAGAGTATTTTAATTAATGGGGGAATCTTCATGTTTCTTTTTCATGGTTGTATTTCCCTCGTTTAATCTTTATGTTTGTGTAAACTAACCCTCAGTTCTCCATTCTTAGGGTAGGAATAATTAAATGGGAACCATTTTTGCAGACTAAATTTTCCATCTCTGAAATTCTGTGCTTCACCTTAGGAAAACCCCCAAACTAACATTAGCTACTATTGTTGTTTTATTTCTTTAAGCCATGCCACTTATGGCTCTGGGGTCAGGAGATAGACATCTTGTTTTTATGAAGGCTCCCAAGGGGTGAACTGCAGTCAAACCACGTTTCCCTGGAAGACTTCAAGCCATTTTAGCTGCTCAATGGAGAACACATCCCAGGATGCAGGCAGGTTTCCAAGACAACTGGGGGTTTGATTGTTCATAGAAGGATGGCCAAAGCAGCTGCATATTGGTGCTTTGGAAGTCTCAAACTATTCCACAAGAGCTTTGAGTTCTGTAAATCCAAAACATATTTGCTACAAATATTTTTCTTTTCATTTTTTAATCACATATATATTACAAGGGAAATATATTCCATCTGATTTTTTTTACTCACTTATATTGTCCAAATGAAATTTTGAAATGTATTTGATGTTCTATAATTTAAAGAAAAATTCACTATAATGGAAAAACATATTTGGTAAAAGGCAAGTGCTTCTGCTCTTCATGCTGCTAGTGACTGTGGGTCACTGAAGTGGCCTCAGAGTCAACACAATGAATTGGCCATGTCGTGGATTCCTTTGAAGGATGGTTCCAGCTCTCTCAGTGGCAGATACAATGGGTAACAAAGGGCTCATCTAATTCTATTAATCACAGAAACTTGGCAAAGAGAAGAGTATGGCATAAAGAGGTTCAAGGACCTGAAATACCAGTGAGTCCAACCTCACTTTATTTTACAGCTGAGGAAACTGAGCCCCAGAGGGGAGAAATTCTTTGCCTAATGACACATGGTTAATTAAAGGCAGATTTGGGGTCATAAACTTAGGTCTCCTGAGACTAGGAGCAGGGTACCAGTATTCTTTCTACTGTCTGTGCTGTAAAGCATCAAAGCACAAATACAAAATCTGACTGCAAAACTGAAATCACAAGTGTGTTCAAGAATCATGGGCTGTTATGAATTTTGGAGGAACAGGGAATACAGAAGTTTTAAAAACAGACTCTCCTTCAAAGAGCACAGGCTCTGGGGTAGGCTGTGATGTGCTCCTGTTGCAATTTTACTACCTCCCTAATGATAATGACTTTGGGAAGTTACTTAACTGCTCTGAGTTTCTGTTTCCTAATCTGAAAAATGGGTTAAAATTAGCATCCACACATCAGATTGTCATGAAAGTTAGATAAAAACCTGGATATAAAAACACTTGCTACAGTGGCTACCATGGAGCAAATATTAAAAATAAAACAAATAAAAACCTTTTTAAAAAAAGTATTACTATTAACATTATTATTCAATGATCTTACTTTCCAGGACAGTGCTTCCTAAAACTGTGTTTTGTAGAACACTAATACCAGACGATGGATGTGAATTGATGTTTGGGTTTGTGTTTGTTTGTTTGTTTTTGTTGTTGTTTTGAGACAAGATCTCACTATGTCACCCAACCTGGAGTGTAGTGGCATGATTATAGCTCACTGCAGCCTCAAACTCTTGGGGCTCAAGCAATCCTTCCTCCTCAGCCTCCTGAGACTACAGGCAAACACCACCACATCCTGTCCAGCTAATTTATTTATTTTTTGTATGTGGAGACAGGTTTTCACTGTGTTGCCCAGGCTGGTCGTGCACTCCTGGCCTCAAGCGATCCACATAGGCCTCCCAAGTGGGATTACAGGAGTGAGCCACCATGTCCAGTCTGTGAACTGATATAACAAACAAATAAGTGCAAAGAAAATATCCTATATTTCAGTGTGTTTTGAAAATACATACTCCACTGTTTTCTTGGCTATTCTTAATGCATAATATGCAACTGGTAGTCTGTAAGAAAGCATTCAGGAGAGAACACTATTAAATTGTGTTGAATGTAATGTAACCAAAAATCATGTATTTTTCTTTTTAATAACATGCATAAATTAATACTGTATGCAATAGCATTCTGTTATATATCAGTTATGAGAATGTCAGTGTAGGAGAGATAATAGGTAGACACAAAGCTATAATGCACATGGATCATGATCCATCATCAAAAGATGTGTAAAGGTGACTGCCAAGAAGCATTCCTCTTCCAAATGTGTCTGCTTCATGGATTCTTCATGAAGGAAAAATTATTACAGCAGAAGAGGGTTAGGGGTTACTCAGAGATTGAAGTGAGGAAGTTCCTGGACACAAAAGTAAGAAAGTGCTGAGGAAGTTTTGGAGAACAGCAAAAATCCAACTTTACACCTTCAGCAGTGGGCAGGATTTGGGGGAAGCACTGGCTAGAGATTGTGGGACCAGCTTATCTTCCTTTTCTTTTCCAAGGGCCGGAAGTATGCAGGGTTTATTTTTACATTTACAACACCTAGTGCAGGGTCTGGCACTAAGTAGGACTCAATAAATGTGCACTGAGTTGAGACCAGATCTAAGTGGATGTGAAAAGCCATGACAAGGAATCTGGATGCTATTTGGCAGGCAATGGAGAGCCCTTGAAGCTTGCTGCTCAGGGGAGTGACATATTCAGAAAAGTACTTAGAGAGATCGGTTTGGCACCAGGTAGAAGATGGAACCAAGGAGAAAGAAACTGGAGGCAAGAATAAATCCAGAATCCATGCACTATTTTAAACAAGAAGCAACTGAACTCATGGATGGACAGAGGAGTGGAGATGCAGACAAAAGAGCAGCTGCAGAGGTAGAAAACTAACAGAACCTTCAGTAATAATATTTCTTAAGTTAAAAGAGGAAAATTAACAGGGTTTCATCAATGATTTCTTATTGTGCAAAGAAAAAGAGATGAATCTTGAGACTCTGAGCTCTGGTTCTCTTAAAAGTGAGAGAATGGTAGTGTCAAGGACAGTCAAAACGAGTGGGGAAAGTAGACTGTTCGAACTGTGTAGAAAGATGAGCCCAGATTTGAACTTTGAGTCAAGCTTGAGGAGCTGACAGGAAATAGGGCAGATAATCAGAAAGAACTTGGAAATGTGCAACAGAAACATGGAGGATAAATTAAAAATGAAAATGTATATCTGGGATCCACCTGCATGGAGCTGAGATCCGATGTTCCGTGAGTAGATAGGAGGGTGATTTAGAGACTTGAGGGAAAGGAAAGTGAAAGTCAGGAGCATCATTTCCCACCATTGTCCACAGCTGCAGCCTGACACAGCTTGTTCCATGCCCACCCCCTGGAGGCAGATGGCTACGTGCAATCACACCGCTGTCCAGTGCCTGAGTCAACCCTTTAGCTCTGGTCTAGCTCCCCCTAGGGGTGGAGTTTGAGCATGGTCTTGCTGTTTTGTCTAGGGGCAGCCCTAAACACTCACCTGCCCACTCAATTGAATTTTTTCCCTGCCCCTGTAGTTGTCTTCAGAATGCAGTCTCCTAAATAAGACTACTTGGATTTGAACTTCAGCACTAGAAGAATGGAAGAGTTTTTTTTTTTTTTAACTTCTCTCTTCCTTTTCATAAATAAAAATAATATGTATGTGATAGTGTTTGCTTATGAAGAGTAAATGTAAAGCATTTGGAAAATTCTTGACATATAGTAGAAGCTTAATATATTTTTCCCATTATTATCTGTTTTATCACACCAGTTATTTGTGCTTAGTACTGATGCCTGGGCTTATGACTCAGTTTTCGTGAAATTATTAGAAACCTGCCCTGAAGCTCTGTTCCCGTTGCAAAACAAACAAAACTCAGTTTAACTTGGGTCACCTCCAGAGTCAGGCTCTTGTCCACCCTAACCCCTGTTTCGAGACTGTACTGACTCTTGTCATCATAGGAGAACAGAAACTTCCGCACCCCTCCCATCACTCACTCATTTATTAATTTATTGAATCACCCATTCAACTAAGATTTATTAAGCATTCACTTTGTGATGGGCACTCTGTCTACAACTACCAGGTAACACTATCTGGAAACTGAGGTAGCCATGCCTTTGCTATTCTGGACACTGTAATACTGTAACCCTCCACTGCAGCCACCATGACAGCAGGAAGGATTGACACTCTATCCTCACATGAATTTCCAGTGTGCTTTGAGGTTGAGCCACCAAACTCCTCCAGCAAACTGCCTTCTTTTATTTATTTATTTATTTATTTATTTATTTATTTATTTATTATTATTATACTTTAAGTTTTAGGGTACATGTGCACAATGTGCAGGTTAGTTACATATGTATACATGTGCCATGCTGGTGCGCTGCACCCACTAACTCGTCATCTAGCATTAGGTATATCTCCAATGCTATCCCTCTCCCCTCCCCCCACCCCACAACAGTCCCCAGAGTGTGATGTTCCCCTTCCTGTGTCCATGTGTTCTCATTGTTCAAAATGATGAGTTCATGTCCTTTGTAGGGACATGGATGAAATTGGAAATCATCATTCTCAGTAAACTATCGCAAGAACAAAAAAAACCAAACACCGCATATTCTCACTCATAGGTGGGAATTGAACAAACTGCCTTCTTATATCTCCCCAGACTCATGAGCAAATGGTAGCACAGGGTAAAAGCCCAGGAAGTTCATGCTGATGCCTTGGGAGGATACACAAGAGGGTCAGTACTGCTTTTACCCCATGATGATGCAGGCAAGAAGACATCCATCCTCCCATATCTGTTTACATCAGCCCTGATGCCTCATAAAACTTCCCCCCATACAGTCATTAACGAGGTGGTAACAAGGATATCAGGGGCCCAGGGGAGACACTCTGTTTGATGTTCTGGATGAAGGAAATGCAGACTTGCTCTTTGTGAAAGTATGAGGGCTAACTTGGAGGCCTGCCTGACAGTCCCTGTAAGCTCAGACATGAAGTCAGGGGAATACAATTGTGTGAAAGAAGCAGAACAGTGAAGTGTTGAGATGGCAAAATTTGGAAGCCCAAGGGCAGGGAGCAGAACAGGAAAAACAGGCATAAGAGTTTTCCATGTGGGTAACATAAAATGATTAGTGACATCCACATCAACAGAAGGCTCCCTGTTCTTTGCTTGTGGTGTGTTTTTGTGTAGACATCCACACTTCCGATCCACAGTGAAGCCTACAAAGGGGCTGAGCACTCTTCCTGCAGTGAACTTATACATGTGCAATTGTACGTGTCTTTATTTTTCTCTTTGTTATTTGTGCTGCATTTAACCCTATGGCTGGAACATTATAAATGTTGAAAACTTTGTTGAATGAATAAAGAAATAAATGGCTCAAAGATGGGACCATTTAGCAGGAAGAAGGACCTGCCAACCTTCTTTTTCTCTTTTTTGTCTATGGAACCAGACAAGGGCAAAGGATAGGGAAGTGGCACTGGGGAATTCCACTCTAGAATGTCCTTGAGACTCCCAGTCATTGGTAGGGCTGATGCTTACCGGACCTTCTGGTGCCAAAGATCAATGTCACCATAACCAGGGTAATGTGGGGAAGGCAGACCTCAGTCCTCAGCCCAGAAATGGCAAGTTCTTCTCACCCCACATCCTCTCACACTCAGGGCTGGCAGCTTTTGAATGGGGAAGGACCCTTTGTTCTACCCAAAGATGATCATCTAAATCAGACCAACAGTCCAGCTGGGACATCCACATATACCTTAGTATTCTCTAGTATTTATTAGAAATTGGGCAACTCTTTACCTTCTAGGAACAATCTGCAGTTGTGTGGAAGGATCATTGACATTGTAATATCGACAGCAAATAGCTTTTGAGCACTTATTTGCGTGGGATACTTTTAAAATCTTCTACAGCCATTATCTCATGTGTCATCACAACATCCAAGAGGCAGGAACCTTTACTCCTCTTGTTTAGTACATAAGGAAAATGAGGTCTGGAGAGGTAAATTAACTTTTTTATGGTTACAATGCAAGCTATTGGCAAATCTGAACTGAATCCAGGAATTCAGCCTTCTAAGCAACGCTCTTAAGCATTGCACTGAATAATTAGACTCATGTTTATATCTAACTTTACATCTAGCACTAGATGACTTTGTGGTTTTAGGTCTATTACATGCACTAGCCTCCACTGTTCTTATCTATAAATGGAAAACATAGTGTGTCCCACGATTCTTGTAAGGATATGTGCTAGACACCTCATCAGAGCAGTGTCCAGCATATAGGAGGTTACTTTCATTCCCATCACTTTGGTCATTAGGAGAAACTCATGAGGAATGTTTTGGTCTCCAGTTCTGCCGAGTCTGTCTCTTCCTGGATCTGCGAGTATATATGATGGTACTCTTTTCCCCTGGCAAGAGAAGGGCAGCTGGGAAACTGTTGCCTCTCAGGATAAAGGAGAATTATCTTCGAGGAGTGCCAAGTGCGTGCTTATTCATAAAACAAACATTTATGGAGCTTCAACAAGAGTCTGGGCAGCAGCAACTATAGCGTCAGGGACTGTGCAGTTGGTTCATTAGAAGCTGAAGCCCCCCTGGAGGCCTGCAGGGAGCGGGCCTGGAAGGGGGAGTGGAGTGCAAAGGCCAGCTGGTTCTCTGGCAACAAAGTCAACATCGCCCCAGATGTCTGCCCTGAGGTTGAGGCCATTAGCTCCAGTTTACCTGTTCACTTCATTTTTCAAAATTAGCCACAAAAGCCTCCCACGGAAACACAATGGGCAGCATTTCTCAGCGGGGGCAAAAAGAAAACAAAGCATATCTTTCCATGCACTTGTTTGGAGTTTCTGAATGTCCCCCAGAGCCCTGGAGGCTTGGCAGGCACGATTTGGATTGCTCCCACATGGATGTCTGTGGAAGCCCCACTTTTCTTTCCTCTCCCAGATTCACCCCAGCTAAGGCCAGGCTGTCCCACCCCTGTCATCAGCCTTGCCTGAGCACCCCAACCCTAAACCCAGGAAGACAATGACTTTCTCATTTTCTTGCTCCTTTTTCCTAGGGGATAATATTACAGTTTAAATTCCTGGGTTGACTTTGAGAGTTGCTGGGAGATGGTATTAGCTTTCAACCACCTGATTTAATCTCTTCTCTCACTCCCACCTTCCCCCACTGCTGTTCAGACAAGGCAGAGGGCAAAGGGGAGAGGTGAGGAGGTTAAACGCTTGACTGCAGAGACATCTTTTCATCAGGTTTTGTTGAGAGCAGGGCAGACAGGAGTAGCCAGGGTGTCCGTAGGGCAATGACAGCTTGTGTCTGTCTCTTGCTGACTGTACAGCCCCATATGAACTTATATGGGAGAAATGGGGAGAGAGGGCCAAGAGAATGTAATGATGAAAAGAAAGATGAACAAAAATATAAATACTGAAGTATAAGGCTGTGCAGTTGGAGCTGTCCAGTGCAAAATACATTTTTGCCCTAAGACAGTTCTCTCTAACCTAAAAATCAATAGAAAGTTATGCAATAACCTACTGTGTGCTAAAAAAAAAAAAAAAACTTGCCCCAAATAAAAATAAATTGAAAATATTGGTAGGAGAAAAAACAGCTTCTTTAAACACAGGCCAAATGCAAAACAAGTGAAGAGAGAACCCTCAGATGTGATTTATTGGTTTCTATTTTTAATCTTTGGGGAGTCAAGGGAATAGGAGAGATGCCAGGAGTTTGGAAACTGGATACAAGGAATGTTTTTATTTACACATGATTTAGCTACTAATTAAATGTGTCGTTTACTGTCTATCCTGCCTGGAATGTAAGTACCAAAAGGACAGGGACTTCTGCTTGCATCTTTTCCATTGAAATATCCCAGTGCAGAGAAGTGTGTTCGATTTGTAGTAGGTTTGGAACACTATGTGTTAATTGAGTAAATGACAGGAAATAGAGGTGAGTCTGCAGCTTCCCTCAGCAAGGTGTTTTTCAGGACTACTGTTTGCAGGCCAGGTAATTGTGGGGGTCTCTTCTTGGTTTGAGTCTCTATTTGGAGCTCCCAAACTTCTCTCCTCACTATGTGTGTGTAATGTATGTTTTCTTGTCTTTACTAAAGAAGTTAGTGAAAGATTTTAGTATCCTCTGACTCACCATCCTCCTGACTTCAAGAGCTCTTTCTTTCTGCGTCGTCCTTGGCTCTGGTCTTAAACTCAAGCTACTTTGGGTAGTGTAGTAGGCTGAACAACAGGCCCCAACAGGCATCAGTTCCTAATCCTTACAACCTTAAGTGTTCCCTTATTAGGGAAAAGGATCTTTGCATATGTGACTAAGGATCTTGACCTGGGAAGAATATCCTGTTTTATCCAGGTGGTTCTTAAATTCAATCATAAATGTCTTTATAAGAGAGAGAAAAAGGACATTTGATAAACTCAGCGATGAAGACAATGTGAAGATGGAGGCAGAAATTTAAGCGATGCAGCCACCAGAAGCTGGAAGGGGCAGGGAAGGAATTCTTCACTGAGCCTCCAGGGACAGTGTGTTCCTGCTAACACCTTAATTTTGTCCCAGTGAAACTGATCTTGAACTCTGGCCTCCAGAACTATGAGGGAATACATTTCTGTTGTTTTAAGACACCCAGTTTGGGGTAATTTGTTTCAGCAGTCATAGGAATCTAATTCAGGAATGCTACCCTACTCTTTTCCCTTGGAGCAGAGCTAAGGGCTTAGTCAGAGGTAAGGCTGGTCAGAACTGAAGAGAGACTGGAATTAAGGACAAGAAGTTGGAACTGGGGGCTGGTGCAGTAAAGTAAAGCCAGTTGCTCTAAGACACGAATGGTGAAATCTTAATGCTGTAACACAATATACATTTACATATTGCTCTTATAAAGCCCGGTTGGCAGCAATGGTGAGGGTGGAGATTCTGTTTCATGAGAAGGACTCAACTGATGGAGGCTCAGCCATCCTTACTGCATGATTTTATTGTAACTTTTGAGTTCAGTGGTACATGAGCAGGTTTATTATATAGGTAAACTTGTGTCATGGGGGCATGTTGTACAAATGATTTCATCACCAAGGATCACCGAGGTATTAAGCCTAGTACCTTTTATTTATTTTTCCTGATTCTCTCCCTTCTCCCACCCTCCATCCTCCAATACAGCCCAGTGTGTGTTGTTCCCCTCTATGTGTCCATGTGTTCTCAACATTTAGCTCCCACTTATAAGTGAGAACACTTTAATTGATGACTTTTGAGGTTGTCTTGGGCATCTGCATCAAGGACTCAGATGAAGATGGGGGAAAGAGGGGGGCCAAAGGGTATTTATAATCCAAGCCTGCAAATGGCATACATTACTTCTACCCATATTCTATGAAGTATAACTTAGTCATATTACCCCACCTAGATGCAAGAGGTCTGGGAAATCTAGTTCCTGCTAGGGTGGCTATATTCCAACCACAATTTTATATTATGGAGAAGAAGCATGAGTTCTTAATGGACAACAAGCCAAGTTCTCAACAAAAAGAGAGAAATGCTACAAAGGCAAAGGGACTAAAATAAAAACAGGGTAGTTTAACTCAATATGAGTTTCATTTCAAAAGTCACACAAAATATTATGAAGTAGAATATAAAATTCACATGAGTTTTTAAGATATGAATAAAAAACATAAAGCAAATCTGCCTTTATTATTCATTTTTGAGAAGACTTCTCATCCAGTAGGCTTATGTATCTACTCCCCTATGCCTTGCACTGCTGAGAATGTAAACACAGAGTCTGCAACCAGCAAGACCAGGGTGCACATTCTATTTCCTTTACTTACTTACGTGTGTGACCTTGAGAAATTATTTCACTGTTCTTAAGCTTTTATTTCTTTATATTTGGGAACAGGGGAGTTTCTGGAGGTCACACTATCTTCAGGATACAAAGACGAGATATAGAGAAGAAAACTGCCTAAAGCATGCGCCTGTAGTCCCAGCTACTCGGGATGCTGAGGCAGGAGAATCACTTGAACCCTGAACCCAGGAGACAGAAGTTGCAGTGAGCTGAGATCATGCCACTGCACTCCAGCCTGGGAGACAGAGGGAGACTCCGTCTCAAAAAACCAAACAAACAAACAACAACAACAAAAAAAGAAAAAAACAAAAAACAAAAACAAACAAAAAACTGCTTAAAGTATTTATTTCTGCACCTTCAAGAGTGGGATGAGTCAAGATCATACTTGAAATCTGAGCAAACATAGTTGAGTGGCCAACAGAAACTACAATGCACATACCTCACTTCCTGATTAATGGGCCTCCCTCCTGGCAAGGATGCTAGGAAGAGACACTGGTAGCCTGGTGAGTGCCACCTAGGGGATGCATGGGGAGCAGTTTGTGGGTGCAAAGAAAATGATGAGGTCGATGATTTGCATTTATAAAGAATTAACTTGGCTGGGAGCGGTGGCTCGTGCCTGTAATCCCAGCACTTTGGGAGGCCAAGACAGAAGTATCGCTTGAGCCAAGGAGTTTGAGATCAGCCTGGGCAACATAGGAAGACTCCAGCTCTACAAAAAATAAAATAAAATAAATTAGTGTGTGTGGTGGTGTGTGCCTGTGGTCTCAGCTACTCAGGAGTCTGAGGTAGGAGGATATCTTGAGCCCAGGAAGTCAAGGCTGGAGTGAGCTATGATCCCACAACTGTACTCTAGCCTGGGTGACAGAGTGAGACCTCCCTCAAAAAAAAAAAAAAAAAAAAAATTAACTTGAGACTATCTGCTCCAAAGAGCTTCTAGATACTGTTTTGTTTATTTGTTGTTTGTGCCACGATCTCGAGAGCATGTAGATAATTAATCCTGAAGTTGCACATCCGCATTCTATCTTCTGTTCAATTCATTCATGTAATTAACCAGAAGGAATTGTGATATAAGAAAAGAATTTTACAAAAATGCTGCTCTTCATGGGACAGTTAACCTAGAAACGGAACTGTCTATTGCCTGCAAATATTTGGCTTTTCCTCTTCTTATTACCACCCAAAAGGGGTGGCTTTACTTATAGGGCTACCTAGAGGGGAAGAAGAACCAAGTCAGGCTAAAAATCCATGACAGAGAGTCAATGAGTCAATGAGTCAACACACACACACACACACACACACACACAGACACACACAATATTTAATAACTCTAATAATTGATGATAATATGAAAGTCTGGAAGTGTCTATACAATAAATATGTTAAATCTGACTAAAATTAAATGAGATAGCAGAAAATGTAATAAAAATATGATATAAAGAAAGAAAAGAACCAAATACTACTTCTAGAAAAGAATAGAGAAAATAAAGACTTTTTTTTTAAAGCCTTCATGAACAAATTAAACACCAGAATAGACACAGCTGAAGAGAGAACCTATGAACTGGAAAACAGATCTGAATGCAGCACTACAAAATAAAAAGGTGATTGATATGTATCGTCAGGTCTAAATTGCAAGAGATGGCCAACACTGGTGAAAAAGTAGTCTACTAAGAAGCCTGACAACTGCACTGAGTAAAATATGAGGCATGGTTTGGGACAAGATGTTCAGAACTAATACTAGGAACATGAGTGGGAGCTGGAGTTTTGTTTATACATTGTTGCATAGTGGTGGCATTCCCTAACCCCAATTCTGTGTGACCATGATCTTTTTGGTACTGTGTACATGCAGTCTCTCACAGAATTACTTCAACTGGTGGTGTTACTGAGAGACACTGAAACAGCAATAGTTTATTCACTGAATTTTTCTTTAAACACAGATCTGTATATTAGTTTTTTAAAAGAATATTAATAATAAAATTATATTTTATATGCCTTCTTAAATGGTGTTCACTAATGTCAGGCTTAGGAGAAAATATTTAAGATTCAGTAGGAACCTAGTAAAACTAGGGCTATAATTATAATGGAAACTGCATAAATCGCTCCCTCTCTTACTCCTACAGCCAGCAAGACCTCTTAGGGAGTTCCAGGTGGATGGGAAAAGGGGACCAAATGAGTTCATCACCAGAAGCAGGCCTCAGAAGAGAAGGTAAGACTCACTCATCTCCTGGTGGGCATATTCTTGCACATAAAAAGGTCAGTATGTGAAAGGAAAGTTCTTGGCTACTAACGCTGCAACCAGACACTTCCTGCTGAAAAATCTCAGAAACCCCTCACTCTCACCTCACACTATCAGGGCTGCTATTTTCAGCTGTCCCTCTGCCCTATTTGCCTTCATGCCTCAGAAGGCACAGAAATCATAGCCAAAGTTTGAGCTGACAAATGTTCATAAAACCAAAGAATTCCCAAGCAGGATTTTGAGCTTGACCTTAGAGCAGTTGGTCAAGTTGGAGATATATTTTTAATGTAAATATTTCTGGTAACATGAGCTTGGGATTTATGCCAGCAAAGCTTCTGAGGGGCCTTTTCTCACCCTGTGCTCTGTGCATAAGTTTCTCCTTCTTAGACACTTTTCCTCTGTTTAGGAACAAACTTTGTTTTATGATCCCTAAAGCAGTTAGCAAACTGATGACTTTTCTAAAGCTGAGGATGAAAGACCATATAACAGGTTGCAGAGATTAAGTTGAGGTCCTTAAGAAACAGCTTCTGGTCTAGATTTGACACATTTGCAGACACTTGGTTCTAAACTATTGTTAAGCATTAGAAAAGCCTTGCTCGCTTATGCACAATACATTCTAAAATGGACTTGAGGTAGCTAAAACATATAACATTAAGAAAGAGCGTTAGAAATATACAAACAATCAGAACCTTTGGAGAATTAATTATGCTAAATTTAAGACTAATGGAGTTATTACATTTGGGTAATGCTTTTGAGCTTCCTGGTGGCCAGAGTTAAAAGAAAAGTCTAACAAAAAGAGGAAATAGAATGATTTTTAGGGAGAAATAATATATTATTTTTCATTTTATGTATCTTGCCACAGATACAGTTGAAAAGAAATATATTACATAAAACCTTCTAATGGGGGCACTAATAGGTACAATGGAAAACGCCCTCTGCAGCAACGTTAAAACTAAGACAAAATTGGTTTTTAAATGTTTGTTTGATAAATCAACTTTGATGTTTAATAAAGAACTAGGGTACATAGAAATTATTCAAAAATTAGTTGTTGAATGAATGATTAAAAAGATTTAAAAGTGTTCATTTTATTTAATGACCCGATAACTTCTGATGGAATTAACCAGACACTATTTCCTGGAGTGATGGTAATGAAAACCAAATTGGAGTAAAGTTCTTGGAAATGGATGTAGTGATGCAGACACCTTTTTGAGAATGCTGCTGTTAAAAAAACACAGAAAAATAGAGGAAAGTAAAATCAAAGATTTTTTTTTTTAAGAAAAGAGAGATTTGAGCAGATGATATTCTGGGAGGATCCACTGTAGAAAGAGTGCAAAGTTAGGGATGAAACAAAGTTGAATGGCATCTAGAGCACAGGTGGGTGGAGGAACTGGCCTCAGACAGAAATATGGAACCTCTTAGAGTTGCTTTTGATCTGGGTTTGGTAGCATTACCTGCATTGTATTTCCACCAATGTGAACAATTTTATGATTTTTTAAATGAGTTATACTGAACTTTGCTTTCAGATGCCGTTAGGGAAACTGTGGGAAAAGCAGCTAATATTCTCTCTCCACCCTCCTTCAAATGGGGCCATTTTCTATTCCCTTTTAATAGTTGAATGATTTATAATAAGGGAAACTGTGGGAAAAGCAGCTAATATTCTCTCTCCACCCTCCTTCAAATGGGGCCATTTTCTATCCCTTTTAATAGTTGAATGATTTATAATAAGCATATATTACTTTTTAAGTAAAAATAAGTCATAATAACATTGCCAAAAAAATTTCTTCAAATGATATGTTCCCCTTTGAACATAGGTTTGTGTATTCTCTCATTTGTTTGAGAAAGGCCAATGACCTCAGATAATCCTTGAAGTTAGCACTGATTTTCTGCTTAAAGATGGCATTGTTTTGAATTGTCTAACAATGGGTAATCTAAATATTATTTATTTTATGTTTTTGGATATAAGTTTTAGGAGAATTAAAATACATGAAAACTATGATTGAATATAGGAAGACAAGTTGTATAGTATTTATAGGAGAAAATTCCAGCAATAGTCTCAATTGTTTGAGACTTCTCACTTTGTGATAAAAATTGCTCCTGTCATCACTGTCACTGATCTTATAGACAATAATTTTATTTTCATTTTTAGAGACAGGGTCTTGCTCTATTACCCAGGCTTGAGTGCAGTGGCATAAGCATAGCTCACTGCAACCTCGAACTCCTGGGCTCCAGCAGTCCTCTTGCCTCAGCCTCCCAAGTAGCTAGAACTATAGACACATGCCACTATGCCTGGATAATTTTTTTTGTAGAGACAGGGTCTCGCTATGTTGTTCAGGCTGGTCTTGAAATCCTGGGTTCAAGCAATCCTCTCACCTCAGCCTCCCAAATTGCTGGGAATACATGCATAAACCACAGTGCCCAGCCAGGGTCTTTAGATTAGGAGATTTATATTATTTCAAACAGCAAAAATACGCTTGACTACAGACAAAACTGAATTTTAATTAAATCCAAAATGGATCATTGAAAATTTGTTTATTTTTTCTGTACACACACACATACATACATGTCAACACAGGGGCATAATTTATCTTCCAATTGTGCTACTTTTTACAAAAATAGTAAGAACCAAATGTTTAAGAGTGATTTATATTTTCAGTACTGATCTGTATGTTTTGTTCCATGAAAACTATGAAAAATTTTGCAGTTTCAAATCTCAAACTTTTCTGAGTAATGGGTATAGTGAAATTCTTCCATGGTCATGTTAAATGTTTGGGCAAAAGCAGAACATGCTTGAAGGGATCATGCTGTATAAATGTTCTTCTTTCTTTAGATGCTGCAGTAAGCCTATCTCTGCTTCTCAGCTAGTTTTAGAAGTGGCATTCTTACCATCCTCAGAACAATACTCAGATAGGTAAGTGGAGGAAGCTGCCTACAGCAAGCAAGAGTTTTAGTTGACCTTACAGAAGAAGAGTACTGCTGGTCTCCCATCCCTTCCCTGTTTGTCTAAGACTCTGAAATTAAAGGCTGATAGAGTGTGTTTCTTGTTGGATGCACGGCGAAGTTCATCATGTTTAGCCTACCTGCCACTGGGCAACCTAAAACCAGGTATCAGAAGAAAATAAATAATAATCCTGGCGGAGAAAAGTGAAGAGAGGAAACTAGTGAGAAAGTTGTGTGCACAGGTGTGCCTATGTACTTGTGCATGTGAATACCAGTGGGTTGTTTGTTGCAGACAAATGTCAGTTTAATAGGCACATGGCAGAAATTCCTACCACATGAGTTCTCTTTCAGTTTGCTATGGAAGACACAAAAACCCGTGAGCCCATCTTACTGGAATGCAAACGCCCTGAGAGCCTGGCACGTAATAGCTGCTCAGCAGGGGGCAGTGTGACACAGTCATTAAGAACTTGAAGATGCTGCTCCCTCTGGGCCTCCTCTTCCTCATCTGTAACATGGGAGAATCAGTCTTTTCATACAGAGTCCTGTACCGTTTAAATTAGATAATAGATTCCTAACCATGGGACAGAGTAAATATTCAACAAATAGTAACTTTTGTCATTTCTACTTTTTAAATTCCCGTTACAAAATATCTCCCTCCAAGTTAGAATGCTCATTCAAATTTCATAACTGTGTATCTTTGTCTGGGAGGTCAGGGAACGCCTCCAACTCAAAATATCTAAAAACTAACTCATGGCCACCCTGACCTCCCTGCCTGGTGTTTGTTCAGAGATCCCTGTTTCAGAGAACAACATCCAGTTGTTTTATAAACGGTTTGTCATCCTTAACACCTCCCTCTCCCCTACTCCTGCCATGCTAATGTGAGTTCTTTTGATTTAATCACTTAACTCCCTCTTGGAACTCCCCATTTCTTCCCATTGCCCCATCACCTCCACAGTGTAAGCAGCCCGTCTCTACCATTGAAGACTGCAGTGCAGTCCTAACTGGCCTGTTCCTCACATCCTCTCTTGCCCTCCTCCAATCTGTTTCCACATGGCAGAAAGACCACTCGTGCAGGAACAGAAATCTGGCCCTGCTGCCTCTGCTTCAAAACCTGCATCACTTCCCCGGATTCTTAAAATGAAGACCAACATACTTCCACAATCACTCCAGCTTCAGCTGGAGTCAAGCCCCTCCTCCCCCTCCTTTCTTCTCTGGACTCCACTCACACCAGATTTGTTTCAGTTCCTCAAAAGAGCATGGATTCCCCTGGTCACAGGACCTCAGTGCCAGCTGGGCTTCCATTCCCTGTCACACCCTTGAATCTGGCTAACCCTATGTACCCCTCAGTTTTGTTGCTTCTTCAGAAAAACCTTTCTGAGTAGAACCATCTCCCTTTTAATATGTCCTCACAGTACTTGTACCTCTCTCTCTCTTTTTTTTCTTTTTCTTTTCCTTATTAAATTTTATTTTAAGTTGTGGGGTACATGTGAAGGGTGTGCAGGTTTGTTACATAAGTAAGTGTGTGACATGGTGATTTGCTGCACCTATCAACCTACCACCTAGTTATTAAGCCCAGCATGCATGAGTGTACCTCTCTTTTAGAAGTGTTTATCACTGTTAATATGTAACATATATTTTGGTAGTTATTTGATTCATATATGTTTCCCCATCAAGGTATAAGCTTCATAGGGCCAGAGGTGAGAGGTGGGGACAGAACTCATAGTTGTTCACCTTTGGATCAACATTTTCCAGTGTAATAATAGATGCTCAATGTGTGTGTATTTGTGTGTGTGTGTGTGTGTGTGTGTGTATGTGTAAGGATAACAGCTCTCTTTTGTACCCCAGGACTCACCCAAGGTTTTCTTACTTTTTGTTTGTTTTGTTCTGTTTTTTCGAGATGGGATATCACTCTGTCACCCTGCCTGGAGTGCAGTGGTGTGATCTCGGCTCACTGCAACCTCTACCTCCCAGGCTCAAGCTATCCTTCACCTCAACCTCCTTAGTAGCTGCGACTATAGGTGTGCGCCACCTCTCCTGGCTGATACGTTTGTATTTTGGGGAAAGATGGGTTTTGCCATGTTGCCAAGGCTGGTCTCAAACTCCTGAGTTCCAGTGATCTGCCTGCCTTGGCCTCCCCAAGTGCTGGGATTACAAGCATGAGCCACAGCACCTGGCCTTCATCAAAGGCTTTAATTCACTGACTCCCTCCATCTGTAGTTTAGCTATGTAAAACCCTGTGAAATCAAGGATTTCAATATGTATGTAATGACAATGTAAAGCCAAATGATAATTGGAAGAAACTATTCTCTGACTTTGTTTTGGGGTCCTTTTGTTCAGCAAAGGCCTTTAGCACATGCTGTCTAGGGCCCAACTTCTCTCTATTTCAAACTGAATTCAGACTCCATACCACCTAAAAATCATAGACTCCTGGAGTGGAAAATCAGAGGTAGGAAATAATTAGTGAGAGAAACTGTATTAGTCAATAACTTTCTCTCTCTCTGTGACTGAAGTAGGAAACAGACCTGAGGCTTCCTTTAAACCAAGTATCAGGTGCTGAGTTCCAGCAAGGACCAGAAACCAGGTAGAAACCCCAAGTCAGAAAATAACTCAAAGAAGGCATTTATATACTTTCTGAGACAGTGGTATAGGGTGCACAAGAGAGGGAGAAAAGCTGATAATTTAGAGGGCTTTGATTCAAAGGGTTGCTTAAGAGTATTATGTAAGCGTCAACCCAGCTGCCTAGGTGGCAGGCTGAAGGTCGTTTCTGGAAAGTTTTACAAACTTTGGGAATGAATTCCTCTTGATACTGATAAGGAACAACACTCCCTAAAGTGAATGTGCAAAAAGATCACCTGGGATATTGCTAATATTCACTTTCTGATTTGGTGGGCCTGAGGTAAGTCTAGTGATGCTGTCATTCTAATAAGTTAACAGGTGATGTCAATGCTGCTGGTTTGAGTGGCAGGTATGTAGTACCCTTCTGCTCATCACTTGTAGTACCCAAGTACTCATCCAGGACAATGATTCCAGGGCTGATATAAACCATGGCCCAGGTTGGCAAGTTTGCTTTCATCCCTCCTAAGTGCTCTGCCACTGGGGTCCCATGTCTGCTCCCATGGTCTGTAAATGCAAATCATTTTCAATTATCAGAAAAGCAAAGTGGATCACCATCAGCCTGAAATATACTCAGGTTAGGTAAAGATCTCTTGATAGATTCTTGTGTCCAGGACTGTGGGTTACACCTATAATTGAGGCAGTGCTTAGCACCCTTTGATACCTACTGACAGGCTGAGGCAAAAGTGATTGAAAGAGATGGGGTGAGGATGGAAGCTGCATAGTAAAGTCAGGTACTCAGTATTAATACCTAATGAGTACTCTGTTATCCACGTGTGCTATTTCATTTAAGTATCATAGCAGTTTAATGAGAAAGGAACTTTCCATTTCACTCCCATTTTATGGTTATGGAAACCAAGGCCTGAAGAGATTAAGAACCCTGCCCTAATTTGTGCCGCTGGCAGTTGAGGGAGCCCAGATTCTGATCCATAAAGGCTCATTTGAAGTCTGTTGTTCTTACCTGGCTGCACATTAGAATTCCCTGAGGAGCTTTCGGAAAATATCCATTTCTGAACCCTCAAGAATTCCTATTTCACTGCTATTTTAAAAAAACCAGTCCAATGAATTTAACATATATCTGAGTTGAGTACAATTTCCTAGGCTCTGACTCTTAATTACCAGAATTTATACCCTCCAGAGACTAAGTTAGACATTAAAACAAAGAAAAAAAATAGGAATGCTTGGTGGGGTATTTTGCGGAGGCTGAATTTTAGAGCTACCCAATGCAATAAGACTAAGCCATCGCCCACTGACCACTAATCTTACAATAGCAGGACAATGTCCAGATTCTATTTGCTGGGATTCTACGTGATAATAGCTATGTATACCATATGTCAGGTGACACGGTTCTAAACACTTTACATACACTGCCTCCTATAATCTTTCAAAAATACACCGAAATAGATATCACTAACATTCCCCATTGTACAGATGAGAAGACTGAGATTCTGAAAGGTTAAATGCCTTGCCTTATTACAGGTGGTGTTAGGATTCAAACTCAAGTACTTTGGCTCTAGTCCATGGGATAAACAACTTTGCCCACTGTCTGTCACTTTATGGGCCACGCTTGTTTCTCACCAGCTCCGATGATGTAGATCTTCACCACCATATGTGAAGTGAGAACAAAAAAGGGCTGAAAGAGATTAATTTTACTGAAAAATGCAGTCGATATTAGAGAATGAGGCTCAGTGCGTAAATGTTTAGGAAACACTAATTTCCATTTAAAATCAGGAGCCAGTTTTTATCTGGCAAAGCCCTTCAGCAAAGAAAAAGTTACTCTGGGCAGGAATGAGTCCCTTCATCGCTGATACGTCAGATATTTCCTGGATACCTACATGGCAGGGATGTTGTTGCAGGGGGTTGGAGATGGAATGGGGTGGGTGGCCTGCATGCTGTCTGAGGTCTCCCTTAGGCATGAGTTGCTGTGATCCTGTGATCTGACTTAAGTCCTCCAACACTCAATCAGTAAGCGAGGGCTTGATCATTTACAGTTACACAGTGAGATGTTTCCAGGAATGATTTCCCTGTAGCATTTTAATAAGTACTCTATAAATAATAATTTATTGAAGTTGCCTACTATATAAGAAAAAGAATATATTAAAGAAGCCGAGCTAATTGAAGCTGGCAGTTAAGTTCCCTGAATCGAAACCAATCGGTTTATCTACATGACTCTAAAGATTTGGGATGAAAATTGCTCATTATAGTCTAACATCCTGATACCCAAAGATCCAGTTGTTTCACAATATATTGACATGGCCTTCCAGGAAACCTATGTGCAATATTGAGCTTAAAATGTTCCGATACAATTAAAAATAAATTGGATCAGAAAGAGCCTTTACTCTTCTTTAGTTGGGAGATGAAGGGATTTGAAAGATACTGAAAGCTGTGCGACCCCAGTCAGCAAGATTGCTGGTTCTAACTTGGATGACCACACAGCTTAAGTTGCCAGTGACTGTCCAGTTTATACCTTTGGTCCCAGGATAATGTTTAACAGGGCATCCATTCCCTCCCCAAGTATCTTGGTTTGAACAATCATTGCATAATCACTATGATCATCCTGGTTAACCCACAGTGAGAGAGATTGGAGAGGGCACAATCTAATGAGGTAAAAACAGGCCCTGAGGAAGACCAAGCTTCAGGTGGTAAGAGAGAATACAAACCAAGAGGCAGAATTGGGGTCCAAGGAGGAGCATTGTCTCATGATTCCTCAAACATCTTTTATTTTGTGTGAGTCTATAATTTCATATAGTTTGTTCCTCCCTCAGCTCAACTTTTGCACGTATGTATGTGCATGTGAAAAATCAAAAACCCATGATCATTCTTTTCCTCTTTAATGTTTTTTTCTCCTGATTGCATTATTATAGGGTTGTTGAGGACAAAGACAGTAGAGTCAGACATGTGAGGTGCAAAAATCCTCTGAGGATTTTGCATTATCTGGCTTGACAGTTCAGAGACTGTCTCTGAACTGTCAAGCCAGGATAACAACTAACATTTTTGAGCCCTAAGTCAATCACAAGTATTATTTTTAATATTCATGTAACCCCTATGGGGTACGTATTACCATGATCCCCCTTTCACACTTGAATGACACTTGAAGAGATTAAGCAACTTGTCCAGGATTCCACATGGAGCAGATGACAGCATCAAGATTTGAAACGAGAAGCCTGACCAATGCTCCTTCTGGCCAGTAGTCTTTTCTTAGCAGACCATTATGCACAGTTCATTGGTAAATATTTCCTTAGTTGCATGGGGGTAGGAGAAGTGATAGGAGATATCCCCTCTGTCATGCAGCCCAGTCTCATGACATGAGGCAAGATATGGAAGTGGTCTCTGGAGAGGTGGGCCCACTCAAGGAAATCATCAAAGACTTCTGAGAGAATGTATTGGCAGGGGGGTGGGGTTGTGGAGTGGCTCTTAGGGGTTGGTTTTGTGGGATAGGAAAATGTTTACAAGACAGAAATTAGAAGAGGACTATACCTAGCAGTAGGAATGGCCTGAAGAATGACTTTGGTCTGAGGAATAAATGGTGAGTCTAGGTTTTCACATAATCCATTTGGGCTGGACTGTTGTAAAGTTCAAATGTATGAATATGACTTATATGGACTCCTACCATGGCCTCTGCTCCCTTCTTCCCATCACACAATTCTATCACTTTTGCTTTACTCTTTAGCCACAGCTTTTTATAGTACCTCTATTCTTCCATGCTGTTTCAACTCAATGACACTTTATTAGTCCATTTTATGTTGCTATAAAGGAATACCTGAGGCTGGGTAATTTACTAAAAAAGAGATTTATTTGGCTCATGATTCTGCAGCTCTAGAAGAAGCATGGCACTAGAATTTGCTTCTGGTGAGGTCTTCAGGGAGTTTCCAATCACGGTGGAAGAGGAAGGGGAGTCAGCGTGTCACACAGTGAGAGAGAAGGAAAGAGAGGAGGAGGGGTGCCACACTCTTTTAAAAAGTCAAGAGCTCATCATTACCTCAGAGGAGGGCACCAAGCCATTCATGAGGGATCCACCCACATTATCCAAACACCTCCCACTAGGCCCCACCTCCAACACTGGGGATTATATTTGAACATGAGATTTGGAGGGGACAAATGTCTAAACTATATCAGATACCATTAATAATTTTCCTTCATACTCAAATACCCTTTTCCTTGATGCTTTCTTCATCTGGTTCATTGTTGTTTTCCTTCTAATTTGCTTCTCCCAGAAAGCCTACTTTGCTATTCTGGGCAGGTGATCTCTACCATACAGTTCAATAGCACCCTAGTATGTATTCACTGCTGTGCACAGTGCTTGGCACTGTGTAGGAACTCAGTTAGACAAAATAAGGCCAGGCACGGTGGTTCACACCTGTAATTCCAGAACTTTGGGAGGCAGAGGCAGGTGGATCACTTGAGGCCAGGAGTTCGAGACCAGCCTGGCCAACTTGGTGAAACCGTGTCTCTACTAAAAATATAAGAATTAGCTGGCCATTGTGGTGCATGCCTGTAATCCCAGCTACTCAGGTGGCTGAGGAATGAGAATGACTTGAACCCTAGAGGAAGAGGTTTCAGTAAGCTGAGATTGCACCACTGCATCCAGCCTGGGTGACAGCATGAGACTCTGTCTCAAAAAAATAAAAATAAAACCAGCTGAAAAGAACTGGATAGATTAGATAGAAGAAGCTTTGAAGCAGAGGTCAAGTTCAAAGACTGTTTCTACAATGATCCTAGTAAGAACCAGGGTATGTCTGTAAACATACATGAGGGATATGAGGAAGAAAGATTGCTGAGAGATAATTCTGGCATGTGGACAGGAATTTCAGACACCAAAAAGATGGGAGGGCCTTGGATTCCACATAATCTAAGAAATACGCCCTCTGTAGTCCTCAAACATGTTTTGCAAGTGTTTGGCCATTTTTTCATAAGGGAGTTTTTCTAGTAATTGGAAAATCTATATGAGGAATTGCTTCCAGTTATTCAGCAAGTCATTTGCTCAACAAATGAACACATGCAATGTACTGTGTACTGTTGACAGTACAGCACAAGGATCCAGGGATGACTAAGGCTCCTCCCCTACCATAGAAAATCCCAGAGACCAGTAGAGGAGACAAGTGCTTGAAACAAATGACAAAAGCTACTGTGTTAAGTAGTGAATCTCCTCTTTTCCTCAGGCCCACTTTGGCCTCTGACAGCACAGGGTTGATGAGTCAGCCTCTTTTCATGTGAAAACATCTGTCTGGTCCCCCCAAAGACTTCTCTAAACATTCTTCTGATATGAGGTAATTATTTCATATTTGCTGCATTTGTTGTGAACACTGATAATCTCATGAAGATCTATTAAATGTCAACGTGTTCCTTTCTGATCTACTTAACTAGTTGATGCCATCTTTAGATGTATGTATTGTAGTAGTAGTTACGGAAGGGACTTGTAATAAACAGATGCAATGATAAATTCAGTAAAAACATAGAGAATCATTTATGTTTCTCAATTATAAGTTAAAAGGCAAAGCCTTGGTAACTGGATTTTCTTCCATTTGGGGAAAGTGTGATGTAATAATCCTTCATTTTTAAGAAATAAAGAGAAATGGGTGGTTTGTTCAGTTCTTGATATAAAGAAGTCAACTTTAAAGCAACATTTTATTAGAACCATAAGTTTTGTTTGAAAAAATTTAAAATCCAGAGTTTATTTTCCTTTGGAGTTGCTGCAGAGAGTCAACAGGAATCGAGATAATTTTTTTTCTTGTATTTGTGCTCACTTATTAAACACATATGTGAGCTAGATTCCTTGCATAGGTGCAAAAGGATTTGGAAGAGGGGGGAAGGTGCAATTTAGTTCATTGACCTGCTTCCCTGCCCTCAGGAGTCTTTCAAACAGCTGTGAGAAAGAGGAAGAGGGGAAAGGAGTAATTTTGCACTCATATCCAGATGTTCATTTCAAACGCATCCTGAACAACTTTTGCATGGTTTATTACATTTTCTGAAACCATTTTTCACAAGCCTGTTTTCTCAGCTGGGAAACTTCTGGTGTAGAATTTTCAAAAAAATATTGCATTTGGCATTATAAGAAAAAAAGAGCTTTTGAGACATTCAAAGAACAATCTGTTGGCCTTGGTCTGCAGAAGCAGGACTTCAGGAATGTAGGCATTTTGTACCACCCAAAATATAGGTAGACGAAAGATCTATTCTTAACATTTGCTTTACATGGAAGCTTGAGAGATCCTTTAGCTTGATGATTTCAATGATGTGCTATCTTAGGTTGGCCTGAAATATCACAGAAAAGAAACCTAGCTGGGGACAAACAGGACCAGTGGAAGAATCCATCTGAACCCAAACCAAACCAGAAGCTTCCACATGGCACTTCAAACACAGTAGTTCAGTTTTGCAGAACTCTGTACTATTCTAGTCCCACCCATCTTCTGAGGTAAAGTGGGAAAGAGTGGAAGAAAAATAGTTATGAATGCTAATTAATTTCTTAGAAGCCTATAGGATGCCCTTCCCATGGTTGGTCCCATCCATTCCCCTTAAGATCCAGGACCTGACAACAGAGGAATTGAGGATCTAGAACAGCCCCTAGTCCCACCGCAGAGTGGACTTGGTCTCCTGGCCAATTGCAGGCAATGAAACTCTTCCTTCTTCATCCTTTCTACATGTGGAATCAAACCTAGAAATACCCTTAGGAAGGAGTGGATGACCCAGAAAGATGAGTCCAAATGGAAAGACTAAGATCTGCTCTTAAAGAAAGGAAATCAAGCTGCAGAGGTCAAGGAAATCAGGAGAAATGATAAAGCAAAGTTTTAATGTGGAAGAAATAGAAGATCAGGGGTTTTAGAACCCAAACCAAGTCTTGGATACGTTTCTTAACCTTCCTGACGTTCAGTTTGTCCACTTTTAGAATTGAGCACGCACCTACGTCTTTATACCAGAGGGTGTCAAAATGAGAATGGAGTGGTGTGATGTATGAATATACCATAGCATACCATAGGTCCTCAATATTGTTTAGTTCTTCACACCTATTCCCCAACTTAGAGAGGTAGCACAATAACGCTAGACATCCGTATTTCTGTAAATATTTCTGTCGAAGTTCTGTGTGTGTCTCTGAGATATTAAAGATATTATCCAGTAGGCAGTTGGTTATACTAATGGTGCAGTCAAGAGAGAATCTGATTTGAGGATAGAGATCCAATAGACACAAGCACAGGGGTGATGGCCGCACACATGAGCATCTATGAGGGCACCCAAGAGACTAAAGGGAGTGAGAGGTAACAAGGACATAAAACAGAGTTCCCAGGACACCAGCCTTGGAGGGACAATCCACATAAGAGAACCCTGCAAAAACAAAGGAAAAGAACACTGAACAAAAACAATTAAAGTAGAAATTAATAAGAACAAGGCCAAGAATGCTTCTAAAAGAAATGAGAGGGAGGATTTTCTAAATTTTAAAATAAATATAACCCAAAATGTAAAATACTGTGGGAAACAATAACAGTTGTCCAAGACCACATATTGCACTATGAAATACTGGGAAGTGAAAAAAGAAGTAAAAAAATAAATAAATAAAATGTGCTAAGTTTCTCAACTAAAATAGGACTGAGTCAAAAGCTATTGTTTCTTTTTGACCTTGATAATTAGAGAAATATTGGATCAAGTACATTATTTTGCAAAATTTAGTAGAAATAAAAAACAGGATGATTCCTCCCAAATTACTGCAGGAGATTAAAGAAATCAAAGCAGAGTTCATCTAGCTAATGACAGGAAATAGGGGAAATGGTAGGAAAGCATAAAATCCAGAAAACATAAAATAAGATCATAGAAGGAAGTGCAAATGTGTCTCTTATGACATTAAATGTAAATTATAATGCCACCCTTTAATATTTAGGAACCATCAGTTCAGGTTAAAAACAAAGATGCACCTCTTCAAAGGAACAATTTTTAAAAAGTGTCTCAGAAAGTTTAAACATAATATATCTGGAAAATATGCATCAGGAAAATGTAAATAAGAACAACGGATGTGTCAGTGTTAATATCACATAGAGTAGAATCTTGGGTTGAAAAAAAAAGATACAAAACAGTACAAGAGTTCATTTATTTGTAGTTATATATTCTATTATGGATAAATAACTATGATATAGTTTGCTGTTTTTAATAACAGATAATTAAATAGATATATAAATTAATCTTTTGGAAATTCAAAGGAAAATGTTTGGGATATGTACACACATATGACTCTCAACTACATAGTAAATAGACAAAAATAAATAATAATAGATGAAGTTTTCTTAAGATGATAAGAATATACCAAACATGTATTATACCTAGAAAATGAGTACTCATCTGGCCAGCTATGTTTCAGATTTTTTTTTCCTCTGTAAATTGCAGGGAACTCTTCCCAGGAGCAACCTCATTTGCTGGGAGATGTGGTTTCCATAAGGATATGAAACTATTTCAGTATCCTGTCCTGCCATATGGTCACACTTATCTGGTGACATTCTGGACTCAGCACAATAGATGTGCCCTCACATGCAAGTATACAGCCTTTTCTAGAAAAATTTTAAATTCATTTTCTATGAATAATGTCAAGCTCTTGAGAGACTCATGAATTCTCTAGGTTCTCATTTTACAAGTCAACTCTTGGAAATATTAGTTTAATCTACTTTACTGAAAACTCTAGGAAAACTGCTCTTCAATTCTCTTTTCTAGTGAACAGCATTCCAGTCTTAATCCTTACAGACTTTCGGAGGAACTCCCTCACATCACCCACAGTAGAAATAACATGAGAAAGCACACAGTCATCTCTTGCATCCATGTCCTATCCATGCTTTTGCATTGCTGACAAGTGACGGGTGGGCTCTGACATCAGGAGATGCAAATGGCTGATGATTCAGACGGTTGTTTGGTAAGTAAACCTGGGTAAACCCTCAAAATGCAATGTTTATTTTTTCTCCTGACCACAATAATCTGAAAATACCCTCAAATTGTAAGAATCATTATAAAACAGCCTTTTTCTGGCTCACTACCCACATACCAGAATTGGGATAACTCTACTGAAAACTTGCCTACCCTGATAGGAATGGAATATTTCTGACAAGCTTACACATGTTCACCTCTTTCTAGCATCACCTTCATTGCTATCATGTCTACTATAATTATCATGCATTGGCAGCCATGAGGAATATTTTGCATATATTATATAAATTAATCTCCCAATAACATTCAAGGCAGATACTATGAAAATTTCCACTTCACTGATGAATAAACTGCCCACTGCCACAGAGTAAGTACACAGCATAGTCCTTATTTTAAAAACTTTTCATCACAGAAAACATCTTCTCCTCCTTTCTCCAGTGACCCTCTGTGTGAACTCCTACTCAATTTCTAGCTACGTGGGTTCCCTGGTCATTTCAGGGATGTTTCCTTCTGAAATAGCTTCCGGGTTTATAGGTTCTCCTTATCTCTGTTCTTCAGTGTCTTCAAGTGGTTATATAACTAATGAGGGAACTCACCCCAAATGCCCTTGTCACATGCTATTGGGAAACATACTTAAAGCAGGGATGTCCAGTGTTGTCCTTGATTACAGAGATTGATGGGAATTTGTTTCACAAGAAGTTGTTTTCTTACAGTATATTGTTAAAAGCTCCCAGGGCCAGGAGTGGCAAAAATGCCATTTAAATGACTCGCCATGCTTGTTTTATTCAAAATGGCTACCCCTTTATCCAGAAAATCACTTTTTTTGGATCAAACATCATTCTTCAGCTCCCTTCCATTCTTTCACTTATTCAGTCATTTATTTCTAACATACTTATTGTGTGTATTCTATGAGTCAGGACCTCTTCTGGGTGTTGGGTGAACACCACCACATTATACTAATTAGTGTCTACACTAACAAAGTAGACATCACTGAAGACCTCAGTGAATTTGGTATTTAGTAAGGAACCAACAGACAAGTTTAAACCTGAAACAGAATAAGATAGTTGCTCTAACAGGGCTATGGGCCAGATAGGGGAGAGAATCATCAGATAGGTTGGAAACCCACCCATGAGGCTCCTTGGCTCACGTCCTGCCTGCCTGGCTGACCCTCCAGGCATTCCCGGACATGTCTGAATATTCAGGATGTACACATTTTGGGCTCCCATTTTAGGACCCTGTTGGACTTGGAACATTGCCAGTCTCCTCTTGGTTGGCACTGTGGTCTAAAAGAGGGTAGAAAGAGAGTAAGTTCTACATGTGGCAGAATAGAGGTTTCATCCTCATCCCCTTTCCCTGCTTCCTGGACACAGTGGTTACTTATTTACCCCTTATCTTTTGGAGCTGGGATCAATGCTAAGCTAGAATTAGAGAACAGTATCACTGGAAAAACAAAACAAAACAAAAAAAAAAAACAGGAAAAAAGAAGGCTGCAACGCTGTTAGAATAAAATACAGGGAAAGTATAGTCTAGGAAGAGGCAAGTGTTAGCTGGTAAACGATTTTTTAGTCTGTTGAGATATGTCAGCGTGAGATTAGTGAAGAAAGTGCATTTTCCTTCACCACCTTCTCTTAACTATTGGACCAGGGTGACTTAAATCTTCTAAGTGCCTTACCTGGCCTCTAGTCTTCCTGATGCAATAGTCCTTAGAATGGAAAATGGTGATAACAATAGCTATTTTTTAATTTTATGCTTTATTAAGCACTTATTACGCTCCAGACTATACTAAGCATTTTGCCTGTATTATTTCATTATAGCCTCAAAATCACACTGTGGAGAAGGTACTATTAGCATCCCCATTTTATAGGGCAGTGGAGACATAGAAAAGAAAAGCAACTTGCCCAAGGCCCAATGTGAGTAAAAGGTGAAATGAGAATTTTATTCCAGGCACTTGGAATCTAGAGCTCCACACTCCACTGAACGAATGTATTCTGTATTCTCGATTATCTCATTTTACTTTTAAATTTCTGGTAATAAACTATACTATAGTTTTATGCTCCTGTAAGGTATCAACTAAAGTGTTAAATAGAAGCAAGGTATCAAGATTGAGGCCTTCCATCATGAGACATTATTGAAGGTGCATCTTCAAAAGTTTTTGCTTTGGGGAAAACTTTAGTAATTACAGTACAAGACAAATAATTTAAAACCCCAAAAGCTGTGGATATGTAAGTGTTGAGCTTTATTTCTTGTATTTAGGATGGAGCTTCATTCCAGTGTGAGAATTTATGCCTTGGTGCGCTGACCACTCCATAAATCTAAATAAAGCCTCACAATGTTCCATGTACTATGACAGGTGGGGGATGCAGAGAATAGTGAGTAGGAGCATAAAATCTGGAGCAGAAATGGCTGCATCTGAATCCTGGTACTACTACTGGGTAAGACTGGGAAACACACTTTCATGTTCCTTGCTGTCAAATGGAGGTAAGATGGCACTTGTAGGGTTGTAGTGAAGGAGAATTAAGAACAATGTTATCTTCCACAATTATTAGACATAGTTTAATTACCAGGACATAGTGCCTGCTATTAAACTGGACATGAATGTGAACAGGTGGATACCCAGATATAGGTGTGAAAAGAGAACAGGGCTTTGACACAGCCAGTGGCCAGATTTAAGGAAAGGTGTCAGAGACAGTGGGGTGTAAAGCTGAATTCTCAAAGATCCACAGGTGTGTCCCTGATTAGCAAGGCAAAAGGAGGCATTGCTGGTGAAGGGAACAGCCATGAAAATGGAAATGGCAAGAGTGAGGCCAAGCAGTCAGTCTTAGGGAACTGCAAATTAAGAACTATGCCTGGATTTAGGATTCTAATGGGGGCATTGTTAGAGTTTGAGTCTAGAGAGAAAGGAAAGCATTTAGATCTCATTAAGGAGTTCAGACTTTATGCTATGGGCGATAGGAATCCATGGAAAATCCTTGTTTCATTTGTTTCTGTTTTTTGTTCACTTCTTCTTCTTTTTTTTTTTTGACAGAATCTCGTTCCTTTGCCCAGGCTGGAGTTCAGTGGTGCTATCTTGGCTCAGTGCAACCTCTGCCTCCCAGGTTCAAGTGATACTCCTGCCTCAGCCTCTTGAGTAGCTAAGACTACAGGTGCACGCTACCACACCTGGCTAATTTTTGTATTTTCAGTAGAGATGGGGTTTCACCATGTTGGCCAGGTTGATCTCGAACTTCTGACCTCAAGCGATACACCTGCCTCATCCTCCCAAAGTGCTGGGATTACAGGTGTCAGTCACCATGCCAGGCCTCACTTCATTGTTTTTTAACTTTTATTTTTTTAAATCAAAAAGAGCTTTTGAAAATTTCCTTCCAAGTAGTGAAATATTGTGTAAACATTAACTTATGGACAAATTGCAAGTCATATTTTAAAATTACCTAAAATCCCACAACCCAGAGGAAACACGCACTGACATTTTCCTGAACATCTTAGAACACACATATATGATTTTAGTGAACTGATTAATAATATTTTATAAAATGCTTATTAATAATATCCTATGGAAACCTTTCCATATCAATAAATAAAGGCCTATATTAGCATTTTAATGACTGTAGAGTTCTCTCTTTTATGGAGGTAAAGCAGTTTATTTACCCGATCTTTACTGATTTGAAAAAAAAAAGTTTAATTTCTGAGCAGTAAGCAGTGCTTCAATAAACAACTGAGAACACAATGCAATAAAACCATAAAATAATGGATGGAATAGATAATATAGCAAATAGTTTGTTGAAAATTAAAAAACAAACAAACAAAACTCACTTCTTTAACCTGCTGTTGAATGAGAAGAGAAAAGAACATGGCCAGTACCTTAGTAGAGGTTTATTTATTCAAAAATTCAGTACCTCATCTCTTATTTATTGAGCATCAAAGATGTGCCTGACCCTGTTCTGATAATGGGGTGCAATGGTAAACAAGTCAGAGAAGATACATTTCTTACAGCTTACATTTTAGCACAGGGGGCAGATGATAAACTAATAAAGATGCAAGAACATATTAGGTAGCCATGAGCACTGTGGAGAGAATTAACACAGGGTAGTACAACAGACTAGAGGATCACATTTGTTGGGTCACCTGAAAAGACTTCTCTTAGGAACTGCTATTAAGGCTGACAAATGAATGACCAAAGAATCCAGGCAGGTGAAGATCAGGGAAAAGTGATCTTTTCTATTCAGGGAAGAAGAAGCAGCTACTGCCCAAAGTGAAGGATGTACTTAGCAGGTTCAAGAAAGAGAAAAACAGGGGTCCACTAGTGTAGCTTGCAAATATTCACCAACAGGAAAGGTGGCATGAGGCACAGGGAAGGTCAGGGAGCATCCTGTGGGCCAGGCAGGTGTTCAGATGTTTCTCTTACTTACAATGGGAGGCCACTAGAGAGTTTTCACCAGGGCAGCAACTTTATCTAAGATTTTAGAAGTTCAATTCAGCCTCCAGAAACCACAGATTCCTAAGGGTAAGTTGCTGTTTTGTTTAGCTCTGCATTCATAAGACCTAGAAAAGTACCTGGCACATAGTAGATATTACTTCAGTGTTAAAAAGAATGAGCAGCCGTTAGGTAGGGAGTCCAACACAGAGGAAATGAAAGTGGAAGCAGGGATTCATTCATTGATCCAACAATAATTACGAAATATTTAAAGGCATTGTACTAAGTATTGTGGGTCAATGATAAATGAAACTTAGTCCTTGCCCTCAGAGAGCTTATATTCTAGTTGGTGAAAAGGACCTGAACTGAATACATGGGTGATTATTTATTTCTATTGTAAGTGAGAACAATATTTCATTCCAAGAAAGGGCATGTCTTATTTTGATACTCCAGACTGTTATCTATTTGCTTTAAATTAATTTAATTTAATTTAATTTAATTATTTTTTTGAGACAGAGCCTCTCACTCTGTCGCCCAGGCTGCAGTGCAGTGGTGCGCTCTTGGCTCACTGTAACCTCCACCTCCTGGGTTCAAGTGATTCTCCCGCCTCAGCCTCCTGAGTAATTGGGATTACAGGCGCTTGCCACCATGCCCATCTAATGTTTTATATTTTTAGTGGAGATGGGGTTTCACCATGTTGGCCAGGCTGGTCTCAAATTCCTGACCTCAAGTGACCCACCAGCCTCAGCTTCCCAAAGTGCTGGGATTACAGGCATAAGCCACCATGCTCAGGCTATTTGCTATTTGATTGAGGACAGGCCACAGCTGTAGCCTCTGTTTAGCTTTTCAAGGAGAAAATCAGGTCTTCCACTGACCAGAACATCTAGAAGGAAAGGAATATTTAGGAGAAAAGATTATCAGCCAAGATTGGGATATGTTGGCTTCTTGGCACCTTTGGCCCCATGGGTGCAGATGAGCAGTGGAAGCTGGACCTTGCAGTGTGGAGCTCAGGCAAGAGAGCTGGAGATGGGAACATAGCCATATGGGGGCCAAGTATAGACAAGGGAAAATGCAGTGGTGTAAAGTAATTTTCATTATTTTCCTTCTATGGCCTAGTTAGATTAATTGCTCCTTCAACAGTTCCTACAGAGACCTACGATAGCATTTAAAGAGCAGGTTCTCTGGACTTGGGCTGCAATGGTGAGCACCAGAGCATTGTCACTTACAATAGAATATTTATGAGCAAGTTGCCCAGCCCCTTGGGGTTTAGTCTCCTCATCAGCAGAATGTGAATAACAATAGCACCTACTCTATACAATTGATTACATTCTCTAATATATTTACAGCCCTGAGTAATATTGAAGCCTTAATAAATATCTAATATCTTTATTACATTCAGTTGTAATTATTTTATTATAAGGCTGTAATGGCCTACTCTAGACCATCATACATTGTGATCACTTATGTATTATCGATGGCAATCATAGTATTTTGTAAAAAGTCTGCTTGATAAATATTCTTTGAATTAATATTTTTAAAACACCTTTTTGGAGATATGATTGCACATACAAAGAGCCGTGCATATTTAATGTATGCTACTTGATGATTCTGGACATAAGCATACATTCCTGAAACCATTACCGCAACGTATGCCATGAACATATCCATCACCCGCAAAAGTTTCTTCCTGGAGTCCCAACTTATCTAAAGTATAGGGAAGCCAGGGAACCCCTTAATAACTGAGGATATCATGTACAAGAAAGGGCATAAAAATACGGGTGGCATGCACTCCTATCATTAAAGTCAGGATCCAATATATCCTTTTAACAGGAGGGTTCAGGTCAAGTTTTGGCAGAGTCAAGTATCATCTGTGGATTCAGGGCTGGGTGAATTTCCAATGCCAAGTGTTTAGAAGTGAAGCTCCTGCACCACCTGTATCACAGTCCCGTGGGTCAGATGATGCTGTCTGGAGTTCAGAATCCTCAGTTTCACTCCTGATTTACTGATTCACAACTTATTGATAGGGGGTGAGGAAGAGAACAGCCTGCCTAGAACTACCTTAACAGTGGCTCCCTGTATGTGCCATAAAATTCTAAAAATGGAGGAAATCAAAGAGATTTAAAAAAGCATATTTGAATACTTGCTGATGGAAATTATTTCTGGAGGTCACGACATAGGCTGGGACTGTGAGATCCTGGAATCGGTGTTTGTCTTCGTGTAGCAGTGTTTCTTTTTTGAGAGGACATGGGAAGTAGGAAGCAGACAATGTCTCTTGGTGGCAGTCCGAGTTGGCAGGGAGCCCCTTCTTCTGGGCAAAATTTCTTTGGGGCCTACAGAGCCCTCTTTCAGTCTTGAACAACTCACCCGTGAGATGGGTCCTGTCCGCTATCCCGTGAGAGACAGCCTGTGATTGTTGTTGGTCTGTGCCAGTTGCAGGGGGTATAATTTAGTTGGATTTCAAAAGAAGAATTTCTTTTTTCTTTTCTATTTTTTTTTATGTCTTTCTCTCATATCCTAATGGAGTTTCTGCCAAGGCAAACTGGTACAAACCGGCGCCATCAGGAAAGCAGGAGATGGAGCCCAGTTCTCTCGAACACTTCATACCCAAGTGTATTCTCACTCTAAATCTGTATCCAACACTTAGTCAAGCTTGGATTCCTATAAAAGCCTTGTAAAAAGGAAGTATGGATCAAAGACACCTTCAACATGTATCATGTTGTGTTCAAAACCTGTGTGGGAGAAGCAAGTTGTAAGCACTAGCTTCTGGTCAGCACTTCCCCTGAGTCTCCCCATGCAGGGCCCTGCTGGGGGCCTTCTACCAAGACATGTCCTCTGAGGGCCTCTGCCACCGTCTCAGCCTTATGTTTCCCTGGGAAAAAGGGCAGGAGCAGCCCCAGCAGAGGCCCTTTTCCCTGGCAGCACTCTGTGTCAGCAAAGCGTCTCCAGCAAGTATTTCCGTGGGAAGGTCTTCCATCTGGAGCTTGGCAGACAGAGGAAGTTTCCTTTGAGGTTCTGCCACCCTCTCCCCTCAGCTCTGCATAAGGTGCAGCCCAGAGAGGCCCAGACTGATTTTAGGAAGGGTGCGAGTGTGTTTCATGGAGTCAGAACTGCTGTCCCTCTTTTCCTCAGTAAGTGGGCAGGGCGCTGAGAAGAAGAATGTTGTTTGTTCTGCCACTACCTCCCATCTCAGTGTGCAACAGGTCACAAGATGTGACAAGTTCATGTGCTAATTCCTTCCTTTTCAGTTAATAGAATAACACAGATGGGAACACTTAGCCTGGGATCGGACACAAATTGGAGCAGCCGTGGAAGGAAGATAGAGGTAGCCTGGCCCATTCTCAGCACTTCATTAAACAGAAATGACTTCTAACAGCATTGTTACCCTCAGCTGGGTATCCCTGAGAAGCTACTCTGACAGGAAGGTATAGGCCTCTGGCATAGGCCCTAGCCTCAATCCACTCATCCCACAAAATGCTCACAACATATTAAAAAAGTAATAACACTAGACAGCAATTTCACTGCTTCCCAGAGTCGCTGAGCAGCAACGCCCTGACATTAGCTCTAAACCTACTCCATAGCTTGTCTGCAAGACGATAAACAGAATACTAAGGAGAATAGGGGAGAGGAGTGTTGAGACAGAAATCGTAGAGCCAAGCACAGACACCACGGGGACTCCTGTCATCCACCTTGGCCACTGTGCATCTTGAATGTTCAGGTATAGAACTGGTTTCAAATATTTTACCCCTTACCAGATTATGTTCTAGCTTTTCTCAAAGGTGACAGCAAACCTTTGGTGATCAAATGGCTTTGGAATCAAAGAGACATCTTTAAATCCCAGGCTGCTATTATGATGAGCTATGAGTGAGTACATTATCCAGCTCTTCCTAAGACTCTAGTTTCTTACCTGTAAAATAAATTAGGACAATACTTTCCTCTTATTTAGTTGTTGAGGATCAAATAAAATGTCTAGAGCAGTGACTAAGACCAAAAAATAGTAGCTACAATGTATTGATGTGTATGATATGTGCCAGGCATTGCACCTAACACTTTATAGGCATATTCCTAATTTAACTTTGCTAAAGTGCTCTGAGGCAATGCTATTATAACCTCCCCCTCCATGTTACAAATGAGGAAAGAGTGCAGTGATAAGATCCCACAACTTGCAAGTTGCGGGGGAAGGGTCTTGAATTGAAGCCAGGTCTGTCTATCTGTGACTTTAGAGCCTGAGTTCATAAACACATAGTAGGTGCTCAGTAAATGGTATCTGTAATCATTTTCAACATTTTCACCACTACATTACCCAAATCATGAGAGACCTCCATGCCTTGCTAGGCAGTTTGTGTATCAGCATTGTAGCGTTGGCTATAAGAAGATGGTAGTAAAATAGGAGATGATAGACAACAATTCCTAATTTGGAAATTGTTTTGGAAATTTAAAAAGAGGATGACAGATGCATCTCAGAATTTAGATGAGGTTAGGTCCAAAAAGTATCTTTGTGAATATGTGTAAATTAATGCCTGCTTTGAACCCCTTCCTCTTTTTTATGAAAACAGGATAACAGCCTCTCCTCCCTCTTGAGAACTTAGCCTTTCTCTATTCCATGTGGCTTTGATGAGAATAATTCACATTTTTCCCTTGGCACCAGGTTACAAGTGTGGGCCACCTGTCATGAACCTTGTCTATAGAGATCAGTACATAACCTGAGCCTATGACCCAAAAGGGCCAATTGAGATCATTCAAGAAGATATCATATGTTGATAATAGAAGGGTTCATTCAGTCAACTCTGTCTCCTGTCACTGTAAGGCTGAAATAACATAAGTTGAGCTTTTGGTAGCCACTTCTGCTTCTCTCTTTTCAAATAAATGGAGGTATTTTGCAGTCGGAAGGAATTCAACAAATATAGGGAAAGCCAAGAAATGCAGAGAGAAGTAGAGGAGGAAGAAGAGGAGGAGGAAGAGGAGGAAAAAGAAGGGAAAAGAGAAAGAAGGAAAAAGAAAAAAGGGAGGGTGAGAAAGCCATTATTTTCTATCTCAGGATCGCCTTGTGTTTAAGATCAGTTCTATTTCTAGATTTCCATGTTGTGTTTTCATAATTTTACAGAAAAACTACTAGTTTGCATAGGATACATTGGATTTGTAAGCAAAGAACTAATAACGAGCTTGGTAAGAGGAGTTTTAATAGCCTCGGTATGACCAAAATTTTGGGTTATCTTAGACTTTCTCAGTCCCCATTCCCAGAACATTTGACTCTGTCTTTACCAGGGACATCTAGTAGCATATCCCAATTATGTTTCAATTGGCTCTTTATTTCAGTTGCATGGTGTGATGGAAGGAGAATGGTCTTTGAAAGCAGACAGACATAATTTCAAATACCAGCTTTTCCAGAATGTAACTCTATGGATCTTGGACAAATTATTTAAGTTCTCTGAGTCTCCATTTATCATCTCTAAATTGGATGTGGGTACTTGGGTGTGAGAACAGGTAGATGGGCAAATCAAATGACTTAGGGTTAAAAAAAAGTCCCTGGCATGGTGCCTAGCCCCTAAAGTGTACTCTGAAAAATGTGTGTTGTATTCTATCCAGCTCAACTCCACTCTTTCCGTGTGAAGATTACATAGTAATTGAGAATAGGTATGTTAAATCTTTTTGTGATCCTTAGGACCTTTCTGTAATACAGAATAATGATGTTGCTCTGTATAGCATATGGCCATGCCATGTAAAATGTTGACAAACTCAGCCTCAACTTTTAGAATAAGTTGCACAAATTAACAAAATATGTGAAGTCTTGAATTTGTTTGCTAAAGGAGCAATTATATTTCATACATAACTGACACTTCACTACTTTCTGTCTTGTAGTAACAGCTTCTAGTAACTCACAGCTCTCACTGTCCCTATTCCTGGGGTGAGGGAGGTGATGATATCATATATTTTCTGATCTCAGGATACATCTAGCCATGAGGATACCAGGGCAGGTCCCAAGACACTTTACTGGTAACAGTTCCTCCTTAGCCCTGCTAGCTTTCTTTAAAAAAGGAATCAGTATGTTACTTTTCTGGATTTTTAGGGAATCTTATAGTTGAAGTTGGTTTTGTGCCATTTTTACTTTCATATCCTCTATAGCAGTCTCTCTGTCTCTGTCTCTGTCTCTCTCTCTCTCTCTCTCTCCCCCTCCCACCACTGCCTTGCCCCGATTCTAGACAATGGGAACAAGATTGAATAAGATACAATCTCCCACCCCAAAGAGCCAGTAGTCCCTTTGATGACACAGACTGAGAGCAGTTTATGATCTCTACTTCTTTAGCTTGCAGCCAAGGAGGTGGAGCCGAGACCCATGGCTGAGTGCAGGACTGGTTCCTCAGCCCTGGAGAGGTGACATTAAAGGGTGTCTTTGCCTCACATGGTGCCCAGATGCCTCCCTTTGTACCCCATAAGCTGGTTAAGAGAGAATTATCTTTCTATAAAAGCAGAGAGACTTAATGCCTGGCAGACCCTGAATGTAAATTTCAAACGATGTGATTTAAGTAAAACTTATTTAAAGTGAAAGTTGTGGTCACACTGAAGACACAGCCCATCTTTGTTTTTTGCCTTATACAAGTTTATGTGGAATTCCTTTCTTTCCCATTCTTTATACCCATTGGGTATAGGTATTCTCTTGGCTGACTCAGAACATTTATGGAGAAAATCAGAAACAGGGCTTCATCTCTTCTCCTAAAAATAGTTTCTCTTTTTCAAATAAACCTGCTGGTAAAGTGTTTACAAGTATAATATTTCACACAAGGAGGAAAGGATCATATTAACTGCAAGAGAGAGGAATCTGGCACCTAATTCAAGAAACATCCTTCATACTTCTTGGGATTGGAAATACAAAATCCATGAGCCTAGAAAAGGGAGGGATTGAGTAGAACACAGGAATCTAAGGAAAATTATAGCAAGAAAGGGCTTGGATCAACCCTTATCTGAGTCCCAGTATTTTGAGGAGTGTGTTTATCCATGACTTGCCATTTTGAATCCAAAGGTAGTTTTGTAGTTTTTCCTTTTTCTCCACCTAGGGAAATAAATTGATGCTCATTTAGCATATACTATGTTTTGAAAGAAAGGAAAAAGAGAGAGAGAATATTAATTTGTGTAGCACCTCATGTGAGTTTCTACAGCTCAAATTTCCTTGGCAAATTTATTGTGGAGTTTCCACCTATATAAAGGAATTTTCCTTACTAAGCATTTCCCAGATCTTTTTCAGTCTCTGTTTTCTTAATTTCCTAATTTTAAAAATTGTCCACCAGGGACCAGGACTGAGAGGACAAAATCAACAGAATGAGGCCATGTGGGATTTGGTTGCCAAGACTCAAGAGGGTCTTGCTCTTGTTGGAGCCTCAAGTCCAACAACGGTCTTGGTAACAAAACACAAACAGTTCCCTTGACACTTATTGGAAGGGGGAGAGTGGGGTGTGGGAGCAATTGGCTTGCCTTCTAAAATGACTGAAAGCAAAATTTGAGTGAAGCCAATTAAATCCATGAGTATAAAGTAATTTTTGCAAGACCTTCCCAGCAGAGAGAAGCAGTCATATTGAAGATCAATCACAGAAAACCAGAAGCATTTTGAAGTGGACTCATTAAATCTAACAAGGGGTTTTGGGATCTGGGACGGAAGAGGACAGCAAAAGTCTTTTAAATGTAATGTTTGTCCTGGTGAGTCTGGAGGCTATGAGAGCTCCTGTCCTTATACACTTGTGAACTAGTTCAAAAGGCTAGGTGAGGAAGCAGGACCAAGGCTGCGCCATGCCCTGGGAGAGAAGAGGAGGCAGAATGTAAGGACCGTGGGGCCAAAGTGGGCTCTGTTGCAGGCTCTGAGGAAGGAGAGGCAATATTCAATTCAGAGGCATGATGAGGCTTGTGCAAGCCTGGCCACTAACCAAGAGCCAAGATGAGCTGGGAGGAGGGAAGTCCAATTGACCAGCCCATTTGACCTTGGGTATGTGGGAGGAAGACAACAGGAACACCAACTGCTACTGGGTCAAGTACCCTCTGAACTGAGACAGCGAAAACAGGAACAAGGCCAGCAGAGGCTTCTAAAGGGAAGCAACTGAATCTGGAACTGTGATTAGTCATGGTATAGAGAACACGTTCACTGATTCATGAGCATGTATTGATTGCCTACTGCATTCTAGGCTCTGTTCTAGGGACACAATGCCACAAGACAGTCAAGAGGGGGAGAGACAAGCTAAGCAACAGCCCCAAAATAATGTCATAAGTAGCATGAAAGAGAAGTGTAGAGGAAACTAAGAATATGCCTAATTAGTCTTATTAGTAGAGAAGGCCTCCTTCCTCCCCATTGACACTACCCTCATTTAGACGGCTGTCATTTTTCACCTAAACATTGCAACTGTTCTACACTGATCTCTTCACATCTTCTCATGCACCTTTCCAACACAGCTGATCATGTTACATGCCTACCTACCTAAAGCCCTTTAATACATCCCACTACAAGGCAGATGCAATCAACATTCTTTAATATGACCAGCATGGCTCTGCTGTATCTGTCTTGTCTCTTTCTCCAACTTATTTTCCTCTACTCCGTCATGCTCTCTGAAATGAGGAGATGCTAAGGAAAAGACATCCAGGCAAAGATGTGCAGAAAAGTAACAATATACAAGAGAAAACTTAGGGAGTAGACAAAAAAAAAGTTCTCTCTAAAATCCACTTTCTTTCATACTCTGAGAAGGTTTGGTAGACAGAATTCTAAGATGTTCCCACCTCAAGATTTCCTACCCCTGGTATACACACACCTACTCCAAGTTATTAAAGCAAACACTAATCTAGCTGCTTCTGTGAAAGAATTGTGCAAATGGAGTCAAGGTCCCAAATCAGTTGATAGGAAAGTTATCCCAGTGACCCTGACCTAATCACAGGAGCCTGATATAAGCAGAGCGTTTCATCCAGCATCACGGAAGTTGGAGATTCAAAGCACAAGAAAGACTGAAGGCACTGTTGCTGGCTTGAAGATGGAGGGAACACATGACAAGAAATGCAGGCAGCCTCTAAGAGCTCAGAATGGCCCCTGGCTGACAGCCAGTGAGGAAACAGGGGTTTCAGTTCAGCAACCACAAAGGAATGAATTTTGCCAACAACTGGTGAACTTGGAAGAGGATCCCAAGCCCCAAACAAGAACTCCAGCCCCTGCCTTGTTGACACCTTGATTTTTGCTGGGTGAAATTCTGAGCAGAGAATTTAGTTATGCTGGGCCCAGACTTCTGACTTACATAAACTGTGAGATAATACACTTGTATCATTTTTAAGCTGGTAAATTTGTAGTTACACAGAAATAGAAAACTAATACTTGAAGCAAAAGAAAATTCAGCTTTCCAAAACATTTAGGCATATAGGACTTAAGTAAGTGTCCTCCTCATCATTGACCGATGCCCCATTCTGAGATTTTTAATCCAGACAGTTGCCCAAAGCATGAAGAGGGGATGTATATCACGTGTGTCTTTAGAAACAGGGCAGGGAGTAGTTCTACTCTTAACTGCAACTCACAGTTGAAAGTCCGATTTCTTGTAATATTGATATCTGTGTTCTTTCTGGAATGGAAGGGGTCGCAGATATTTAGATTATTTTTGTGACCAACTAAGAGTGGGTAAAAGGTGAAAATGGGCTGAAAGCTGGTATTAGAGACATGGGTACTACTTACCTGTAGAATAAGCAAATAACTGCCTTAATAAGTAAACAAATAACTTCTAAGTTTAATCCCCAAACCACAATTCTATAAGTTGGCATACACCAAAGTATTGAAAGTTGATTTGGAAGTATTGACATAGACCAAAGCCCAAAGTGCTTGTAGAATTTGAGGGGAGAACCAGAGTGGCATCTCTTGGCAGATAGCATGGAAGGGAGACCTACATTCCCCATTAGAAAGGAACTGGGCTAATGTTGACATCTGACCTGTAGCAATGTTCTCCTAATACACGTAGCCCAAGAAAAGAAAGCTCTTTGTCAACTGAGAGTTGCTGGCCACTTGCCTAATCACCAGCCTTGCTTGCTTTAGAGAAATTTATTACCATAAAAAAGGGACAAACTGTAAAACTCAGACTTCAGTGTTGAAAAATTGTTAGGCCTTTGGCCCTTTTCTCAGCATTTGCAAAGAATTTCCTTATATACTTAGTGATGGGGTTAGATATATGTACCTTGGAGAGGAGCACTTGTATTGGAGCTTTTCCTTTTAATTTTTCTTCCACTTTTAATTTAGGTTCAGGAGGTATATGTGCAGGTTTGTTACATGGGTAAATTGTGTGCTGCTGAGGCTTGGTGTATGAATGATCCTATCACCAAGGTAGTGAGCATAACCTTCCAACTCATTCCCCACTTTCATTTTCCCCCGTCAAGCAGTCTCCAGTGTTCCCATCTTTGGGTCCCTGTGTATTCAATGTTTAGCTCCCACTTATAAGTGAGAAAGTGCCACATTTGGTTTTCTTTCTTTCACAGCACCATTCACAATAACAAAGACATGGATGGAATTAACCCAGATGCCCATCAATGATGGACTGGATAAAGAAAATGTGGTACATGTACACCATGGAGATTTTTCAAAAGGGAAACTGTGTTAGAACTGAGCCGCCTCCTAGTCTTTCCGAAGAATGTATCAAGAGAACTTTTGTTGGTGTCAGAAAAGGCATGTTGGTGTCAGAAAAGGCTTCCCATGAAGGCAATATTGGGGCTGGGAAAAATGTTCATATGTCAGACAAGAGAAAGCTAGGACAATCTAGTCAGAGGTTGCAGAAGGTGTAAAGATGGTGGCATGAATGACCGTGGAGGATCCAAAAAACTGAAAGTCAGTTTAGTATGCTTGGAGTACATTATTTAGTCAATGGCAGAAAGAGAAGATATACAATTGGAGATGAACTTGGAAAAGTAGGTCTGACTCAGAGTCAAGGTAACCTTGATGCTTTCCTGAGCAGGCTGGGCATTAGCCTGTAAGGACCAAAGGATTTTTGCCAATGGCATGATGTGATTATTCTCATTTTGGAATGCTGTCCATGAGGGTAGCAGTGTGAAGAATAAATTGAGATATCTAGGATGAGATCCCATTTCTGGTTTGGCCAATGTCTTGAAATGAGATAAGGAATTAAATTGGGAGTCGGGGGGGATATATTTAGTTTGCTTTTGGACATGTTAAATTGTGTTTGCCTGCATTACACAAGTGAATATGTTGTGTTTCTGTTACTCAGGACATGGTCAATAATTGGAAATTCAGACTGGAGAGCTGTCACACTTAGCAGGGGCAGATTCATGAGCTTGCCTAGGGAAGCAGGTAGCATGATTGTTTATTTTTTCTGTAAATCAGGATACTCCTTTAGTTTATTTTACATAGATCAATCACTCTTGAATTTTTGTTAGGGAAGGCACTCACTTATCAATCATCAAAAATTTAATGTGATCCTTCCATAATTGGCACTGTTCAGACATCAATGGTGTTGTAGAAGACAAGATGGAAAAAATCCCTAGCCTCATAGAGCTTCACTCCACAAAAAGATGAGGAAGAGTAACAAATCATAGAATAAACAAATGTCAGATAGTGGTAAGTGCTATATAGAGAAATAAAACAGGTTAAGCAGATCAAACATTGCTATGGAGATAATCGTTCTATTTTAGATAGTTTGGCCCTGTAAATTGTCCCTCAGGACATGACATTTGAGCAAAGATCTGCATGAGGCAAGGTATGAGCCAGTCAAGGTCTAAAGGAAGAGAAAGCGGAGTCTGAAAGGTATGAGTCAGGAATCAGACATTCAAGGAAATGAAAGAAGGTTAAGGGCAGACAGAGATATGTGAATGAAAGGCAGAGAAGTAGGAGATGAGAATCAGGCAGACGACTGATCATAACAGAACTTGGGGCTAGGGTTAGTGAGTTTGGGTGAGACAGAAACCACTGAAGGGCTCCAAACAAAGCAGTGATGTCATCTAATGTTTATTTGAAACAATTTTATTGGTATCCATGGTTAATAGGGAGTGTGCTAAAAGATTAAAATTATTATTATTACTATTTACCTGTTCAGTCACCCACTCATATAATCTAGAAACATATTCTGAAAGCCTGCTCTATGCCAAGGATTGTGATAGACATTGGGGACACAAAAACTAGTAAGAGGCAGTCCTTTCCTTCAACATTTTGCAGTATTACAACTAAGTATGCATACATCACACTTGACAATGGAGATTCTTGCACCCACTTCCCATTCCATGCCGTTTACCCTATACACCGGAGGTAGAATTATTTAAACACCAAGTAGCCTGGCATATTTTTAGCATCTTAGGAAGACCCTCACTGGATTTATATATTTTATTATGTAGTTATTCCCACTTCTCACTCTCACTCTCCTTCTAATATTCTTCATGTATCTAGTTTCATTTTTATAACTTCTTTCAAAATGTGTGTTCTAGTTTTGCAGTGACTTTTATTTCTTTCAAAATATATGTTTCAGACCAGCAGTAGAGAGTGTATGTAATTCATTAGATTGTATATGGGGGCCAAGAGTCTACATTTTAGGGGAAAAAAAGGTCCCTGGGTATTGTTGATACCTACCCCAGCTCGGAACTTTTCAAAGCGGGAGGTACTAAAGTTCATTGATGTGTTTGTAAACTTACTCCTTTGGGGGAAAAACACTCTGATTTGTAGCATTTGCTGATTTTCATGGTGCGAATATTTCCACCATGACCAATCTTAAGCTAAGAAAGATTTAACAACCAGGCTGCAAAAATCCTGAATAGTGAGCAATTGGCTGGAGCCAATTTCAGCATACTGTTGTTATGTCTTCAATCCCACCTACATAAGTACCTAATGAAGACATTACTCTGCTCGTAAGAATAGGTCATCTTAGTACAATGTGTCCTAAACAGGTAACAGGAACTTTCAGTGTACCTAGATAAAGTCAGGTAGGTGTTGCAGAATCCCTGATAAGCCCGTCTAAAATTGAGTGACAGAGCTCCTTTTCTTTCAAGGATAGTTTTTAAAGTTTGTTACTGGGTTTCTCATGTGCACCATGATAGAAGCCAACTGTTTTGTCCTTACACTCTGAACAATTCCTAGACAAATTAGAAGGATGCCTCATGGCCATTCTATTGCCTCAGAAATGTTTGCCATCCTTGGGTTACATTGTTTACTGGAGCCAGGATCTGCAGGTGAGAACTGAAGAGTACAGTTGGGAGGACAATGGATCTTGAGAATTTAGAAGATATTTGGATTTTAGAAAGTCTTGGAAGAGAGGAGCTGAATCATTTCTAGAAGATTCAAAGGTTGCTTCTTTTGAGTAGTGCAATTTCCATATGGGCTTGTGATATCTTAAAAATATAGGTAGTCTTCCTCCTTTAAGACTATAAATGGTTAAATGCAGTTACTGAGAAGTAGGCATCATCATCATCATCACAGTCTAAACATCTTACATATTTAATTGTGAGGATTACAATAGAGAATCTTGTAATCATCATAATAACCTGATAAGTTTGTCTTAGTATTTTCTCCATATTATAAATTAGGAAATCAGACTCAGAGAAGTTAAGGAACGGATCCAAAACCATGCAAGATGGCAAAATGTAGCTGGGGTTTGAAACCAGACTACCTGTGCCCAGAGCTCTCATTTTCCCTGCTCTGTCATACTCCTTCCCAATGGTCTTCATGGTGCCTGATCCATAGTGGGTGCTCCCAATATATTTATGCAATGAATAAAAATAAATAAATGACAGTGTGACTTCTAAGAGAAATAATTAAGCTTGGAATATATAGATTTTTAGAGTTTTTAATGTAATGAAAGGTCATGTATATAAAGCCACAGCAAAATGTTCTGCTATGAACCTTGAAAATTGAGTTCTTCCTTGGAAATAAAAAAAAAAAGTGTGAGCTTAAGGTAATTGTCCTTTTATACTGTTGTACTTGTCATAGTGCCAGCATCTACACTTTTCCTCTAGAGATAAAATTAAAATGCCAAATTTTCATGATTATGAGATGATTACAGAATAAGTGCTGATGGAAGAATCATGAAACAGAAAGGAGAGTCTGTATGCCTTCCCAACTAGTTAAGGACTTTTTTTTTTTTTTTTACTTTGCTTTGCTTTCCTTTCTTTTTTTTTCCCTGCAAGAGATATACTACATAAGGATTTTCTTCCATGTTCCCACTGTATGGACTCTTTTTCTCTCGATTATTATTCACCCTCTGATTGGTTGTGACATGTGTCTTTAGACAGGAACACTTGTGAATGCTCCAGCACCATTCAAAAGGTAGTTCATCCCAGCTGGACTGAAAACACTAGGAAAGTTTCACATTGAAGGACTGTTGCTTTTGTTGTAATAAAGAATACATACTTTTCCTACTACCAATAACTCTTCCCGTGATTAGAAAGGATTCTTCACAAGAAAACTTTGGCCAATGTGAAAAATGAGGTTTCCATTACATATGTCAATGTAATTGTCATGTGAAGTTTAACTGTCCCGCTTGTTTATTTGCTCATTACATCTAAAGGGAAAGCAATATTGTGGGGGGGACAATCAGGTCCTGAGTGCATCAGTTTAATCCAGAGAGCTTATTTTTGATTTAAAATAAAAAGCTTCAGAAAGAGAACTGCAGACGTAGAATCCATCCTTTGCTCTTTTGTTTCACATTTCAGTGGGATGCAGACAGACCTGTGAGGCATGTTGCAAAACACCAGCAAGAGATCCAAGGCTCACTCCTGAGGCTGACTCTGATTAGACCCTTGCTAACCACAGTTCAAGTAGATGAAAAGGGTGAGTGTATTCTGATGGAATTCTCCTTTGGTTTTCCCTCTGGGGCTGATGGGAGGGGACAAGTCCATTTGTCCTGTTTTACAAGTGCGATGTCTTTTGCTCTTAAAAAGGAAGAGCTTGCCACATGCCATATACCCCACTATTAGTCAAGCAGTGGAAAGAACTCAATACAGACTAAAAAGTACAATGCCCAAAGGGACACCATCAATCCTTTATTACCACAACTTCCTCATTCTTGAGTTGTTTATATTGATTTATCTTTTGCTCAGGTAGAGTGACTTAGAGTAATTTTCTCAGCAAGAGAACAGGGATGGCCTCTGTTCTGAGCCTTTGCCAGCCTGAGAAATATTTCCCTCTGCCCTCATACAGAATAATTGGGCATGGAATTTTCGGGCCATAATCTTTTCCTCTCAAACTCTGTAGTTTTTGTTACTAATTTTGATCTTAGCCAAAAGGTGAAGAAGCAATGAATTTTCTGTTTGTTTTTTTTTTTTCAGACGTGTGTGGCATATAGCAATATATGAAGCTAAGATTATTTGGAATGTATTTTAGTCAACCTAACTTTTATTCCCACTTCTATTTAAAGTGTTTAGGCTTTATATTTGAAGTGTCACCATATTACTTGAATAAATCTCAGGTTGTAATTCTGTGTTTTTTTTTAAATTAATTTTGCCCAGGATCAATAAATTCTTTTAGTTCGCAGATTTTTTTTCTTTTACTCAATAATGTTTCCTTCTATTACTCCTTTAATTGCTTCTGGTGTGTGTTTTTTACCAAAAGAGAGGTTTCTCTGAGACACGTCTTTTATGTGTCTGTGTGTATAGATAGATAGATAGATACATAGATAGATATTTTTACATATAAATGTGTGTTTATATACAAATATATACAATAAAAATATTTATTGTATACTTAGTATATAAAGTATGTATATATCTCACACAATGCAAACGCACACACAAGTATATATATATTCTATTATGTATATATGGTCCATATTCCCCTAGGCTCATCATTATTTGTTTTTTTCTAAGTTTCAAAGTTTTTTTCCTTTATCTTTAAACGCTTCTGAATTCCTATAATCTTTTTTCTTCTGATACACATAGTTGTTTGCATAAAATCTGTCATTTACCACTTTTACGATCTGTCATTTACCACTTTTACGATGAGTCCTTAATTCAAAAATTGAAGCAATAATGTATCCTTTAATTTCTTCCCTTATCTATCTTTCCTGATTTTAGATTGTTTCACTTACTGTATGCTTACTTAATTTCACAAATTCTATGTGTCTTCTAGAAGTTTAATCAGAAATGTTCTCAACTTTCTATATTTAAGAGTTTTTCTCTGATTCCTGGGAACTGGTAAAATGTAGAGGTTTGCTCTTGAGCCCATTTGATGAGCCTGTTTCTCAAGCATGGATTGCTTTCACAGGAGATTGGAAGAGAAATTTTACCCAGTCCCTTTGTTCTCTCTTCTTCTTCTCTCTGGTTCTTGGTTCTGCTATTGGTTCTTCTCTCAGTACTGTCTCTTCATACTTGTACAATTCCTGAGTTTTTATATAACCACTAAAAAGTTGTTGGCATAGAAAAGACAAAGACCCAACCACTCCTCTGAGGGGTTTTTTGGTTGTTGTTTATTTTCTAGATGGAAATGTAATTTTGGGCTTGCTTCAAATGAATGTAGTAACCAGAAGAAGCCCTGTGTTCTAGAGAGTGAACTCCAGAAACAATTTTCCAGAAAACACATATTTTCTATAATAAAGTATTAAACAGCAAAGCGTTCAAGATACCAAGTATGTTTATTTGTCACTATGGACGTAAATTCTGTCTCATTAAATGATAAAGTTCCCTTCTTTTGAGATGTGCCCTTTGGCCCATGCCACTGTGGCTGCTAGTGTATAATGCAAGAATTAGATTATCAGCACCCATTGGCATGTCTCAGTTTTGTCTTATGTTGATCCACGTCATGTAAGTATATGTGTAATACATAGAAATAGCAAGGTAGAACTTAGTTTTAATTACTGTATGACTTATATTAGTATTTGCCTCATGCTTTTTATTTAACTAATGACTCACAGATGCTCCTTTTCATGTTATTTGAATTTTAGAAATTTATCTATGCTATCTTTCACTTCTAAGTGCAATCATCTGCTTGTGTCATGCCTCTTGCCATGTTCCACTCAGTAGATGTCAAAAATTAGTCTCTTGCTTCTCTAGTTATTTTAATTGTGATGTTAGGGTGTCAATTTTAGATCTTTCCTGCTTTCTCCTGTGGGCATTTAGTGCTATAAATTTCTCTCTACACACTGCTTTGAATGTGTCCTAGAGATTCTGGTATGTTGTGTCTTTGTTCTCATTGGTTTCAAAGAACATCTTTATTTCTGCCTTCATTTTGTTATGTACCCAGTAGTCATTCAGGAGCAGGTTGTTCGGTTTCCATGTAATTGAGCAGTTTTGAGTGAGTTTCTTAATCCTGAGTTCTAGTTTGATTGCACTGTGGTCTGAGAGACAGTTCGTTATAATTTCTGTTCTTTTACATTTGCTGAGGAGTGCTTTACTTCCAACTATGTGGTCAATTTTGGAATAGGTGTGGTGTGGTGCTGAAAAGAATGTAAATTCTGTTGATTTGGGGTGGAGAGTTCTGTAGATGTCTATTAGGTCCACTTGGTGCAGAGCTGAGTTCAGTTCCTGGATATCCTTGTTAACTTTCTGTCTAATGTTGACAGTGGGGTGTTAAAGTCTCCCATTATTATTGTGTGGGAGTCTAAGTCACTTTGTAGGTCACTAAGGACTTGCTTTATGAATCTGGGTGCTCCTGTATTGGGTGCATATATATTTAGGATAGTTAGTTCTTCTTGTTGAATTGATCCCTTCACCATTATGTAATGGCCTTCTTTGTCTCTTTTGATCTTTGTTGGTTTAAAGTCTGTTTTATCCGAGACTAGGATTGCAACCCCTGCCTTTTTTTGTTTTCCATTTGCTTGGTAGACCTTCTTCCATCCCTTTATTTTGAGCCTATGTGTGTCTCTGCACATGAGATGGGTTTCCTGAATACAGCGCACTGATGGGCTTGACTCTTTATCCAATTTGCCAGTCTGTGCCTTTTAATTGGAGCATTTAGCCCATTTAATTTAAGGTTAGTATTGTTATGTGTGAATTTGATCCTGTCATTATGATGTTAGCTGGTTATTTTGCTGGTTAGTTGATGCAGTTTCTTCCTAGCCTTGATGGTCTTTACAATTTGGCAAGAGCAAACACATTCAAAAGCTAGCAGAAGGCAAGAAATAACTGAGATCAGAGCAGAACTGAAGGAAATAGAGACATAAAAAACCCTTCGAAAAATCAATGAATCCAGGAGACTGGTTTTTTGAAAAGATCAACAAAATTGACAGACCGCTAGCAAGACTAATAAAGAAAAGAGAGAAGAATCAAATGACGCAATAAAAAATGATAAAAGTGATATCACCACTGATCCCACAGAAATACAAACTACCATCAGAGAATACTATAAACACCTCTACGCAAATAAACTAGAAAATCTAGAAGAAATGGATAAATTCCTCAACACATACACTCTCCCAAGACTAAACCAGGAAGAAGTTGAATCTCTGAATAGACCAACAACAGGCTTTGAAATTGAGGCAATAACTAATAGCTTACCAACCAAAAAAAGTCCAGGACCAGATGGATTCACAGCCGAATCCTACCAGAGGTACAAGGAGAAGCTGGTGCCATTCCTTCTGAAACTATTCCAATCAATAGAAAAAGAGGGAATCCTCCCTAACTCATTTTATGAGGCCAGCATCATCCTGATACCAAAGCCTGGCAGAGACACAACAAAAAAAGAGAATTTTAGACCAAGATACTTGATGAACATCGATGCAAAATTCCTCAATAAAATACTGGCAAAACTGAATCCAGCAACACATCAAAAAGCTTATCCACCATGATCAAGTGGGCTTCATCCCTGGGATGCAAGGCTGGTTCAACATACGAAAATCAATAAACATAATCCAGCATATAAATAGAACCAAAGACAAAAACCACATGATTATTTCAATAGATGCAGAAAAGGCCTTTGAAAAAATTCAACAACGCTTCATGCTAAAAACTCTCAATAAATTAGGTATTGATGAGACGTATCTCAAAATAATAAGAGCTATCTATGACAAACCCACAGCCAATATCATACTGAATGGACAAAAACTGGAAGCATTCCCTTTGAAAACTGGCACAAGACAGGGATGCCCTCTCTCACTACTCCTATTCAACATAGTGTTGGAAGTTCTGGCCAGGGCAATCAGGCTGGAGAAGGAAATAAAGGGCATTCAATTAGGAAAAGAGGAAGTCAAATTGTCCCTCTTTGCAGACGACATGATTGTATATCTAGAAAACCCCATTGTCTCAGCCCAAAGTCTCCTTAAGCTGATAAGCAACTTCAGCAAAGTCTCAGGATACAAAATCAACGTGCAAAAATCACAAGCATTCTTATACACCAATAACAGACAAACAGAGAGCCAAATCATGAATGAACTCCCATTCACAATTGCTTCAAAGAGAATAAAATACCTAGGAATCCAATGTACAAGGGATGTGGAGGACCTCTTCAAGGAGAACTACAAACTACTGCTCAGTGAAATAAAAGAGGATACAAACAAATGGAAGAACATTCCATGCTCATGGGTAGGAAGAATCAATATCGTGAAAATGGCCATACTGCCCAAGGTAATTTACAGATTCAATGCCATCCCCATCAAGCTACAAATGACTTTCTTCACAAATTGGAAAAAACTACTTTAAAGTTCATATGGAACCAAAAAAGAGCCCGCATTGCCAAGTCAATCCTAAGCCAAAAGAACAAAGCTGGAGGCATCACACTACCTGACTTCAAACTATACTACAAGGCTACAGTAACCAAAACAGCATGGTACTGGTACAAAAACAGAGATATAGACCAATGGAACAGGACAGAGTCCTCAGAAATAATGCCGCATATCTACAACTATCTGATCTTTGACAAACCTGACAAAAACAAGAAATGGGGAAAGGATTTCCTATTTAATAAATGGCGCTGGGAAAACTGGCTAGCCATATGTAGAAAGCTGAAACTGGATCCCTTCCTTACACCGTATACAAAAATTAATTCAAGATGGATTAAAGACTTACATGTTAGACCTAAAACCATAAAAACCCTAGAAGAAAACCTAGGCAATACCATTCAGGACATAGGCATGGGCAAGCTCTTCACGTCTAAAACACCAAAAGCAATGGCAACAAAAGCCAAAATTGACAAATCGGATCTAATTAAACTAAAGAGTTTCTGCACAACAAAAGAAACCACCGAGTGAACAGGCAACCTACAGAATGGGAGAAAATTTTTGCAACCTACTCATCTGACAAAGGGCTAATATCCAGAATCTACAATGAACTCAAACAAATTTACAAGAAAAAAAAAAACAACCCCATCAAAAAGTAGGCGAAGGATATGAACAGACACTTCTCAAAAGAAGACATTTATGCAGCCAAAAAGCACATGAAAAAATGCTCATCATCACTGGCCATCAGAGAAATGCTAATCAAAACCACAATGAGATACCACCTCACACCAGTTAGAATGGCGACCATTAAAAAGTCAGGAAACAACAGGTGCTGGAGAGGATGTGGAGAAATAGGAACACTTTTACACTGTTGGTGAGACTGTAAACTAGTTCAACCATTGTGGAAGTTGGTGTGGTGATTCCTCAGGGATCTAGAACTAGAAATACCATTTGACCCAGCCATCCCATTACTGGGTATATACCCAAAGGACTATAAATCATGCTGCTATAAAGACACATGCACACGTATGTTTATTGCGCCATTATTCACAATAGCAAAGACTTGGAACCAATCCAAATGTCCAACAATGATAGACTGGATTAAGAAAATGTGGCACATATACACCATGGAATACTATGCAGCCATAAAAATTGATGAGTTCATGTCCTTTGCAGGGACATGGATGAAGCTGGAAACCATCATTCTCAGCAAACTATCGCAAGGACAAAAAACCAAACACCGCATGTTCTCACTCATAGGTGGGAATTGAACAATGAGAACACATGGAAACAGGAAGGGGAAGATCACACACCGGGGACTGTTGTGGGGTGGCAGGAGTGGGGAGGGATAGCATTAGGAGATATACCTAATGACTAGGTAATTAACTAGATAATGACTAATTAACTAGGTAATTAACTACATAATGACTAGTTAATGGGTGCAGCACACCAACATGGCACATGTATACATATGTAACAAACCTGCATGTTGTGCACATGTACCCTGAAACTTAAAGTATAATAATAATAAAAAAAAGGAAAAAAAATTAGGCTCACAATCAACAAGCTGTATTGTACTTTTAAATACATTTTATAATCATAAACATGTATTTTTTTTCTGAGCACCTACTTGGTGAAAAGTTTTAGAATTTAATTACTCTGTCATCCAACCAAGGAAGCTTTCAATAAAAATATAGACACTCAAGGAGAAGTTAGGCATCACCATGCTTCTTCTTTCTGGGGAAACAAGATGTTATTTGGTCAAAGATTTTTAAATTGACCCTAAGCTTCTTCAATAATTTGTAAATACCCAGTTGCAAAGAGAATGTATAAATGTCTATCTAACTCTGAGAAGCTTGGTGTCATAGGGAAAATGCTAGTTTCTCTCTTGCTGCATTCTAAGGCAGAGCGCACTGATGGCCAAAGGGAATCTGGCTGTAGCCCAAACCCATTTCTCTAACTTCCAAACCAGAGAGGACACACTCTGCTTCCAATAGCCCATCCAACAATGATGGAACCATGGCTGATGGGAATTATCTCAAACTCATCAGGAATGAACACACACTTGCTAATGACTAACTTCCTTCCCCTCCATGTGTCCCTGCAGAGGAAGTAGGCAAGAGAGAGCAAGACCCTTGGCTCAACTTCAGCCTTTTCCCCTTTTTCCTTTCCCAAATACCCTCTCCTCTCACTCCATTAGCATTCTTGATTCTTGAATTCCCATCAAGTTTTCAGGGGAAGGGGAAATACTATTTCTTGCACTTTTTGTTGGCGAAGAAACTGATGCTGTCTGCCTTTCATTGTTCTACCCAGCATCCGGTTTGGACTTGACTGAGGGCAGTGATGAAGGTGAACATCCAGTTGTGTCCCATGTCCTTTGAACAACTGTCTTTACACAGACAAACCATTTTGGAGACTGTTTATGCTTACTTGAAGTATCAGTAGCAAACTCACTGCATTACCCCCAGTGAGGGCCACTGATGGCATTCAAAAAGCTGCAAAAACAAAAACAAAAATCAAACTCATAACTAAAAAACCCACAATGTCCTCAATATATTGATTAAACTTTCTGTATGACTATAGACATGGAGGAGAAGAAATCAACAGAGAGAGAGAAATAGGCTCTAGAAATAGGCTCTGCTTTCCCAACAGCAACAATGGTTGTGCCTTATCATGTGAATAACAACATACTAGAGTTGAACCATCATACTATTGGTATATAGTAGGTGATCAATAAAATAGTTGTGAATATCAGTACCATATTTGCAGTATACTTGCCTTTCTAGGTAACTGGATCTAAAGGATAAATAAAGTACATCTAACTTAGAACTGAGGAGAGGTAAATTGTACTCTTTAGGTTATGGAAATATTTTTAAATAAACTCTTTCTTTTGGAATTATCTTTGACTTACAAAATAATTAGCTGAGTACAGAGAGTTCCATATATTTCTAACTCAGTTTCCCCTAACGTTACCAGCATATATTAGCACGGTTTATTTGTCAAAACTAAGAAACCAACATTGGTACTTTACTATAATTCTAGATTTTATTTAACTTTATTTTAATTTCACTAGTTTTCCCATTTTTTTGTTTTGTTTTGGGATCAAATCCAGGCTACCACACTGCATTTTGTCACCATCTCTCCATAGACAACTCTGGTTAGTGACAGTTATTTAGTCTTACTTTGTTTTTCATAATCTTGACCATTTTGAGGAATAATGGTAAGATGTTTTATAGAATACCCCTCAATTTGGGTTTGTTTGATTTTCCTTATGGTTTGACTGGGGTTTTGAATTTTTGGATAGACGACCACAAAGTTACATGATATCCACATGATATCACTGATGATGTTAACCTTTATCACTTGGTTAAGGTACTGTCTGCCAGGTTTCTCCACTGTACAGTTATTATTTTTTTCCTTTTATGGAATAGCTTCTAGTTTGGATATATTATAATTTCATTTAGCAAGTCTTTTTATATAGATCAGGAAATGGTTCTTTATTGTGAAGTTAAAAAGAAAAACAAAAAAGAAAGAAATGTCTTGCTGGAATCCTGGAGAAAGTTTGGTCAGTACTTGATTTTGGTATCAAAATCACCCAATCCTTGTGGAATTTGAAAGAGGTTAAGATTGTAGCTGAGAGTCTAAGCCATGCAACTTCTCTCTAAGCTCTTATCATGAGCACAGGGTCTGCACACCATCTTCCATGGGCACTGAAGTTAACAGAGAAATCCTTCCACCCCCACCCAGACCTTTTCCATGTTCTTCTCTTTACCATTTCTCATCGTCTCTCTCTAACCTTCCATTGTGCCCTCTGACAGGCAAGGCCCCATCTCCCCATGTTGTGTCCTCCTTCACGGATCGTCAGTTACTTCTGTGTCTAGTTCCTAACCTTCATAAAGGACAGAAGTGGGCGGGGGTTATCAGATGCTGAGACTGTGGGAGAGAGAGGAAGGTGGCCCTCTTTTTGGCCTGCTCTCTGGATGAAGTATCTACAATACAACTAGACCTTTCACAATGTGGAAATTACAACTTCTGCTAGCATATCTCCTAATTTCACGATGTTTGAAGAGGATTTGCCTCCTTATCCATCTTGAATTACTATGTAATTCTATTTCTATTAATGCAGTATTGATAAACCACTTTCCAAAACTGGAGGACAGAGGTCATAGGGGTTAAAATGAATCCTTCCATTTTACATAGGTCTTGGGTTAAATATCATTGGAAAAATATATTTATTTATTTTTAGTTTTTGAGATGGACTCTCACTCTGTCACCCAGACTGGAGTTCAGTGGCACAATCCCGACTCACTGCAACCTCTGCCTCCTGAGTTCAAGCCATCCTCCCACCTCAGCCTCCTGAGCAACTGGAATTACAGGCGTGCACCACCACTCCCAGCTAATTTTTGTATTTTTAGTAGAGACGGGGTTTTACCATGTTGGACAGGCTGGTCTCAAACTCCTGACCTCAAGGGATACACCAGCCTTGGCCTCCCAAAGTGCTGGGATTACAGGAGTGAGCCACCACACCTGGCCAAAGTATCTTAATTTTATTTTTAAGAAAAATCCAGGAATAGCAGGAGTTCAGGTTTCTGCTTAAGCTGTGTTGTCTTCTGTGGTTCAGATATATCTGTGTCTGTCTGTCCCACTGTGTGGGTGACTCCTTCAGGGTTTTCCTTGTATGAGGGGTCAGTTTTCATCATAGTCTTGGGGAAGGGGGACCTTAGTTCAAAGAGGAGAACTTCTACTCTCAAGGAGATAAAATTTGGAAAAAATAACTTCAGCAGTTAGTGATTTTGCAGTTTCAGTAATCAATACATAAATTATTAAAAAGTATAAACTTGCCAACGTTTGAATTGATGATTTAAAAGATAAAGTTGATGAAATGTGTCATAAAAGAAAGTAGAAACACATAGTTATAGATTCAAAAGGAAAGATAAGAGTTTTGAAGACAGTGCCAGGAGATTAGACTCATTGAATTAACAGGAAGAAAAAAGGAAAGATGAAGGAAAAGTAATATTTCAAAAAGAACTATAAGACAATGTTTTTGAGCAGCAGAAAGATAAATATACAGTTTTGGGTTTCTTGCTAGGTATCAAAAAATTACTGGGAAAAAATGTGAACTTTTGAAATTCCAAAATCCTAAGTTACATACAAATGCTTAAAGCTTCCAGTTATAAAAAACTGTTCACATATCAGAGTTAACCTGTTTAGCCTCAGATTTGCCTCCAATACATGGACGCTATTCCGCAACATGTATAGACTTTTGAGAGGAAAGGCCTGCAATGTCAAATTCTACACATGCATAAAATATTATACACCTATTGCTGAAACAACCATAAGGTGAGAATAGTCTCAGTGAATACAATCCATGTTTATTATTTGGAAAAATATCTGTGAACTCTAAATAAATTTCAGTGCAATAAGACTAGAAACCTCAATATATTGGAAGATATAAAAGGGGAAATAACAACAATGAATAAAAGATGGATAAAACAATAGATGGACACAATTTCTATGCTTATATACATATCATATATAATTGAATGATGATAATGTTACTGTGAACTTATAAGCACACAGTGAGTCTTTTTGGAAGAGGAAACGTGTAGCAAGAGAAATCCTTTCAATAGACTGCCCCCCACAAAGAAAACAAAAACTAACAAAAAAACCCCTACTTTTTCAACAAAATTAAGTGGCAGATGTGGGAGAAGGGGGGGAATAATAAAGAACAAAAAAATTAACATATAATAATATGCCACCACAATGACATACGTGAGATCCAAATAATTAAATTGTTAAATATAGGTTCATGTGTTATTAATTTATTAAAACATATAATACATTATTTTTAGGAGATCTGTACGGTCTAAAATCACAAAAGATAGTGTAAAGTATACAAAAGTACACAACTGAAAGATACTTGAACTGAAAAGTCCCAAAGGATCACAAGGTGGTCAAATCCTAACCACAGCCCACTTCTTATAAAGAATAAGAGCTTTAACCTAACCCTGTTTGAGAACTGGAGCTGGGCAGAGGTGAGGAGCCATTTACTAATTGCATTTTCTCCAAATTCAGGTTTGACAGGGGTTACTGCAACTTCTAAGATCTCATATTGAGGTAAAAAGTGAAGGTATTCTAAACATTTATTTCAGTGGGACGGGGGAGTGGATATGTAAAGTGTCAGTGGGAAAAATACAGGTTTAATTGTGACAGTTAAGAAGTGGAAGTTACTACTAGACTAAAAATGCAATAGAGCTTCTAAATTACCAGGAGATTACCAACAGTGAATGAAGAAAAATTTCATTATTGTTTATTATTAGACAAAAATCTAATGATGCATTGGACAATATTAACATCAGAACAAAGGGAAATCAAGGTCATCGGAACTAAACAAGATAGAGAGGAATATTATGTAATAATAAAATTTAACAGTCCATAAGAGACTTACAAATGATGTACATCTTTACATAGCCAATAACACTGCAGAAAAATGTAAGAATTGAGTTAGACGTCGAAAGCTATGGTAACTTGTTAAAATAAAATTTCATTGGAAAATTTCAGTGCAACTATTTCAGAATATAAAATCAATGAGGACACAAATAGAATATTTAAATAATATAATCAATAAACACAATTTAATAGATTTGTATGCAATGTACTATCTTAAAATATGAATATACATCCTTTTAATGTCCTTGGAACACTATAAAACAACACTAATACACTTAGATACAAAAAATTTTAATATCTATCCAAAGAGATATTTTATAGGCCTCACTTTTGATCATAGCTTTCTCTCCCCCAAGATTAAAATCAATAACAAATAAAGTCTATGCCTGAAAAACATAACTAGCTCATTTCTATTTAAAAATGTTTTTCTAACAATACGTGATTAAAGAGGTGAAAATATAAGTCACAAATTATATTTAAAGGATGAATGGGAAAAATAAACCCTCATAAAAAAAACCAATGGGTCACAGTCAAAGCTATCTATTTTCACAGGAAAAAAATAAATTTCCAGAAGAAATATTTTCAGGGTTAATTAATATATTTTCTGAGGAAAATATGTAGCCTGAACCGCATTTAAAAAATTATTGTTAAAAGAGGAAGCCTTAAAATAGATTAAAAAAAAAACAACCCTTGATTTCAAGTATACAAGGTGTAAGAAACAATGAACAGTTTACAAAAAGAGTTACCTAAAGTCAAAGTAAAATGTTAGGAAATGATTTGTGATGGGGAAAAATGGATGAAGTGGTCAGGAAAGCCCTTTCTAAAGAACTAACATTCACAGAAAATTAAAGGAACTGAGAACATAAGTCAAGTGAAAATCTAGCTATTTATGGGACTTCTCTTTGTGGTACCTGGGATTACTTATTTTTGGTTCATATTGAGGTAGCCAAGAAGGCTTAGGTAGGTAACTAGAAGAAACAAAATCATTTCCTTTCTTCATTGTTTTATAACAGTGAACCTATCTTTACAGCTTCTTATGATTATGTAGTTAGTATATTTGTATTATAAAAATCAAGAGGAAATATTAAAAAATAAATGTAATTGTCCCTTGAAATTCTGCTGTATGAAGAAAACCAAAATCAATGTTACAGATCATCTGTTCATGCACCTCTTCATGTATGTGTATATATGTATATACAAATATTATTTTGTTTCTTATGGTACATATTTTAATGCCATGTTTTATTTTTTTCAATGTTTGATATTTATCTTCTGCTTTCCCTCTTCTGCCTCAGATAACTAAGATTGGCCACATACTGCTACTCTTTCATATCTTATTCAATGCCCAAATGATCAAGTCACTGTGACTGTAGCTTTAACTGTTGACACAGATTTAGATGATAACATGGATATAGACAGCAAAATTGTCATCATTATTTTGTTTTAAAAAATGATCACAATCATAGTGCTTCTTTACATCTTGTTTTTCTCCTTTCCTCATAGACTGTGGCAATCTTTCCAAGTAATTTGGTCTGAACCAAATGTAGTCTGTTAGTAGTAAATAATAATCCCTGATATGAATGGACCATAATCTATCCAATCTGTATATTTCTGAATAGTATTCACTTTTCCATTCTAGTTTTTGTTACTGTCAAAAATCCTGCAATAAATATTTCCATGTATGTATTTTTATATTTTGCTATTTTTATTTATATAAATTTGGCTCTGAGGAGTGAGATCAATGAGTTGAAGAATATGTATATTTTTAACTTTTAATGATCCTTTCAAATTGCTTTCCAAAAAAGGTTCATTACTAACTCACATGGACAGCAACAATGTCTGAGCTCCATGCTATCTACATCCTTATCAGCAACCATTTTTTTCTCATCTGATAAGTATGAAAGACTACCTTGACATTATTTTTATTTGCATTTTTCCAACAAAAAGGTTGCATGCCTATTCTTTTGCTTCCGTTGGTCTTTTATGTTTGTAATTGTAGGAGCTCTCTAATCATACATTTTTCCCATTTTTTCCTGGTGGTGTGTATGTGTTTTTCTTGTCAATTTGTTATCAATAATATTATTGATAATAGTATTGTAATGTAAAAATGTTATTATTAATAACAATATATTATTGATAATAGTTATCAATAATATTATTTTAAATATATTGTGACCTTTAATCTAGTATGTGTAGCATGTATCCTGTGTTTCAGTATTGATTTTAAAAATATTTAAATAAACAAAAGTTTAATTTTCATATATTCAAGTATCTCTGCTTTTTCCATTACACTTTTGGGTTTATTGTTTTGGTTATAAAGATTTCACCACCCTTTGGCTTTAACATTTCTCCTGACATGTTACATAGTTATAATTTTTAAAAATATTTATGTTTTTATTACAGTTATGGTATTTTTAAATATGACATGAAGTAGATATCTAACTATCTCTGTTTTTGATAGAAAACCAGTTGTGCTGGCATCACTTATTAAATTTCCACTAAATTGAAATACCATTTATTTAATTTATTTAGTTGTCATATATATTTTAGAATCAGATTCTGGGCACTGTATTCTGTTTCTCTGGTCTGTTTTATTTTTTATGCTAATACAAACTGTTTTCATTACAGAGACATTATCATATCTTTTATTATTTGGCCAAGCAAGCTCTTCCAATTCTTCAGAACCTGAAGCTGAACATAAGTGTTGCCCTCATTCTAATTTTACATATTTTGCTTTTCCAGTGGGATTGTATGGTACCCAACCTTTCTGTAAGATCATTTTTGCTTAAAAACCTCAAGTGGTTTATGCATTCCTAGCTGAACTCTGAGGGATGCAGAGTATATCAAGGCAGCTAAATATTTTATTAATATATACATCTAGCTGGGCAGAGATATTTAGAATAATTAATTTTCAAGAATATCATTTTTAATAGCAACAAGGAATATAAAATGTCTAAGAATAAATTTAACAAAACATGTTGAAGACATTTATGGCAGATTTTCATAAAAATACATAATAAAAACATTTGATATATTAAAATTGAAATTGACTGCATAATTAACAGCATGAAAATAAATGACAAGCCACAGACTGGACAAGGAACTTGGCCAATCGAATAACCTACAATGTTTTAGTACCTAAAATATATAAAGCATTCTTGCAAATCCAAAATTAAAAATGCAAATAAACTAGTAGAAAAGTGGCAAAAGCCAATAAGGACATAAAAAGATCATAAATTTCGCAATGAATAAAGGATGTGCAAATTAAAACCACAGTGAGGTATCTTTTTATCCATCATATTTGAATATTTTATTTTTTAATTCACAGTATCATGTTAGTGAGCAAATGCAACTAAAGGGGCTTTAAGGGTCTATTTATTGATAACAGTAATAGAGATATGCACCATGAAATTATAGAAATCCTAAATTTGTATTCATCTAATAATATGACCTCAAAATATATGGGCAAAAGTTGACATTACTAAATGGAGATATGGGCAAATTGATAATCATAGTTGTAAATTTTAATACACTTTTCTCAGTAACTAATGATTCAAGCAGACAAAAATAACACTAAGGACATAGAAAGTTGAACACCAGATGAACCAACCTGAACTAACAGTCATTTGTAGAACACTACCTGTAGCAACTACAAAAAGGCATTCTTATCAACTGCACATATAATATTTAACAAAACAGACCATATTCTTGCCTATAAAGTAAGTCTTAACAAATTTCAAAGGACTAAAATCATAGAGCATATCCTCTGTCAACAGTGGAATAAAGTTAGAGACCAATAACAGAAAGGTCACTAGAAAATCTCCGAATATTTTGAAACTAAGCAACACATCTCTAGATAGTCCTTGGGCCAAGAAATAAATTACAATTAAAATTATAAAATATTTTAAAGTAAACTCCAAAATAATATATCAAAACCATAGGATACATTCATAACAGTCCTCATAGAGAAAATTATTCTTCAAAATGCATATATTAAAAAAGAAAAAAAGGTTAACAATAAAAAATCTCAGTTTTACCATAGAGTATTTAGGGAAAATACATAGCAAATTAAACCCACAGAAAGTAAAAAACTAAAAGAAGATATAAATGAAAGAGTAAATGATATGGTTTGGTTGTGTCCCCACCCAAATCTCATCTTGAACTGAAGTTCTCATAATTCCCATGTATCGTGGGAGGGACATGATGGGAGGTAATTTAATCATAAAGGCAGTTACCCTCATGCTTTTCTTATGATAGTGAGTGAGTCCTCACAAGATCTGATGGTTTTATAAGGGCCTTTCCCCCCTTTTGCTCAGAACTTCTCCTTGCTGCCGCCATGTGAAGGAGAACGTGTTTGCTTCCCCTTCCACCGTGATTGTAAGTTTCCTGAGGCCTCCCCAGCTATGCCTAACTGTGAGTCAATTAAACCTCTTTTCTTAATAAATTACCCAGTCTTGGGTATGTCTTTATTAGCAGCATGAAAACAGACTAATACAGTAAGCAAATGAACAAGATAAAAAATGAGAAAAGCTTTTTGTTACAGTGTGAAGAAACAAAATATCAACATCAAGATTCCTACAGATCCAGTCATCAGAAGAATCATAACACGATATTAGAAACCAGCATATGCCAATAAATTTGCAAGTTTAAAAGAAATGAAAAAAAATTTTGAAAAAAAGGAACTATCAATAATGACACAGGACAAAAAATTAGCAAATTGACATAACCCTATATCCATTAAAATAAGCTGAATCTATAATTTAAAACTTTTCCTTAAAAAATCTCCATGTCCAGATGACTTCACTAGGCATTTTTTTTCAAAACTGTTCAAAGAAGAAATAATATTAACACACAACATATACAACATGCAACAACAACAGAGAACAGAAAAACAATATTACCAAGCCACTCAATTTAGAAAATAACAATAACATTGATACCAAAACTTGTAAAGAATATTACAAAAATAAAAGAAATAAGGATCAACATTGTTCATGAATATAGATGTAAAAATCTAAACAAGATGATAGCATATGAATTTAATGCCAAACGAGAAAAAGAAGGATACTAACTCACCTTTTTAGATATAATTAGCTTATTTAAAAAGAGGGAGATGGAGATTATTTATGATAGAAGAGTTCAGAACTTCAGTGAAATGGGCATCTTCATGTTGATACCACTTCAGTAGTGATTTATTTCTGTCTACATTCCTTCCAAGAATGTCACCATCTCTAAATAAGAATAATCCTTGTCATCTATAACTACTTTGTTGCCTCCATATTCTGGGAGACAAATTTTATCTCCAAATTTCAGACTAATTGGTTGTATCTCTCCACGCTTTCCTTTACAGCCAGACGTAACTACCACTACTGTTGCTTGCAATACTTATCCTTGAGATTTTTTGGGAAGCATAATACCTCCTTTGGTTACAGTTTTGACTGCGATACTTTCAACCAATACTCAGTCAGAAAGCAAAAAAATTAAAAAAAAAAGTTCTAAATGTTTGTCCTGCCATGACTCCTGTTGTTCTTGTGCTGCTGTTGCATGGAAAGCCTAATTCAATTTGCTGAGAGGTACCTTGGAAAAAAGTCTACGGTTAGTGGTAAAATATTAATGGTTTACTTCTGAGATAATAAACAAAATAAGAATATCCATCATCATCACTTCAACTCAACATTGCATGTTCTAGCCAGTGGAATGAAGCAAGTAAAATAAATAAATCTGGGAACGTTGGGAAAAAAATCATGATTATTCATAGAAAACATGTCTGTATATATAGAAAAATGAAAGACTCAAAAAATTAATGGAAGTAAGGAGTGAATTTAGCAAGTTCACTGGATATAGGGTCCATATACAAAATAAATTTTGTTTTCATAAGCTAGAACATGCAAGTAGAATATTAAATTTTAAAAGTATTATTTCAATAGCACCAAATTCAGACATATTGCTGTCTAAATCTAACAAAAGACATATGCAAGATCTCTACTTTGAAAACTATACAACATTGTTCAATGAACCTAGAAAAGACCTATGCTCTTAAATTGAAGGGCTTAATATTGTTAAGATGTCAATTCTCTTCAAATTGGTCTATATGCTCAATGCGCTCAATAAAAAGTCCAGTTTTTTTGGAAATTGACAAAGTGATTTTAGTGCATCTATGTCTGTGTGTGTGTGTACACACACACACTGGACTAAGGCAATCTTAAATAAGAAAAATAAAGTTGGATGACCATATATCAAGATTTAACATAAAGTTTCAGAAATGAATATACTCTGCTCTTAGCAAAGGATAAACGTATTAGTCCACTCTCACACTGCTATGAAGAAATATCCAAGACTGGGTAATTTATAAAGAAAAGATGTTTAATTGACTCAGTTCCACCTGGCTGGGGAGGACTCAGGAAACTTACAATCATGGCAGAAGTCACCTCTTCACAGGGCAGCAGGAGAGCAGAATGAGTGCAAGCAGGCAAAATGCCAGACACTTATAAAACCATCAGATCTCGTGAGAATTTACTATCACAAGAACAGCATGGGGGAATCCACCCCCATGATCCAATCACTTCCCACCCTGGTCCCTCCCATGACACGTGGGGACTATGGGAACTACAATTCAAGATGAGATTTGGGTGGGGACATAGCCAAAACATATCAATAAATACATAGAAAAATAAATAGAAGATCCAGACCCCCCCAACCAATACCTCGCAGAATCCACACATTTATGGTCTCCCCAGCAATGAAAAAACAAAGTATCATTTTAGTGGGGAAAGTACAATCATTTTAATAAATATGCAGGATCTATGCTATATCTCTTTGGAACAATGAGAATTGACCCTTACCTCCCACATTTAATTTGAGATGAATCATAGAATCCAATGTTCAGGGAAAAACAATGCAGATTCTACAAGAAAATACCTTCAGAAATGTAGAGTAGGCCAGAGTTTTTCAATCTCATCACTATTGATACCTGAGACCAGATAATTGTTTGTTATGGGAGTTATCCTATGCACTGTGGGATGTTTAGCAGCAACCCTCTATTGACTAGATGCCACCAGCATCCAGTAGCTAAAATTAAAAAGGCTGACAATAATACATTTCAAGGATGTAGAACAACTGGGTTTCATAATTACTCTTTGGGAGCAATGAAAAACTCTTGAGAAGTACCTGTTAAAGCTACATATTACTTGTAATTTATGCTCTATGAACAACCAATTTCTCTTTCAAATATATACACATACACATATATATATTTGTGTCTTACATATATATATTTGTGTCTTACATATATAACATATATGTATATATTATATACATATCTATACACACAGAGAGAGAGGTAAATCTGTGTTCATATCCAACAATGGCATCTTTATAGAAGCATTATTTATAATAGCCCCAAACTGGAAACAACCCAAAGTGGAGAATATACATTAACAATGGAATATTACACAGCAATGAAAATAAATTATGGCTATATGCAAAGCAAAATACATCTTACAGACTTAAGGTTGAGTGAAAAAAGGCAAATATGAATGATGACCGTTGCATGAAGTTGAAAAACAGTCAAAACTTATCTGTGGTGATAGAGGCCATAATAGGTTAACTAATGAAGAGAACATAAGACATTCTGCAAGGGTACTGGAATGTTCTAAATCTTGATCTAGATAATAACTTCATCTATATCTATACAAATACAGATATAGATATGAATATTAAACTTCACTTTTGGATAGAGTTTATCTCAGAAATCTGGAGAATGTAGGTAAAGAAAGTGGAATATGATCAAGAAGACACATCAACTGAGATTGCATTAAAGATATATGGAAATTTGGTGAGATTTGCTCTGTTTTAAATACTAACCCTTTCTTTCTAATAATGTTACATCTTTCCATTTCTTTAACTGGTATGCCCTTCATTAAGATTTTATGGTTTTATTAGTGAGTCAAGTACCTTCATTTTTCAATTTATTCCTAATTAGTAAGGAATTTTGTTGCTTGTGTGAGTAGGGCATTCTCCCCCATTCCCATTTATAGCTGTTTTTTTGCAATTAGATACTTAAGGAAGCTGTGGATGTTTCTTTATATATGTACACAGAATGTACAAAACATGCATTACCATTGTACCTTGTTAGTTCTAGAAGTGCGTGTTTGTTTATTTGGTTATTTATTAGAGCTTCTTGGTTTATATTGGTATATAAGCATAAAAATCAATTGTCTATAAAAATAACTGACTTTCTATTATTTTTCAGTTAGCCAGGGTGTAAAGAAAGTAGCAATTGTTGCTCAAAGTATTCTCGAGCCCAACATGATTCATCACTTAATTCTGAAATGTCACTGTAATCTCATTTCAATATGAGGAAATCCGTACAGTGTCTCAGAGGCGCCTGTTCTCCATCACAAGGAGACGACTCACAAGAGATCAGGAATGCATTTTCTCTAATTGATTTTCCTTCTAGATGTGCATGCCAGTTCTGTCACTTTCTAGTTCTGACCATGAACAAGTTATTTGGCCTCCTTAAGGCTTAGTTTTCACATCTTTAAAATGGAGAAATAAGTTTTACTTGAATGGCTCTTTCAAAGGTCAAATAAAATATTTAATGAAAATAAAAAGCTTAATGGAGTGACTGACACATAGAAAGGACTCAGTAATTATTAGCTAGTAATAGTTATATCTTATACATGGTGTTTATACCTAAGACAGTGCAAAAGCTTCATGTTTCAGAATCAGCTACAAATCCAAATTGTACCTTTCTCCTGAGACCGTAAGTTATTCTGTCTTGTTACCCATTGCTGTCACAGAGCGTGGTTCCTAGAAACAACTGGAAGCCATCTGCAGTGAGTTTGGGCAACCTCATGGTTGTGTTGAGTGATCTGATCCCACAGCTCAGGCATCTGACAGCTGCAGTATTCGTGCCTCACTTTTCTGCCTGACTCTTGCTCTTGGTGAAAGCAGTTACTGCACCACCACTCTCTGGACTTTTTCCGCTGCATCGTCCTTTTGTCTTTTCAATATGGAACTGAGATTCTGTGAACAACAGGGCCATTTTACAGCCTATAGGCTGCACTCTGCTTGGGGGACTGAGCATTCTGAGGCAGGTTCCTGCCCTCATCCCGTTCTGGTCCCATATCATGATTGTTCCAGTGAAGAAGGTGTTGGGAGGTGCCCCATAAACCTTCCATATTTAGGGTCTTCTGAGCTGGCAGCCCACTGAAGACAAACATGGCCATGTGTCGATGGTTGTGGAAAGAGGATGCATATTGTCCAATTGACTGCCACCAGCATGGAGCATGGCATGCTGGCAGAAGCACAAGATCCAGAAGAGGATAGAAGGATCCCAGGTCTGGGGGAAACTAAACTGTTTCATCCTTTGCTAAGGGCTGGGGCCCATCAGGATGCTCTGGGCTGTGAAGTCAGGGCAGGAGAACAAGACTGTGGAGGAAAATGTAGTCAGAAAAGACAGTCTCAGCCCACTTCTCATCTGTTTCATTCAAGCCTGAATCATGCCTCATCTCTCCTCATGCTCAGCAGATAACGTTGGATCAACTGTATGTTCATTTAAGTCTCCTCAGCGTTCTTCCTTCTGATCCACCCATATTTTTACCATCATCTCCTACCAACCTACAGGCAGCCTCCCTGACTAACATGGATCTCTGTTCTGTTCTGTGCAATTTTTATTAATCCATCTTTGTTCTTCACATCTTTGTACTACCCTTTTCTTCCAGTATGGTCAGTGTCTTCACCATCTCTGCCATCGAAGTTTAATTCCTATCTCTCCCTGGGGATCCCCTCTCCAGGGACTGCTATCCCAGTCTGCCTCTCAAAATTAAATTCTAAAGACCCCACAAAATTTTTGAGGATTTTTCCAATTGTCCTAAAAGGTTATAATCTTACCTTACAGGGAATTTCCACAGAACCACTCACATTACATTCACATTTGTAATACATTTATCTGCATTACTAGACTGGAACTTCCTGAGGTCAGACACTGGGGCTTAATTATTTTTGCATCTCTAGTACTGCAAAGGGTAGGTTGAACACATATTGGTATTTGAATAACAAAGAGGAACATTTATATGACGATGGTATATGGAAGGAGGACATGAAGAGCCGCTCAGCACCACTAGTTTATTAGGAAAATGCAAATTAAAACCACAATGAGATACCCACTAAAATAGCTGAAATGAAAAAACTCTGACACTAGTGCTAGCACTTTTGCAGAGCACCTGGGACTCTTGTGAATTGCTGGCAGAAATGCAAAATCACACAGCCATTTTGTCAAACAGTATGACAGTTTCTTAAGAAGTTAACATACACTTACTGTATGACCCAGCAATTTGTCTCCTAGATATTTACCTAAGAGAAATGAAAACTTACGTTTATCAAAAACTAACTAAACAAAAAATCTCCCATTCCTGTTACAGTGGCTTCATCCATAATTTTCAAAAATTAGAAACAACCCCGACATCTTTCAACTGCAGAACTGATAAACAAGCTGTACCAAGTCCATGCAATGGAATACTATTCAGCAATAAAGAAAACGAACTACTAACATGAATAACAGCTGGATGAATCTCAAATGCTTGAGGCTGAGTGAAAGAAGTACACTCAAATAGTTTCATATCACATAATTCTATTTAGATGACATTCTGCAAAAGGCAAAAATGATAGGAAGGAAAACAGATCAGAGGCTTCCAGGGGTTGAAGAAGGGGTACATTTTGGGGGTTTGATATTAATGTTTTGTATCTTGATATCAATGACGGTAAAATGTTTCTATATTTTCTAAAATTCATAAAACTGCATACCTAAAATGATTTTGTCTGTATGTAATAATATACTTTATATCCAATAAAATATAATGGAAAGAAAGTGGAAATAGTGAAACCTCTTTCTTATCATCAATGGGCCCTAGAGAATCAGCAACCTATCCCTAGCTGGCTCCCACAAACTCACTACTTTACCCCCAGAAGTCACTGAGATGGTGAGGCTAGGATGTGACTATCACAATCTGTTCCTGGGTCCAAAGTTGAAGGTAGTAATGACTTAAAGTGTTTGATAAATGGGGAGAAAATAAAAGTGAGTAGTCCAGAGTTATCAAATAATTTATGTCCAGAACATGAACTCAAACATTTGACTGACATAAATTTTATTGAGTTTTCTTTACATTAATCCAACTCAGTAGGCCAATGGATAGAATTCAATAAAAATAATGTCTGTCAAAAGGCTGACATTATTTAATTTTAAAACAGAGTTAATCAGTCTTTACTTTGGGCTCTCCTAGCCCCCGTGTATACCCCTTGATTGCAGTATTTATTAAAATGTATTTTAATTATGTTTATATCCCAGTCTTCCCCACCAGGACTTTGGGTTCCTTAGGGTCAGGGATTTTAAGTTACTGATATTTGCACTCCAGGTGCATCACAAAGCAAGTGCTCAATACATTTTTTGTTGTTGTTGAAAAAATGAAAGGATGAATGAGGGCTCATGGTTTCCACTACTACATATGTGACATGCCCATCTCCCCATTCTATCTTCTGCTTCTCCATAATTTGCCCACTGCCACACATCTCTAAATTCTGCAGACCACCCCCAAGCTGTCCTTCCTGTCTCATAGCTGCAGCAAAAGCCCTCTTAACGCCCACTCTGGTTCCTGCTCCTCTTACAATTCTGTACCCAGACATAGACATCTCACTGAAACATTAAACAGATCATACCGTGCTCAGGCTTAAATCTGCCAGTGGTTTCCAATTAGGCATAGAACAAAAATCAGATTCCTTAGTTAAGCTTTGGAAGCCCTACAGTTCCTGACCCTTTCTATCTCTGTGACCTTGTGTCTCACTATCTGTCTTGGCCAATATGCTGCTTACCACTGAATTTCCTTCAGGGTCTCACACATGCTTGGTTGAGTCAGCCTCATAGCTTTTGTGTGAGCAGCTCCCTGACCTAGAATGTATTTTGTTCTGCTCTTCATATTGCTGGTTTCTTCTCAGCATGAGATCATGGCCACAACATCCACTTTTCCAAGAGGCCTTTCCTGACACAATCTAACCTCACTCTCTAACACACTACCTCATTTAACTTCTCTGTATAACTCTCATTCCAATGGGATATATATGTTATTCATTGTGTATTTGACAATAATTCTGTCTTCCCTTTTGGATAATATGCTCTAAGACAGCAGGAACTCTGTCTTAACTCTGGTCTCCTCATCACCAACACAGAGTAAATGTTTAATGAACACTTGTTAAGAGATGAACAGATGGATGGGTAGATGGATGAATGGACAGATGGATAGATGGTTGGATGGATGGATGGATGGATGGATGGATTAATGGATGGATGGATGGATAGATGGATGGAGGGATGGAGGGATGGAGGGATGGATGGATGAATGTAATGGACAGGTGGAAAGGAATGAATGGCATCTTTCACGGAAGGATAGGAACAGCTATTATTTTCTAACAAACAGAAAACCCAAATGACCTTATCCATAGACATTTCTTCTACTCTGTGTTACACTGAAATGTGTTGCAGACCACCTCACTGATGCCTGTCTTTATCTGATGTGCATTATTTACATTAATAGAAGAGGAAGCAGGGAATCAGACACTGACTTCAGCAGGGTGGATAAGGAAATTGGAAAAAAATAGTAGGGAAAAAGAAATGTGGGGATGTTACATACTTTATAATTATTACAGCTATTCCAGATCTGTACAACTCCCCATTCCCTCTTAGATGGCAATTGGAGGCACCTGATTTTCTTCTATCCTCCTAAGGTGAATGCTCACTCTTTTCCCCTCAGCCTGTTCAGGCCACAGCATCTATGTAGCTTGTAGACAAGGAGATACTGACTTTTACCTCATTAACTCTGTCTGGGAAGCCCAAAGTCATGGTTAGACCTGGCACAAAACAATAGCCGAAAAATCAGGGTCATCTCCTTTCCAAATGGCAATCTGCTTTACTGAGGCCACCAGAATGTAATATAGTCTCTTTGCCTCTGCCCTGTACAAAGATATGAATCTGGGTATTTTGTTATAACTTGAAAATCAAGGCAGACGATTAAAAAAATTACTCTCAGCAATTCAGTTGAATAAAGGCTTTAATATCTAAAATGAACTACAGGTGTACCCTGGCAATTTTAACACTGAGATTTCTCCAAAACCAAAGTCAGATGGAGCAGGTGACCAGGTGCCAGAGTTTTTCAGACAGCAATTTCTGGAGCCAGATTCCCTGAGATCAAACCTTACCAACTAAAATTGGGCAAGTCACTTACTATTTTCATTTCTCAGTTTTCTTATTATGCAGTTTGTGCTGGTGTGGTAAGAATTTCATGAGCAAATGCATGCAAAGCACTTTGCACAGTGACTGCCACATAGTAGGTACTGAGTACCTGGTGTATCTACTCAAAGTCATTATAATTAAGTGAGTGAATAGCTTCAGATTTTCTTTACTCTACTCTGAAATAACACCAGTCCTAAGTCACTCTTTGAAGCATCAATTGCTGAAGATTATAATAGTTGATTTCCTTCAGTGATAATTCCACATTGCTTTTGTGCTGTTCTTTTTCCAGAGCCTTGGGATGGCAAGGTATGGGTAAGATGGGAACATTTTGCCACATCCATTGGCAGCTGGAGTGAAATTCCAGCAGGCACTCCAAATCCATAGCTGGTAAGAATCCAGCTGCAGAGCGCTGCAGGAAGTAAACAAGTTCCATCCACTCCAACTTCCCTCTGTTCTACATCTGGGGATTCACAGCCACCCCCAGACTTCAGAACACCCTCATCCTACACAGTGGGTCAACTGACAGAAAAAAACACTGCTATGAAGGATAATGTGTTTGCTGCAGACAAAAATGATTGAGGCCAAGGAAACAACTTTTTCATGGTAGCTCCAGAAATTTAATTTTAAAGAGCCCTTGAGAGAAGCCAGTGTCTTCCTCAAGAGAAAAGATGGCAAATTGTATCATTTTGATTCACACCCATGAATGATGTTTCTGCAGCTGTTTGAATTAAGACTGAAATACAAGCAATCTCAGTAGGAGTCTGTATTTTCATAAAACAATTTCCTGCTGAGTTAGTTCAGCCAGCTCTACCCCAGACCTTTCACACACCTCGGTGATGAGGACATTTACAAGATAGGGTTATTTTTGCTTATTAAAGAGCTCACGGAGTTTTGTAATATCCAACTCTTCTCAAGGCGAAGGAACATCTCTGGATCTCCCCACACACATATCTGAAATAAAATAGAGTTCTAACCTGTCCTAGTTGCCACTGGAAAACTCTGTAGGAACTGCACACCAAAGAACACAGTCCTAGCCCCACCAGAATGAGATTTCTCATCTAACTCCTGCTTTCTTTCTTTTTTTTTTTTTTTGAGACGGAGTTTCGCTCTGTCGCCCAGGCTGGAGTGCAGTGGCGCGATCTCGACTCACTGCAAGCTCCGCCTCCCGGGTTCACGCCATTCTCCTGCCTCAGCCTCCCGTGTAGCTGGGACTACAGGCGCGCGCCACCATGCCCGGCTAATTTTTGTATTTTTAGTAGAGACGGGGTTTCACCGTGTTAGCCAGGATGGTCTCGATCTCCTGACCTCGTGATCCGCCCGTCTCGGCCTCCCAAAGTGCTGGGATTACAGGCGTGAGCCACCGCGCCCGGCCTAACTCCTGCTTTCTAAACCTCTTGAGTTGAAGCTCCTCAACTCAAAACCTGGCTGTCCCCAACCCCGGAGTCAATCCCAGGTGAATGCTTGGTCCACCTGTACCCACTGAGCTGTCACATTTCCCTACATTCCCAGTAGATGGGCAGCAAATGCATGAGGCTTTTCCTAAAGCAACTGTTATGCCCTCAAGGGTCCTCAATTTCAGACCCCTTTGCTCAGTTCCTGACTTCCTGACACAGTCTTATGACTTCTTTACTGGAACCAGAATGCTGTGTCCTGACATTTTGCTTTTACTGGAGAGGAAGTAGAATTCTTTATTCTTCTACACTCCTCTATGTAGTGGGAGCACGCTGGGAGGGCTGTGAGAATGAGGGAGGTGCATGTTATATCTTCTCCTTCACATATACTCTCACATTCTGTATTAGTCAGAAATATCCTTAGAGGTTATAACAGGAAACCTAATTTACAGCCATTCAACAAGAAAAATTCCATCTATTTGGAGTTTTTTTACAGCATGTAACAGCAATGGAGGTAAGTTGTTGCTGGATTTGATTGAGCAGCTCCAACATGGAAAGACTGAGACTGTTCTGATTCTTTTGGCCTTTTCCTCATGGTTGCAAGACGGCTGCTGAAGCTTCAGCCATTATGTCTGAGACCAAAGTAAGACAGAAAGGAAAAAGTGTTTTTCAGACCTTTTGTCCCCATACCAGAAAAGCAAACACTTAGATCTAATCTATCAACAAATAACATCAATTTACCTCTTCTTGGCCAGAATTGGGTCACATGGCCACCCTTAGCTAGAAAGAAAGATGTAAAAGGGTGAAAATAATTGTTGTGATGGTCTTAGAGCAGGGCTTCTCAACCTCAGCATTATCATTTGGGGATGAATAATTCTTTGTTGTGGAGAGCTGGCCTGCGCACGGTAGGTTATTTAGGAATGCTCCTGGACTCTACCTACCAGATGCTCACAGCTATTTTCTCCTCCAGGTGTAACAACCAAAAACGTCTCCAGGCATTGCCAAATATCCACTGGGGAATGAAATCGTCTGTGGTTGAGAACGACTAGCTTAGGCCAATCATGACTCATTGTCTGGTTTAAGATGCATGGCTACCCTGAAGAAAAGTAGGGTATCAAGAAGGAAGAATAAGAAAATATGTGCAAGGTAAATAATCGTGTCATGCCTCAGACACACAGCCTAGACATGCATGTCATACCTACACAGTACACACCCGCATTCATGAGCACTTGTTTGGCGCTTGGAGTCATGGCATAAGCAAATGTTCACTGGTGTGGAGAAAGCTCTTTTCTCTTCAGACTCCTTTCCCTATGTATTTACATGTAAAATGTAATTGCTTTGGTTAAATGCAATTAAATTCAAATCAATTAAATCCTTTACATATTTACTGCCATAAACCAAAAGTTTAGCTTGAGTTAAGCCTGAATGTCCAGAAAGCGGAGCCAAAGAAGGAAATGTCTCCAAATCAAGAGATGCAGGAGCTGGAGTGAAGGATAATGAAGAATCAAACAAAACCTCAGAAAACTAAGGTATGTAAGAACCAGAAAAAAGCTAAATAGTAAACACCTATGGTGTGCTATGATGAACACTTATGAAAATGGAAAAGAAGTTGTTAACAGCAAAACCAGACTCCTCTAGGCAAGGACAACTTATTTAGTGTGGCCCAAAGCAACCTACACCATACTGATCTTCATGAGTAACAAGGGAAAACTTTTATGTTCTGCCCCAAATAACATCTAGGGCTAAGCATTCAACATCACCCCTGACTGTAGGTACTAAGTGGCATAGGAAGAAAGAGGCTATCGCTATTATGGGGTCAGAGAAGAACGAACTTCCTTAGAGCTCATCATTAACTTAGGTCTGTACAGTAGTAAATAGGAACATAAATTGCTATAGGTAGGAAAACACTTTGTACCCCTAATTCTGGGAGATAAGCCTTTTCAGACACAGAGACTGAGAATTCTTTGAAGTAAGACTGAAATCTGATATCAGAATGTTATTGTCCCCATGGATGAGATACATTAAGAAGCAGAGGATCAAAAGATTATTCACAACAAGGAAATAAGAAAAGTAAATTTGGTCAGATTAGAGGAGAAATGTTTATACTCGCCATTCCTAGCCAAGACTTTCTCCAATCCCTGGTGATAAACTTGGGGGTAAACACCTTAACGGCATTATAATTACGTGTGTGTGTGTGTGTGTGTGTGTGTGTGTGTGTGTAATTACTTCAAGTTTGTTGGTATAAGCAGTGCATTTGTGTGTATATGTGTATTTAACTATCAAAGCATTTATCACATTCTGTTTTGATGTTTAAGTTACCCACCTGTCTCCCCTGCTAGACTGCAACCTCTGTAAGGGTAGGGCTGATGAACACTATGTGTGTTAAATAATTAAATCCCTTTTAAATTCGTGTATGTATCAAAAACATATTTAATACATACTTACTAGGCACCAAATACCATGATGGGTGCTGGGGACACAATGCTGAAAGAGGGAAAACACACTTAGACACACACACAAACAAAATAGACAATGATCTTTGTCTTCACAGAGAGATTTTAGTCAATGTCAGGCAACATAACATTTCAATTGTGAAAGTCTATGACTTGGTAATTGGTAATTTGACCTAAATGAGAAGTGAAAACTCCAGATGATGAAGAGAGGTGAGCCTCCTGTGTGCTAACTGGGGGTGAGGGTGAGATAATCAGTCATCCAGTAACAGTCTATGAGGCAGTGAGGCAAAGAAAGGTGGAAGGATGGAGAGAGGCAGTGTTGAGCCTGGAATGGACCTTTCCACAGGGATTCTTCCCACTGGTAAAGTATATCCCAGTGAATCTTAAGCTATAACCAATCATAAGGTGTAGAAAAAAAAAGGCACCATGTGTCATTCCCTACATTCCCTTCTGTGAGGAGGCACAGTTTTATGTGAAACCAACATTTACAAAGACTCCAAGGAAGACAGTATAGACTTACAGCATCTGAGCACTTAAATTGGACAGTGCAGTGCAGCCACTATCTCCTGCACACATGTTAGGGTGAGGTCTTTGTTGTACGAAACAACAGAGATAATAAAATGGAAGAGCAGAAGTGGCCATTCTAATTCAAAGATGGCAGTAACATGTAGTATTGAAAATAATAGATTCTAGGCCAGGAGCAGTGGCCCATGCCTGTAGTCCTAGCTACTTGGGAGGCCAAAATGGGAGGATCACTTGAGTTCAGGACTTTGAGACCAGCACAGCCAGTTTAGTGAAATCCAGTTTCTCCAAAAAGTAAATAAAAAATTAGCTGGGTGTGGTGGTGAGTCTGTAGTCCTAACTACTTGAGAGGCTGAGGTGGGAGGGTCACTTAAGCCCAAGAATTTTGAGGTTACAGTGAGCTGTGAATGCACCACTGCACTCCAGCCCAGGTGAGAAAATGAGACCCTGCCCCAATAAAAAGAAAAAAAGGGAAAAGAACAAATTCTGCAGGCAGACTACCTGGACTCAAACCCTGGTTCTCCCCTCTACTATGTGTATAACAGTAGGCAAATTACTTAAACTTACTGAGCCTCAGTTTTCTCATCTGTGAAATGGCCTAACAACAGTACCTACTCCATAGGGTTGTTGTAATTACTAGATGAGTCAATAGAAGAACTTAAAGGAGTGACTGGCACTCGGGAAATGGTATAAATGTCTGTTGAATAAACTAATATCAGTTTTAGGTCCATGTGCATGCACATGTGTGTGTACATGTGTGTAAGGACCTGTGTGCATGCACATGCATATACATGTGTGTATGGACCTGTGTGCCTGCATGCATAAGTGTATGTACATGTGTGTATGAACCTGTGTGCGTGCATGTGTGTATGGACATGTGTGCGTGCATGTGTGTGTGGACATGTGTGTATGGACTTCTGTGTATGCATGCACATGTGTATGTACATGTGTGATGAACCTATGTGCATGCACATGTGTGTACATATGTGTATGGACATGTGTGTATTCATGCACACATGCAGTTGGGTGAGGAGGAGCCTCAGTTGGTCTGAAGGGGTTCCAGCATATTCTACTCTTGGGAATATTTCCTGCTGGGTTTCAGGAGGAAATATTCAAGTTCTGTACACTAAATTGAGGACTGGCTCACCTAAAGCAAGCAAAAACTAAAGAGAGGTGGATGCTAAAAGAGCTTCCTCCCTAAGATACAGAGCAGTTTTCACTCGCAGCCTTGACCTCGGTGGTTTTGTCACCTAAAACCATTCTAGTTTCAAGACTCAAGCTACAATGCTTTTGAGAAATGATCTAATAAAAGAATTAATAGAACTGTGGCAGAAGTGAGCCCTCCAAAACTGGTCCTATAGAAGCTTCTGTCTTAGATGTTTTCTGGGGCCAGACACCGGATGCCCTCTTTCTCCAGGCATCTCAAAAATAGCCATGGTATGGACAACCAGCAACATGATGTCATACCCATAACAAAACTGGAATTCTTTGGATACATAGCTGGAGTTTTCTCCTTCTGCCCTACAAATGAAGGCTAGGGGTCTTAGAAGCCTCCAGAACACCATTATTTTTCTTCTCCATTAGACTAAGAAGCAGGCATCATTCATTTATTATAATGGTGTTCTTCCCACATTGTTACTGGCACATTCTGTGCTTTACAACAACAAGAAATGAAACGTCCCCTGAGAAGCCTCAGGTTACATTTATTTGGCTTTCCTTTAATAAAAAAAAAAAAGGAGTAAAGCCAGGAATGAAAGGGAGCTGAGAGCTGATGTACTTTCCTGACTGAGTTCAAGGAGGCAGTCTGTGGTGAGGCCAGAGATGAACAGGGCTGGCCACTAGCAGGAAAACATAAGTGACGGCTTCTCCCAGTAACCATATGAAAATGGGCTGATCTGTTCTGGGACTCAAAGCCTGTCTCCCTCATTTCACAGAAAATTCAGGAGTTTTCCAATACTCAGAGAACCTTCAGAACTGTGTGGGTTTGATACGTTTTCCTAACCTGTTTGAGTGCACAGTTTTGGGGAACTTTCAAAGGCCAGGGTATGACTTTGGAATAAAATCTGGTTTAATTTCAGGAGAACACATTTAATTCTGATGATATCTAGGCCTCAGGAAATGAAGGCAGAATGAGATCTCCCAGATTTGACTGGTTGTTCATGCCAGTTTGTATCAGTAAAAGCTAGCTCCTCAAAGCAAACCAGAACTCAGATTCCTCGGGGTGGGAAAGTGCAGACAGTGGACTGTTGTACCCAGGAAGCATGCCTGAGGTGCTGACAGAAAAGAAGTTTCAATACGTGAATCTTCAGCCCTTCAACATAGTTCACTATAATATAGGATGATTCCAGAGGTGAGAGGAGTGAGGGTGATGACGGCAATAATTATGCAAAAATTCAAAACAGAAGAGACTTGTGTACCCTGATGTCTCACCTGTCCACTCTTCTTGACAGAATCCCTCATACCTGGCAGCACCAGGACTGAGCTTTGTAAACTGAAGACTGGCTGGGTTATAGTCAAATGGTAAGGCAGAAGCAAAATACCCCAATTCTGAAAGGAGAAGACTTCAACAGCCAGTGATGGAGAATTTAATCTTGGGTCAAAGCCACATGAGGGCTGCAGGAAGACAAGCCGTGTAAACAAGAGGGTCTACTTTTTGAAATTGCTAAATACAGATTCTGTGCCTGAATGCCTCTGATAGTAGATCTCAAAAAGAGGGCATTCTGAATTCTTGTTAGAACCTCTCACTGACCTAGTCCACAGACTGAAGCTGGAATCTAGAGAACAAAGAGAAGATTAGTGGATAGCTTAGCTTTTGCTGCATAAGAGACCACCCCCAAACCTCTGTAACTGTAAGCGTTTATATACCTCTCTTGATTTTTCTGAGATTCATGATTCCTTGCCTGGAAGATTCTGATTGGGCATGGCTTGGCTGAGGCTGGGTGGTCTAGAATGGCCTTACTCACACATCTGATGATTGACGCAAAGAGCTGTGGCTACTGGAATGATTTAACTATGTATCTTTCATCACCCAATAGGCTGGCTTGGCCTCATTTACATGGTGCTGGTCACAAAGTTCTCAAGAGTGTCCAGAGAAGGCCAGCTCAATGTGTGCATTCATTTTCTGAGCATCAGCGTGGCTCTCATTGACCAAAGCAAGTCACATAGGCAGTCCAGAGACAGTGTGGGATGGCACTACCAAAGGTCATGGATAGAGAGAAGAAAATAACACATGGCCACTTTTACAATAAGCCACAAGTTTTCTCCCTTCCACCCATTCTGTTTGCTCCTGATAGAATCTCCTCCTCTGTCCACTCACAGTGACTGGCCTGAAATACAGTTACTAAAAGGAAATCTCCCCAACATACATAGTGAATACTCAGTTTTGGTGTCAATAGTTAACAAGATTCTCTCGTTTGTCAAGGGTTGGATTAAATTAGGATGGTCAGCATGTTCCTAACACTCACTGTTTAAACAGAAAGGGCACACTCCCATTCGAGTTAAGTCACAGGCTCAACAGTAAGTGTATTTTCCATGGGGTAATTGCTAAAGCCACTGCTTTTCCAAGAAGAATCCTTTTGGAGTCTTTTGTTCTTTTGATTGAAACTTAATCAGCTTCTTGTTTGACAAAAATGACAGGCTGCATGAAAGGGGAAACAGAGTTTGGGTTTTGCCAATCCTAATTCCTATCAAACATCACAAGAAAATAAGCACTTTCTACATAATGTTCTCCACTTTGTGTTTTAGACTCAAATTTATCACTTAAAAAGAAAAGAAAAAAAAACACCCTAACTGTTTATATTTTGGGGGAAAAAAAGAAAAGCGATGGTTAACTCCTTCTTTCTGGGGTTTTTCATGTTAAGGATTTTTTAAGGATCAAGACTCTTGACTTTACCTTTCAGTTTGGTGGGGTAGAGATATAGGGAAGCAAAAGTTCGCCAGATCACTTCCAGATGATACGTCCTGAAATCTGTCTTCCTTCTGTCACAGAGGACCTACCCTGCAGTCAAAGTTTATTGTCTCCCAAGTCTCATCCAGACTTCCAATTCTGACCCCAAGCCCTCATGCTGAATTTCATAAAGAGAACACACATTTCTAATTCTGTTATGAGGAAAGCACTAGATTTGCAATTGGAAGCACATTCATCTTGGCCAGAGACTCACTAGCTGTGTGATCTTGGACAGATTAAATTCATTCTCTCTGATTCTGTTTCTGCATCCATATTACTTCTCTATTTGAAGGGTGGCTGGGAGGTTTAAATTAAAGAATGGGCATCAATGTGCAAACCTGGGGCCCAAAACTTAGTAAGGGCTTAGCAAATGTTAATTTTATCCTATCTGATTTCTTTCTTTCCATCTCTTTCCATATTATTCTCATTTTCCCATTCTAGGAAAAAAAATGCAGGCTAGCATATTCCCTTTGAATGAAAAGAGAAAAAGCCATGCTGTTAATCTCTGTGACAGAAAATATGGAAGACACTCAACAGAGAGAGGCAGCTTTGGCCAGTTTTATGCCTTTGCCAGTGCTTAGTTGTGGATAGACATGTAACTCTGCCCCAGCCAGAGCTAGACATATGGGGGGGAGGCCCATCTTTCTACAATCCCATGACTAGTAAGTGGCAGAGCCTGGATTTGATCCCCAACAGTCCAGTTTCAGAATCCATGTGCTTTTCTACTAAGCTATAATTCCTTGCTAATATAAACCCATTCATTCATTCATTCATTTATGCACTCATTGTCCAAAAATATTGGCTGGGTGTTGTGGCTCACACCTGTAATCCCAGCACTTTGGGAGACTGAGGGGGGGGGCAGATCATGAGGTCAGGAGATCGAGACCTTCCTGGCTAACATGGTGAAACGTGGTCTCTACTAAAAATACAACAAGTTAGCCAGGCGTGGTGGTAGGCGCCTGTAGTCCCAGCTACTCAGGAGGCTGAGGCAGGAGAATGGCATGAACCTGGGAGGTGGAGCTTGCAGTGAGCTGAGATTGCACCACTGCACTCCAGTCTGGGTGACAGAGCGAGACTCCATACAAAAAAAAAAAAAAAAACAACACCAACTCTGTAGAGCCTATGAATGCCAATCACTATGGTGAATGTTGAATCTGAGCAAAGCTGCTAGGGAATCCCACACAGGAAGGCAGTGAATTTTGTCTGAGGGAGAAAGGCACAAGTGGACTCAAGTCTCAGATTCATTATTTACACGTGTGATGTTCTGCATGTTAGTTGAACTCAGTGAATTGCAGTCTCTACTGTTTTTGTATAGGGTGGATTCGTTTGGGTACTGAAGCAAAGTGAAAACAGCTAACCCAAAGCCTACAATGTGGTAGTTACCCGAGAAATGTTCTTTAAGAGAATTCATAAAAAAAAGGAAGAACACTGTACAGGGATATTTTTAAAGGATCTTCAGGGAGACAGAGCTCAGGTGGAGAAGAGAAGCAAGGAGAGGACATGGGTAACAAATAATAGGGCCAGAAATAACCATCTTGGATGTAGGAGCCAGGGACAAACAGGCCTGAGAAGCACTGTCTGGCCTTTCAGAGCCCCGCAGCTGAATCCTGACCCTAACACATATGAAAATGGGGCCTTGGCCAAGTTGCTAAACTGAGAACCTCAATTTCCACATCTACATCAGAGAGGTGAGGATGTCCCCCTCCCACAAGGTGTGGAGGTTACATGAGGTCACTCATGCAAGTGCCATGTTGTTGATGCTGC